>NC_000001.11:64402319-64705350 GCF_000001405.40 Homo sapiens
TCTTGCCCTGACTGTTTCACTACCATAGATCTCAATTTACCTTTCAACACTTTCTCAAGCAGTTTCAACACCAGGAAACCTCTTTGCCCCATGTCTTTGAGCTGCTTGATCACATCTGTGTTCTTAGATCACAGCACCTTCAGTCAGCATGGGGCCTTCTCCATCCACCCTATCCTTCAGCCTCTCTACTTTAGACCTTCCGTAGTTTCTCAGTCCTTTTAATTCCAGCCCCTTTCCACCAAAATCCTGCCTCCTCTGGTGTTCGGCCTCTGAGTCATCTCCTCTTTCAGGAGCTGCTGATTAATATAGAAAAATGAAGGTGAGGACCTGAGGAGATCTGGAAGAAATGGCAGGAAAGTATTCCTCATAATGACTTGGTCTTATTTGAAATATCTTTTCCAAAAAATCTGTAAAGGCCTCTTATCCTGAGGCTAACCTCTTGCTAGCATAGCTACCCTTGTTTTTATGCTGAAAGACTGTCTCTCCCCTTTACAACCTTCAGTCGCATTACAAAAAAAAAAAAAAAAACCCACTTCTATCTAAATATAATTGGGAGTAAAGGCTCCAGAAAGGAAGTTACAAGTAACCAGGCATTGTTCTGTCATAGGGCCAAGGCTTATGCCTGAGCCAGCTCATGAGCCACCCTCAGGTCACCCTGGCCCACTCTGGAAAAGACACACTCATCATCAGTCCCTCAGTCCCGCACGCAAAGGCACCCTCATTCTGAGCAAGAGGTGGGTCATGTAAAATACCCTTTGTCCACTAAGTAGAGCTTCTCCCTGCGGAGGCAGAAGATGGAGGGGGCATGTGGCCCTCAACAGCAACCTGAGTAATCTGCTTCAAACACAGAATGCTGCTATTGAAAAGTCTGCAGGATAGTGTCACATATGCCAAGGGACCTGAAGCCTTGCCCAAAATCCCATATTGACTGCTTTTCTTTACTTAAAAAATTGTGTGTTGAGGCCGATTCCCAGCACACAAAAAGCTTTAGGAACTGCTGGTTCCCTACAGTCACAGCAATTGCAGACATGTGTGGCAGTTATTTGCAATGCAGGGATGGTCAGACTCCAAAAACTTGATCACCATTTTCAGAGGCTGAGTTTGACGAATTTGGAATCAGAAATTCTGTTCACTTTGTATAAGCAACCACCACATTGCCACATTCCCCTGTGATTAATGGCCAGAGTTAGAGAATGATGTATCTCATCCTCCGAGTATGTGGCACCCACTGCCTGGTTTATCATGACCACTCATGTCATTACTGCTTCTGAAACATAAATCAATGAAACTGAATGACTGTGCTGACCACCACTCTCCAGACTCAGATGACAACTCACCACACACACACGCCACTTCAAATCCTTTTTTGTAAATAGTTATTTTAAATAAATAAGTAACAAGGGCTTTCTCTGGAAGTGTTGTGTGAGCACCTGAGGATAATTCATTTATACAACAAAAGCAAGTGTTTCCTGTGATTTCCCTGGAGTTGGATCAAGATAGGGTTTGCCTTGAGTCCACAGGACCAAAAGTTCTAGAAAAAAAAAAAGAATACAAGTTCTAGAAAAACATTTCTCAAAGTGTGCTGCTCAGAACAAGGATCCCTCAGGAAATTAACAGGTGTTATGGAAGAAGAATGTTCTGTGGTCAAGCAATTTTGAGAAACACTGCATTAAACAAGGTTAACCAAGTTAAATAGGTCTCTTTACTGCAGGACTTCTCAGAACTTTTGATATACTAATGTGCATTGCAAATTACAAAGTTGTGTATGTTGCATTTTTAAAACGAATTTGACCACAGAATACTTGTTGTTGAGCATATTACAAGATGTGCTTCATGAAACAGACTTGAAGCCTTGTTTAGAGGGTAGACATTACCTTACTGCTCAACTTTCTTCCTCCTAAGGTAGAAAAAATCAGCAAGATGTGAGAAGCATGTCTTTTGGAGCCATCTGGTGTTAATTTCTCATTTGTCAGCTGAAATATCTCTGTCCCCGTCTGAAAGAGATGTTCCTTGCCACAAAGTGTTTTGTCTGACCACTGTGAGCAAGCACAGACCTCCCTGCCTGTTCCTCCACTGGGTCTCCTAAGACAGCTCCAACCCAGCCCTGTTCCTGGAATCTACTCCTCATGGCTTCACTCACCCCCTTGGCTTCAACCTTCATGACTTATTATCTCCATTGGGTTCTTTGCCTTGGCCTTTTGGTGGATGCCATTATTTCCAAGAAACTATTTTCTTTCTGGCTGTAAGACTTCAATCCTGCATCATGTTTTGGAAGAACTCTGCTTCCTGCTCCAAACATTACACTCCCATTCCTCTCCACCTACCCTCATCTGCCCTCTTGCTTCCTTCTCCCCATGCATACTTTCCAGCCTCTCTGTAAATGCTTGTCCTAGCCCTGTCCTTGACCTTCACCTGTGGCTTTGCCCACAGCTATATTGTAACATTGACTACTGGAGGTTGCCAGGACCACAAAATATTGGAAGGATTTCTCTTGCCACATAAAAGGTCAACCTAGCCACAGAAGGAGTGCACCATGAGTGCTAAGCCTCAATGTTATTGTTTGGGTTCTTTTGAGTTCCCTATGGTTTGCAGGTTATACTGCATTAGTTAGTGGGTTTCCTGGAGTCATTTTCACCAACAAACAACAGAGTTGGTGAAAACTTGTTCTTCCTATATTTTTAACATTTTTATCTGCTACACAACACTCCATAAACCTTGCTTATTTACGTGTAATTAAGAGTCATGGCAGCTCTCTGCTTGTAGACCAGAGATTATGATCAGTCTGTCATTTTATTTGATCTTCTTTTGTTTTTAGTTATTTTTCTGTTAAAGTGCCCAGAGCCCTGCAGGCAGAAGTGCCTTCAAATTAAAATGTATTGTTAATATTCTGGACCACACACACTGGGTTCTTCATGTGACTCTGAGTTTTGCTGCTGAGATGATTGTGCATGATATTCTGATGTCGAGAAAATATGCCTGACTTAGCCTATTTTGCAGAACTCCTTTGTTCCCTGAGGCAAATTTGGCATGATTTTGTTGAAGGTTCAGTTGGGATAACCCGTATTCTTTCCCCAAGGTCACGTTTCAAATTCCTTGTCAATCAATTTAATGAAAGGTAAGTAAATACCTGACTTCAGACCAGCCAAATAACTTCAGCTTCTTGGGGAGAGCATGTGTGTGCATGTGTATGTGTGTATGTAAGCGTGTGCATGTCTACGTGTGTGAGCACATGTATGTGTGTGGGGAGGGTTGAAGGGAGATAATAAGACCTTCATTTAGTGACATCATGAGACAAGAACACCTAAATGTCTTATAAAATTGTCAAGGTTATTTATCAATTGAGACAGGTACTATCACACACAGGCATCAGAAAGATATCTCAGTGCTTATTTTCATCTACCTGGATGAGTGTGTCTACAAAGGACTTAGAGTACATTGTAGATCATATTTTTAAGGAATATGAATTCCCCAGGCTGAAGGGAACCAAATTCCAGAAACACCCTCAGAGACAGCTCTTCTTGTCCACCCAAGCCTGTGTTTGTTCCTTAGACTCACTCCATCCTCTACAAGAACATGCATCTTCAAGCCAGGACCATAGGCTCTTCCAAACTGTCCTGTTACAGGTTGGCTGATTTATACATACTGTCTCTATCTTCCCCTGGGTGTATCCACACATGACCCTTGTCTCTGAGTCAAGAGCAGTTGCCAGCTACTACCCTTCATGGATTGACTCGCCTTCTTCCTTCTCACTTAGCCAAAGCTTATTCATCTCTCAATGTCAAATTCACACCATGAAGCTTCAATTCTAAACTCCAAAGGGGAGAGGCCATGTCTGTTTTATTTCCAGTTACTTACCCAGTACTTGTCATAAAATAAATTCTCAAAAAATATTTGTTGAGTGAATAACAAAAGAATGAATGAGTTTTCAACATGGACTAAGGAATCAGGAAACCCCGCGGTACTTAACAAAAAGTCAGGCTAAGCCCTGCCCAAAGTCATCAATCCTGAAGAAGCAGTTCTAATTAATTATTTATCTGTCCATTCCCTTGATACGGATTAAGCCCCAAGTCTGTACCAGAACTCCATTCAGTTCTGTGAGAGATACAACATTAAATTAGACTTGAACCCTATTCTCAAGAAACCAATAGTCTAGTGGGGGAAAACAGATATGTCCATCAATAACTGGAACACAAGGTTGAAAGTGACAAAAGCCAACAGGAACAATCTAAGAGAGATGAGCAGAGGAAAGAGATTAATTATGCAAGGGAATGTTAAAATGGGACTTTGCTGTCTTACTTTGAAAGCAACCAGATAGATGCCAAGTACCTGAGGGTGACGCCGCTGTCGCAGAGCAAGGCACCAGCCCATTTACACAGGGCATGCTAAGGGACACAATCTGAGAGCATGGAAGAGTTGATATGGAAAAGGCTAGTGAGGGAGGATTCTTTGGAGAGAATAGTTGGTGTGTCATGCATCTCCCTTTTGCAAATCCTTTGTGGGGAAGGAAAGAGGTTGATTTCCTTCACCTCAAGCCTCGTGAGGAGGCTCTAAGGGCACTCAGAAGTTTGAGGAACTGGGAAACTTGTGTATTAACCTCATCTGATTAGTTAAAGGTGAGCACCTTGCCATCAGCAGAGTGAAGAGAGGGATGTATTGGGAGCAAGCTGAAGTCCCACAAATAAGAAGGGAAGATGGGAGATGTGGATTCCAAGAGATGAAGGTGATCTGGAATCTTCTCAAAATGAGTCATGCTGAAAAGTGATGCCCAGTGTTTTGACAAATGTATACATCCACACAACCAACGTCCCAATCATGATAAAGAATATTTTCATCACCTCAAAACGTTTCCTCGAGCTCCTTTGTAGGTAAAGCAGAGGGAACCTACAGAGGAGACCACTATTCTGATTTCTGTCATAATAGGATAGTTTTGCTAGCCCTAATAGTCAGCTAAACAGAATTATACAATATGTTCACTATTGTGTCTGGCTTTGTTTACTCAACATAATGTTTTTGAGATTCATATATATTGTTGCATTTACGAGTAGTTCATTCTTTTTATGTCTGAGTAGAATTCAATATTATGAATACGGTATTATTTTCTAGTCATTCTCCTGTTGGTAAGACATTTTGCTTATCTCCAGTTCATGATTATTATTACTGAAGTCGTCATGAACATTCTTATACAAGTCTTCTGGTGGACAAGTGTTCTCATTCTCCTTGAATAAATACCCAAGCAGAATTGCTGCACCATCTAGTGAGTGTATGTTTAACTTAACAAGAAATGCTTATTTTAAAATATCACCAGCAATAGAGGAGAGCTTCAGTTATTTCACACCTGTATTTGTTTCCTAGGGCTACTGTAACAACATACCACAGACTGGCTTATAATAGCAGAATTTTATTATTTTACATTTTTTGAGGTTAGAAGTCCAAAATCAAGATGGCGGCAATGCCATGCTCCCTCTGAAGCCTCCAGGAGAGGACTCTTCCTTGCCCATTCAGCTCCTGGTAACCCCAGATGCTGTAGATGCATCACTCCAATCTCTGCCTCCATCTTAATGTGACATTTCTCCTTTTGTCTCTGTCATCAATGACCACCTTCTTTTTTCTTTTTCTTTATTTTATTTTATTTTATTTTATTTTATTTTATTTTATTTTATTTTATTTTTTGAGACAGAGTCTTGCTTTGTCACCCAGTCTGGAGTACAGTGGCACAATCTCTGCTCACTACAGCCTCTGCCTCCCAGGTTCAAGCGATTCTTCTGCCTCAGCCTCCCGAGTAGCTGGGATTACAGGTGCCTGCCACCATGCCCAGCTAATTTTTGTATTTTTAGTAGAGATAAGGTTTTTCCATGTTGGCCAGGCTGGTATCAAACTCCTGACCTAGTGATCCGCCCGCCTCAGCCTCCCAAAGTGCTGGGATTACAGGCGTGAAACACCGCGCCCGGCCAACGACCTTCTTATAAGGACACCAGTCTTATTGGATTAGGGGCCCACCCTACGCCAGTATGACTTCATCTAATTACATCTGCAATGACCTTATTTCCAAATAAGGTCACATTCTGAGGTTCTGGGGGTTAGGACTTCAACATGTCTTTTTTGGTGGGACACAATTCAACCCATAAAAACATCCCGCCAACACTTGTTACTCTCAGTCTCTTAAGATTTACAGTCTAGTGGATGTGAGGTAGTTTCTAATTGTGGTTTTTATTTGCATTTACCTGATGACTGATGATGTGAAGCATCTTTTTCTTTACCTATTGGCCATCTATACATATCTTTTTTTAGGAAGTGACTGTCCAGGTTTTTCCCTATTTAATATTTTTGTCTTTTCAGTAGTGATTTGCAGGCAATGTATATATTTTATCTCAAGGCATAACATATGTTTTCACTTTTTAAAATTTTCTTGATGACTTGTCTAAGAAATTTTGGCAACTCAAATTTTATATAGATATTTCATATTTTCTTTTACAAGCTTTATGGTTTTAACATTTACATTTAAATCTACAATCTATTTTATTTATTTATTTATTTATTTATTTTGAGAGACAGGGTCTCACTCTGTCACCCAGGATAGAGTGCAGTGGCACAAACATATACAATTAGCTCACTACAGCCTTGAAGTCCTGGGCTCAAGGTATCCTCCTGTCTTGGCTTCCTAAAGTACTGGGATTATAGGCAAGAGCCACCACACCTAACCCATATAATCTATTTTAATAATGAGAACATACAGCCTTTCCCAGACATACAGGGAAAGGATTCAGTATTTTAGTAAGCATAATATTAGCCATAGGTTTTTTAGATACACATTATTAGAATGAGGAAGTTCCCTTCTAGTCCTACTTTGCTAAGACTCTGTTATCAAAAGAAAGGTGGTGAATTTTTTCTAATGCTTTTCTGCATCTACTGAAATGATTATATCATTTTTCTCTTTTATTTAAGTAATGTGGTGAATTACATTGATTGGTTTTTAAGTGTTAAACCAATCTTACATTTTTGGGATTAACCCTCTTGACAATGTTGTATTGCCTTTTCTATAATATATTGTTAAGATTGAACTTGCTAATATTTTGCTAAGGATTTTTGCATCTATTGTGTTTGTCAGGTTTTGATATCAGTATTTACTGGCCCCATAAAATGAGTTGGAAAAAGTTCCATCAACCTCTATTTTTGGAAATAACTTGTGTAAAATTGGTATTATTTATTCCTTAAATATATGGTTGAGTTTATTAGTACAGCCATCTGGGCCAAAATTTTCTCTGCAGGAAGGCTTTTTAATGACATATTCAATAAATAAATACAGGACCCTTCAGATTTTCTGTTTCTTCTTGTGTAAATGTTGGTAATTGGTGACTTTCAAAAAATTTGTTTATTTCTTTAAAACTTGTCAAATTTATTGGTATAAAAACACTTGATGGTATTCTTTTATTGTATTATTTTAATATCTATAGGATCTGAAGTGGTGTTTCTTCTTTCATTTCTCATTCGGGTAATTTGTATTTTCATTTTTTTTCTTTTCAGCAGAATTGATGTGGCTTATTTTGTTCATTGTTTCAAAATTCTATTGACTTTGTTAATTTTCCCCATGCTTGTCTGTTTTTTATTTATTTCTACTTTATACTATTTCTTTCTTCTATGTAATTTGTGTTTAATTTGAGGTTCTTTTTTGATATCTCCCATTAAAATCTTAGATCATTGCTTTTAAACCTGTCTCCTTTTCTAATACACACATTTAAAGCTATAAATTGTTTTTCTGAGCACTGCTTTATCTGTATCCTATACATTTTGTCATGTTATGTTCTTATTATCATTTAGTTCTAGATAATTTCTATTTTCTTTGTGACTTCTTTTAGTTATTTAATTAGAGATGTTTTGCCTATTTCTAAATATTTAGGAATGCTCTAAATATTTTTGTTACTGATTTCAAATTTAATTTCATTGTGGTCAAACAATGTACTCTGTATAATATCTAACATTTGAAATCTATTGATTTTTTTTTTACAGGAGAAAATATGATCTGTCTTGGTCAGTGTTTCAAGTACACTTGAAAAGAATATACATACTACTGAAGCTGTATATATTGCCCTATAAATGTCAGTTAGGTAATGACGGTTGTATTACCATTTTTTTTTATTACTTGTTTTATCAATTACTGAGAAGGGGGTATTAAAAACTCCAGCTATGATTGTAATTTTGTCTATTTTTCTTTATATTCTGGCATATTTTGCTTCACATAGTTTTAAACTCTGTTATAAGATGCATACATATTCAGGATTGTTATGTCTTGAATTGACCTATATATCATTACAAATTATTCCTCTTTACCGCTGGCAGTATTCCTTATTTAGAAGCCTAGTTTTTCTTGTATTAACATAGTCACACTAGCTTTCTTGGGTTTAGCATTTTCATGGTATAATTTTTTCATTCTCTTACTTTCAGATTATTAGTGTCTTTATATTTAAAATGCATCTCTTATAAACAACATTAAATTGGGTTTTCTGTTTGTATCCAGCTTGACAATCTCTGTCTTATAATTGGATGTTTGTTCATTTTTATTTAATGAGATTGTTGATATGTTTGGGCTTAAATCTTGCTATTTTTTTCCCATTCATCCCATATGTTTTTATTATTTGTCCCTCCTTTTCTATATTCTTCTACTTCATTGAGTATCTTTTAGTACTTTGTTTTAACTTCTTTTTTTTTGTTTTTGTTTTTTGAGATGGAGTCTCGCCCTGTCACCCAGGCTGGAGTGCAGTGGTGTGATCTCGGCTTACTGCAACCTCTGCCTCCCAGGTTCAAGCGATTCTCCTGCCTCAGCCTGCCGAATAGCTGGGATTACAGGCATGCGCCACCATACCTGGCTAAACCCCGTCTCTACTAAAAATACAAAAGAAATTATCTGGGCGTGGTGGTGCGTGCCTATAATCCCACCTACTTTGGAGGCTGAGATGGGAGGATTGATTGAACCCAGGAGGTGAAGGTTGCAGTGAGCCAAGATCATGTCCCTGCATGCCCCAGCCTGGGTGACAGAATGACTCTGTATCAAAAAAACAGAAAAAATTCATATAAACATATTCACTTCCCTCTCCACTTTGTGCTATTATTGTTACATATTTTACTATTATTAAATTTCACAATACATTGTATTATTTTGGCTTTAAAATTTAATTATTTTTAAAGAAATTAAGAGAAAAAAAAATGTAACCTGGGCCAGGCACAGTGGCTCATGCTTGTAATCCCAACACTTTGGAAGGCCAAGGCAGAGGGATCACTTGAGCTCAGAGCTCAAGACCAGTCTGGGCAAAATCTAAAGACTCCATGTCTACCAAAAGAAAAAAAAAATTAGCTATGTGTGGTGGCATGCTACTCAGGAGACTGAGATAGGAGGATGGCTTGAGCCCCGGAGGTTGAGCCTGCAGTGAGCCATGATCATGCCACTGCACTCCAGCCTGCGTGACAGAGCAAGATCCTGTCTCAAAAGAAGAAAAAGAAAAGTAATCTGTACGTATCCACATATTTACCACTTGTGGTGCTCTTTAGTCCTTTATATAGATCCAAATTTCCACTTGTTATCATTTTCTTTTAACCTCAAGAACTTCCTTTAACATTTCTTTCAGTAAATAAATGAAGAAAATAAATCACCTCAGCACTATTTTTTCTCAAGAAAAAAAAATCTTTACACTTTAAAGATATCCTATTGTGTTTTAACTTTATTTTTCTGATGAGAAATCATATATTACCCTTTATATAATATGTATTTTTATCTGGCCTTTTAAAAATTGTTCCCTTTATCTTTAGGTTTTCACAGTTGGACTATGATTTGTCTACATGTGGTGTTCTTTTAATTTATCTTTCTAGGAACCTCTGAGCTATTGGATCTTGGTATATTTCCACCATATTAGGGAATTTTAAAATCCTATTTCTTTTTTTTTTTTTTTTTTTTGAGACGCAGTCCTCGCTCTGTTGCCCAGGCTGGAGTGCAGTGCGGCAATCTCGGCTCACTGCAAGCTCCGCCTCCCGGGTTCATGCCATTCTCCTGCCTCAGCCTCCCAAGTAGCTGGGACTACAGGTGCCTGCCACCACACCTGGCTAATTTTTTGTATTTTTAGTAGAGACAAAGTTTCACCGTGTTAGCCAGGATGGTCTCGATCTCCTGACCTTGTGATCCACCCGCCTTGGCCTCCCAAAGTGCTGGGATTATAGGTGTAAGCCACCACGCCCGGCCTAAAAATCCTATTTCTTTTAAAAATATTCTACTTCATGCTCTCTCTCTCTCTTTTCTTTCTGGTATTTCAATCACACATATTTCAGTCAGCTTGCTATTGTCCCACAGTTCTCTGCAGTCTGGTTAATATTTTCTATCTTTTATTCTCTGTTCTTCAGTGTGAGTGAGACTGATACTTTCTTTCGAAGTGTCTAATCATCTCTAATTTCCATTGAGTAATTTTTTTTTCTTTTCTGATATTATATTTTCAGTTCTAGAATTTCAATTTGTTTCTCTTATGATTTCCATTTCTCTTCTGGGATTCTCTGTTTACCCATTCTGCCTATCTTTTCTTTGAAATCCTTTAGCATGTTTAGAATAGCTGTTTTAAAATCATTGTCGTAGTCTTAACATCTGAGTCATCTGTGGAACTTCTGTTGTTTTGTGTTCAATTGATATTTCCTATTTTTTCCTGCTAATTCAAATGTTTAATAATATTTTATTTTATCCTGGATACTTGGGAATGAACATATAGAGATTCTGTATTCTTACTCTAAAGAATGTTGAGCTTGTACTGGCAAGCAGTTAAGTTACTGATGGATTACATTAAATTTTTTTTTTTTTTTTCTGAGACAGAGTCTCGCTCTGTTGCCTAGGCTAGAGTGCAGTGGCACGATCTTGGCTCACTGTAACCTCTGCCTCCCAGGTGCAAGCAATTCTCCTGTCTCAACCTCCTGAGTAGCTGGGATTACAGGCACCTGCCACCATGCCAGGCTGATTTTTGTATTTGTAGTAGAGATGAGGTTTCACCATATCAGTCAGGCTGGTCTCAAACTCCTGACCTCAGGTGATCCATCTGCCTTGGCCTCCCAAAGTGCTGGGATTACAGTCATGCGCCACCATACCTGCCTGGATTACATTAATCTCAAATGAAGGCTTGTTTTAGGTTTTGTTATGGTGGATTTATTTACATCTTGCTTTACATTCTAGAGTGGAGTTTAGAGTCCTGGGCTTAGTCGTAAGGTGTGGCTTTTCTGAGGTGTTAGTGGAAAGTCTAAGATGTTTACCAGAACTTTCTAACTTGGCAGAACTTAAACGTCAATTCTTTCCCCCCAGCACCATGCAGCTGTTAATACTAACCTCTACCTCCTAGCTGCTGCTTTCTGCTAAGCTTTTTGATTTCTCACTCTGTGCATTTGCATCTCCAAAAATTTTGAGAGGATTTGAATGCAGTATGTAACTATCCTAGTAATATAAAAAGTAATAAGTCATTAGTCAGTATAGGCTAAGTTATTTTTGTAATAAACAACCAGAAAATCTTACTTCTCAGTAGCTTAAAAGCAACAGAAGTTGCAGCTTGCCTTGAACTAGCACTTCAGCTGACAACAATGATAAATTCTAGACTCTAAGCTTATGTTTATTTGAAAAAAATACAGCTATCAAACCAACCCCTTGATTTCAGTCATATTATTACTGAAGTTGAAATAAAGTGATTCACTTAAAACAAAAATATGAAGAAAATAAACATACAATTGATGCTGGGAAACAGACAAAATTTCTGAGGATGATGTCATTGGTGCATGAAAAATAGGGGTATGGATTATTCCCTTAAGTCTAAAACAAATTTAGGTTAAGAAAAAGTTCAGGCCCTCTCCCTCTCCCTCTCCCTCTCCCTCTCCCTCTCCCTCTCCCTCTCCCTCTCCCCCTCCCCCTCCCTCTCCCTCTCCCCACGGTCTCCCTCTCCCTCTCTTTCCACGGTCTCCCTCTGATGCCGAGCCGAAGCTGGACTGTACTGCTGTCATCTCGGCTCACTGCAACCTCCCTGCCTGATTCTCCTGCCTCAGCCTGCCAAGTGCCTGGGATTGCAGGTGCACGCCGCCACGCCTGACTGGTTTTCATACTTTTTTGGTGGAGACGGGGTTTCGCTGTGTTGGCCGGGCTGGTCTCTGGCTCCTAACCGCGAGTGATCCGCCAGCCTCGGCCTCCCGAGGTGCCGGGATTGCAGACAGAGTCTGGTTCACTCAGTGCTCAATGGTGCCCAGGCTGGAGTGCAGTGGCGTGATCTCGGCTCGCTACAACCTCCACCTCCCAGCCGCCTGCCTTGGCCTCCCAAAGTGCCGAGATTGCAGCCTCTGCCCGGCCGCCACCCCGTCTGGGAAGTGAGGAGCGTCTCTGCCTGGCCGCCCATCGTCTGGGACGTGAGGAGCCCCTCTGCCTGGCTGCCCAGTCTGGAAAGTGAGGAGCGTCTCTGCCTGGCCACCATCCCATCTAGGAAGTGAGGAGCGCCTCTTCCCGGCCGCCACCCCATCTGGGAAGTGGGGAGCGTCTCTGCCCGGCCGCCCATCGTCTGAGATGTGGGGAGCGTCTCTGCCCGCCCGCCCATCATCTGAGATGTGGGGAGCGCCTCTGCCCCGCCACCCCGTCTAGGATGTGAGGAGCGCCTCTGCCTGGCCGCGACCCGTCTGGGAGGTGAGGAGCGTCTCTGCCCGGCCGCCCCGTCTGAGAAGTGAGGAGACCCTCTGCTCGGCAACCGCCCCGTCTGAGAGGTGGGGAGCCCCTCCGCCCAGCAGCCACCCCGTCTGGGAAGTGAGGAGCCCCTCCGCCCGGCAGCCACCCCGTCTGGGAAGTGAGGAGCGTCTCCGCCCGGCAGCCACCCCGTCCGGGAGGTCGGGGGTTCAGCCCCCCGCCCGGCCAGCCGCCCCGTCCGGGAGGTGAGGGGCGCCTCTGCCCAGCCGCCCCTACTGGGAAGTGAGGAGCCCCTCTGCCTGGCCAGCCACCCCGTCCGGGAGGGAGGTGGGGGGGGTCAGCCCCCCGCCCGGCCAGCCGCCCTGTCCGGGAGGGAGGTGGGGGGGTCAGCCCCCAACCCGGCCAGCTGCCCCGTCTGGGAGGGAGGTGGGGGAGGTCAGCCCCCTGCCCGGCCAGCCACCCCGTCCGGGAGGTGAGGGGCGCCTCTGCCCGGCCGCCCCTACTGGGAAGTGAGGAGCCCCTCTGCCCGGCCAGCCGCCCCGTCCGGGAGGGAGGTGGGGGGGTCAGTCCCCCACCCGGCCAGCCGCCCTGTCCGGGAGGGAGGTTGGGGGGTCAGCCCCCTGCCCGGCCAGCCGCCCCGTCCGGGAGGTAAGGGGCGCCTCTGCCCGGCCGCCCCTACTGGGAAGTGAGGAGCCCCTCTGCCCGGCCAGCCGCCCCGTCCGGGAGGGAGGTGGGGGGGTCAGTCCCCCACCCGGCCAGCCGCCCTGTCCGGGAGGGAGGTTGGGGGGTCAGCCCCCTGCCCGGCCAGCCGCCCCGTCCGGGAGGTAAGGGGCGCCTCTGCCCGGCCGCCCCTACTGGGAAGTGAGGAGCCCCTCTGCCCAGCCAGCCGCCCCATCCGGGAGGGAGGTACGGGGGTCAGCCCCCTGCCCGGCCAGCCGCCCCGTCCGGGACGTGAGGGGCGCCTCTGCCTGGCCGCCCCTACTGGGAAGTGAGGAGCCCCTCTGCCCGGCCACCACCCCGTCTGGGAGGTGTACCCAACAGCTCATTGAGAACGGGCCGGGATGACAATGGCGGTTTTGTGGAATAGAAAGGGGGGAAAGGTGGGGAAAAGATTGAGAAATCGGATGGTTGCCGTGTCTGTGTAGAAAGAAGTAGATATGGGAGACTTTTCATTTTGTTCTGTACTAAGAAAAATTCTTCTGCCTTGGGATCCTGTTGATCGGTGACCTTACCCCCAACCCTGTGCTCTCTGAAACATGTGCTGTGTCCACTCAGGGTTCAATGGATTAAGGGCGGTGCAAGATGTGGTTTGTTAAACAGATGCTTGAAGGCAGCATGCTCGTTAAGAGTCATCACGGCCGGGCGCGGTGGCTCACGCCTGTAATCCCAGCACTTTGGGAGGCCGAGGCGGGCGGATCACGAGGTCAGGAGATCGAGACCATCCTGGCTAACACGGTGAAACCCCGTCTCTACTAAAAATACAAAAAATTAGCCGGGCGTGGTAGCGGGCGCCTGTAGTCCCAGCTACTCGGGAGGCTGAGGCAGGAGCATGGCGTGAACCCGGGAGGCGGAGCTTGCAGTGAGCCGAGATCACGCCACTGCACTCCAGCCTGGGCGACAGAGCGAGACTCCGTCTCAAAAAAAAAAAAAAAAAAAAAAGAGTCATCACCACTCCCTAATCTCAAGTACGCAGGGACACAAACACTGCGGAAGGCCGTAGGGTCCTCTGCCTAGAAAAACCAGAGACCTTTGTTCACTTGTTTATCTGCTGACCTTCCCTCCACTATTGTCCTATGACCCTGCCAAATCCCCCTCTGCGAGAAACACCCAAGAATGATCAATAAAAAAAAAAAAAAAAAAAAAAAAAAAAAAAAAAAAAAAAAAAAAAGAAAAACCTCTAACCTGGGGGGAGGGGGGAGGGATAGCATTTGGAGATATACCTAATGCTAAATGACGAGTTAATGGGTGCAGCACACCAACATGGCACACGTATACATACGTAACAAACCTGCACATTGTGCACATGTACCCTAAAACTTAACGTATAATAATAATAAAATAAAATAAAATAAAATAGGAAAAAAATAAAAACCTCTAACCTAAAAAAAAAAAGAAAAAGTTCATTTGAGATAGTCACTTGAACAATGACACAAATGATTAATTAATCTTATTTTTTTCCATTAAAAATTTACTATGTTTTTGGTGGTACATTTTTAAGGAGGTGTGATCTTATAAAAAGATTGAGTATATTCATAAAAGTTGGGGAATAACAGGTTATTATTTAAACTATTGTAACTTGATGCTTTAACTAATACTGCCATTAACTTTTCCAGGACTTCAGGCAACTTGTAACCTTGGAAAAGATACTTCGCATTTCTGATTCAAAAAGTACCTCTGTACTTTGAATTTCTTAGTGTCCAATTTAAAGTTTGTAGAATAAGCCATTATTTTAGTGTAGTTTGATATTGGCCAATAGTAGGTGAAAAAAATTAGCGTTCTTTAGCAAACTTACATAATTTTGACTTAGGCCATGGATATTTCCTTCCTTTTCAGTTCCCCTTTCTGCTGTTTTTTAAGTGGCATCTCCATGCAAGATTGAGGAAAGATGGCAAAGATCCACATGCCACTATTGTTTAAATGCAAGTCCATGACAACCTGAATCTAAAATGAATGTCCGAGTCAGTGTTAATGAATCGGTACATTCATAATTGGAAAATCAGCCTTTTTCTCCCTCCCCCTGACTTGCTGATACCTCTCATTAGCTAGTGGTTCTAAGAATGCCTGTGATAAGCATCTGAAGGCAAAGTTGGATGGAGAAATATTCTAATCCTATTGATAGGAGAAGAAAAGGGAAAGGAGCTGGGATTTTTCACCCAATTTATGGAATTTTAATTAAACTGAGACTTTATTGTGTTGTTTACAAGCAGGAGGAATACACAGGCAGCTGCATTTTACATACTGAGTAGCTATAAATAGAAGAATTAATATAGAAAAGATTAAAAAGCTATGTGGATAATGGGCGTCTGTTACCTCCTGGTACACTATTACGTTTTTATTGAAGAATGCCGGTCTGCATACTTGCCTTTTTAAATTAAATTTTCTAAGCAAGAAAGATTGGAACCAGAATTCTGAACCTGGGAACTTATAAGAGAATCTCCCTTTTAATTCTCACACATAACTCTGTAAACATGATTTATAATTATATCTAGTTGTATAACTTTTTATTTAAAAACTCTCTTTTTCACCAACTGGTAAAGCTATAACTCATCTGTTTTGTTCACTGCCATCAGCCTCTGGCATAGGGCCTGTCACAATGTAGGTCCTCAACAAATACTTATGGAATAAGCAAAATAATAATTTTTAAAGAGATTGACTATGAAAAAGTAGTGTGAATAATTGTTGTAGCAAAAAATATGTAAGGAACAAATATAAACCTCAACGTGTTAATGACTAATGAGAAAAAAAGATGAAATAATTAATATGCTAAGTTTTTCTAATGAAAATGCTAATATTATGGAAATAGATCAAAAAATTTTGCAAGGAATTTGTAAGCAAATATTACAAAAGTTTATAAGAAATTAATGTAGTATTACTTTCTGTGAATGTCCTCTGACTGCAATCTATGCACCAAATACTGTGTCAGCCCTTGAGCAGAATGCATATATCTGGAAAAGCTGGTACCTAAGTGCAAACGGGCTGGCATTCTAAAAGGAAAAACTAGAAAGTCCTCAAACACCCTAAGGTTGTAAATGTAGAAGATAGAGTGGTGTACCAGTGAGAGCTGGATTAGAAGACGGCAGCCTCAGCATTCTAAACTGGATCTTTCTGCTACTGTCGCTTAGACATCCTCTCACAGGAGTGAAAATCTAAATCACACCACCTCCAACTCAGATTGGCCTTCTAATATTCAAATCAAATGAAACCTTTCATTCTCTAGCTCCTGGGAACTGTCTTAAATTATCCCTACAACTTACTGCCTTCTTCCTGAATTTTAATCTTTCAAGAACATGTAACATTTCACTCACACTGAGGCCATGAACAAAGCTGATAAAAAATAAAAAATAAAAAATAAACCCTGCATTATCTGTGAGGATGGGTGAGCACTGCAATTCTCTCTCTCTTTTTCCTTTAATGATACTATAAGTATTTTAACAACAGTTGTCTCTTCTGGCACACTCAATTTCCAGTTTTCCCTTTCCAGAAGCAATCATTTCCAACTCTTTTAGCCACTTCTAGTATTTACCACCATATTTGTAAATTGCATGTTAAGTGCTATTCCTTGATTTTCTTTTCCATTTTAATGTTGCCTTTTAACTCTCAGATGGAAGACTCTCAGATCTCTAATCTCCACAGAAGATACATTCCCTTTTCCTTTCATTTCAAAATAGATCATTAATTATGGCTAAATCATTATTCAATGTTTTCATTATTAGACAATAAAATATTGTTTTCAGCTAAGCCACCAAGATTCTCCTAATAAAAACACCCAATTTTTTGTTAATTATTCCCAAATTCTCTGACAGAACTAACAAGTCTTCTCTTCATTTTTTCAAATACAGCAGGTAACCTCTCAGGTCATTTTTCTCACAGTGAGGCATACTTCATGGGTCTCTGTCCTCCTATTCCTATCTAGACTGGAGGCTCTCTCAGCACTATTTTAGTACTTCCTTTGATGATATTTCTGCCAGATGTCAATATCTATAGGTACTTTCCTCTTGGACTGCCTGGTCCCTTAGAGGTGCCTTCTCTAATAATCACTTGGGAGTATAAGTCTGGCAGCTAGCAATCTGGGAGCTGAAAGGAGGAGTGGCTACAAATGGTATTTGCAATTGTCAGGGAAGAAAAACTTTTCTGCTATCCTTTTAGGTCCAGTAACTGGGGGCCTGCAAGTTAAACTAAGAAAAGACAGATTAACAGGAGAAAAAGCATACAATTTTTATTAATATTTACATGCACAGAAGTTCACAGAAAAGAAGTGAAACTCAAAGAAGCAGTTTGACTCCAGGGCTTTATATACCCTTTTAACAAAGAAATAGTCTTTGGACTTTAAGGGACAACATTAAAGGAAAATATATGCCCTGCTTTTAGGTAGATAAGATGTGGGCAGATAACTCTTTCTGCATCTGTTGATTTTGAATTGCCTTCAGCTCAAAATAATCCCCACTCTAAAGTGGCAAATTTTGGGGTGGCATATTCTGGGCCACATTATGATACATTCATTCCATCCTCCAGTTTTTACTGTGACACTTCACCCCTGGCTTTATACCACCTACTGGGTCTACTCAAATCCAGAGCCTTCTCTCTGCTTCCTGAATATAGGAGGGGTCATCACTTGGTTAAAATGGGGAATGGGAGATGTGATGGTTTAACTGCTACTCAGAAAGCCTTTCACTCAGCCCTACTCTTTTCAGTCTCATCCTGCACCCAAAACTTCAAAGATAACTTGTGCCTCCACTTTTTGAGACTTGTTGAGATTCTGCAGATGACTCCATTGCTCCTTGTTGGGTTTCCCCTCACAGGCTTAGGTTTTAGTTTCTCCATCTAAGTCAGTTACTACTCATCCAACTGTTTTCCAATTTTTATTGACATTGCCTGCCTGCTGTCTCCTCATCTCGCATTCTCTTTCCTTGTAAGTTTATGCCTTTTTGCACTCCTTTATTTCACATTACTATGATTTTGGGAGAGAATGGAGATAAACATTTGTTTTTAAATCACCATGTTTAACATAAAATTTCCTGCATTTTCTTTACATGTGAAAGAAACTTAGAACCCGGAAACAAAAGTGACTCCCAATTTCAGAGCTGCAACTGAAATCCAGGTTTCATAAACTCCCTGCCCCACCAATGACAATATTATGATAATAATAAGACGAAGAATAAAAACAGTCATGTATTGAACAACTACTCTGTGGTTGATAATGTTTACATGTTTTATATACTCTAAGTTTTAGTCCTCACAACAACCCTTAAGATAATGATATTATCTTTAATTTACTGATGAAACTTAGAATTTCAAAGACATTAAGAAACTTCTCCCAGGCCACAAGTTAGTAAGAGTATAAAAGAAGTTCCAACCTTAGGACTGATTGGCCCAGGGATCATCTTTTTCCATTAAGTTGCAAGTTGACATTTATAATGGTCCTTAAATGATAGCCAGCATCTCCCAAAGTATTTATTGATAAAATTTTATTGTGCTGTATTTACAAGAGAAGGGCATTTCAAGCTGAAAAATATGGCCTAAAATTATAAAAGGAAAGCCATAGTTTTTATCAATTATAATAATAATGACTTTTGTTGGATGTTAACCAATGCCAGACAACATGGAAAAATATGATGGCATGGTTGAGTCTCCCTGTTGTCAAAATTCATACAGAATATAATCAGAGAACAAAATAATAGTCAAAAAATAAATGTCAGACACCTTAGTCCATAGCATTTTGCCGTTCGTCCCCCAAAATTCATGTCCTTCTTGCATCCAAAATACATCTGTTTCATTCAAAAAGTCCCAAAAGTCTGAACTCATTCCAGTAGCAACTCTAAAGTTTAAAGTCCAAAGTCTCATCTAACTATCATCTGATTTAGACATGGGTTAGACTCAACATATGACTCATTCTGAGGGAAATTTTCCCATGAGCTGTGACCCCGTGAAACCAGAAAAGTTACGTACTTCCAAATTGCAATGGTAGAACAGGCAGAGGATAGACATTCCCATTCCAAAAGGGAGAGATGTGAGAGGTCCTAAGCAAATTTAAAACCTTGTAATATGGATTTCATCAGATCTTAAGGCTTGAGAATAACGCTCTTTGGTTAAGTGCTCTGCCTTCTGAACCCATTGGGGTGACAGCATCATACCCATATAGCTCTAGTGGGGGTTCCACCCTCACAGCTCTGCCACATGGTGCTCCTGCTCCCAAGATTCTGGATGGCCACTGCCTGGCCTGTTGAAATGGAGGTGATGCCCCCCACCTTTGAAACCAAGGAGGCAGCCCTGATTATCTCTGGATCACCTTCAAAATTATTCTTCCCTTGTCTTGACAAACAGCTCATGTTTGCAGCAAAATAGCTCTATGTCCTGGTCCTGTAGGATCTAAGAATACTCACGATCTTACTCCATTTTGTGTCATCTCTTTACCCTTTAGTTCAAACTAGCAGTGTTTTTGCTGAGGTAACTGACTGGGTCTGGGGTTCATACCCACACTTATCTCCGTATCAAATGGCTATTCAGCCACATCCTTGGTGTTCTTTTCATAAAAAAAAACTTTTTCTTTTTTTGCAAAATGGATAGGCTGAGAATTTTTTTAAATCTTTAAGTTCTGGTTCTTATTTGCTTAGTAAGTCCTTCTTCCATTTATTTCTTTCCTCTAAAATTTTACTATAAACAGTCAGGAGGAACCAAGCCTCTCCTTAAATATTTTGCTTAGAAATCTTCTCCACTAAATATCCAATTTTATCTCTCATAAGTTCTACCTTTCACAAACAAGTTCTTTGCCACTTTATACCAATGGTCACCTTTTCTCCATTTTGCAATAATATATTTCTCACTTCCATCTGAGATTGCACCAGAATCACCCATAATGTTCGTATTTCTAGCATGCATCTCAAAACTCTTCTAGCCTCTACCTATTACCCAGTTTCAAAGCCACTTCCACATCTTTAGATAGGTATTGTAGCAGCACTGCACTCCTTGCTACCAAAATCTGTCTTATTCTGCTTGGGCTGCCATAACAAAATACCATAGACTCTATAGCTTAAATGACAGAAATTTATTCCTCACAGTTCTGGAGTCTGAGAAGTCCAAGATAAAGATACTAGCCTATGCAGTTCCCTGGTGAGGCCTCACTTCCTGGCTTGCAAACTGTCACTTGCTCACTATGTTCTCACATGGAAGGGATGGAAGTGGGGAGAGGGGAGAGAGAGACAGAGAAGCAAGCTCTCTGCTGTCCCTTCTTATAAAAACCCTGATCTCATCATGAAGGCTTGACCATCATGACCTCATAAAAACTTAATTACTTCTCAAAGGCCCCATCTCCAAACACCATCAAATTGAGGGTTAGGGCTTCGATGTAAGAATTTTGAGGGACACAATTCAGTTCATAGCAATAACTAATCTCAAAAAAAAGGGAAATCACCAAGGAAACAAAGAGATCTAAACCAGGGAGGTAAGCACAAGGTGACTCAGAAAGGGTTCATATTGGGTGAGAGAAAGGGTTGGTTTTAGATATGAGAAACAAAAATAAAACTCTAAGCCCCCCACCCAACTGAATCAACCCCTTCTTAGCCAAGGGGACCCCTCTCCCTTGCTAACCACTATAAGACTTTTTTCCTAAGAGTTAAACAGAAACCAGCCCTTTAAAAGATTTGCTTTATTGCACATTTCCCCTCCCTTTTTTGTTTTTGTTTGTTTGTTTGTTTGTTTTTGTTTTTTGAGACAGAGTCTTACTCTGTGGCCCAGACTGTGTTGTAGAGTGGCATGATTTTGGCTCACTGCAACCTCCACTTCTCAGCTCAAGTGACTCTCCAGCAGCTGGGATTCCCAAGTAGCTGGGATTACAGGTGTGTGCCACCACACCCAGCTAATTTTTTTGCATTTTTTATAGAAACAAGGTTTTGTCATGTTTGCCAGACTGGTCTCAAACTCCTGAGCTCAAAGCAATCCACCCACCTCGGCCTCCCAAGGTGCTAGGCTTATAGGAGTGAGCCACAGCGTCTGGCCTCCCCTCCCTTTTTGCAGTTTCAACACAGCTGACCAGCATTCCTTCCTGATAAGAGACCACCAATGACAGAATGGTTCTGGCCAGTCCAGGGAGACTGCATACAGAGTGCCTCTGTGTCCTCCGTTTGACACGTATAATCTAATTTTGCAGTATTTACATGTTAAGACTCTCCACCCCAAAGGGAACATGGGATGTATGTAACATGCATGTTTGCTTAATATGTGTGCATGGCCCCCTTTCTGAGACTATTCATTGCTCTTCCTATAACCTGTTGAATATGTATACTTAATCTATTCAGGATAAATTTCTCTCACCCTTCCTCCTTTGAAGTGCCTGCTTTGGGTTTCTGCCTGAAAACTATGCTTCCCAGCCTGAAGGATGGCCAGCCTATAAGCTGTAACCCCTTATAAGAAATAAAGCTCTCCTTTTTAAATGTATGTCCAAATGAGGATAGTAGATGCTGCTCTGAGCTGGAGATTTGAAGTTAGCTCCCCTAATAAAATGTAGGGCCTCAAAGAGCTTCCTGTTTTGAAAAGGGGACAAAAAAAAATTCTGCTCACTGACCTAGGGAAAGTATCAAAAATACTTGTTGTCATTGCAGAGCCTTGGGTACACAAAAATGCTTCCACTTTTAAGAAATCATCTCCAAGGAACCTAATTCCAAGTTCTGTGTGTAGGGAAGAAATTATATAGAAATATAGAGAGATTAACATAACAGTTGGCCCAGGATTATTTAAACTTCTAGAGTCTACATAGAAGAAAATAATAGTGGATTCACAATAAGAAAAAAAAAGATGAGCTGAAAATGAGCTAACAACAACAAAATCACAGTTGCAGAGAAAATGGGAAAATTGAAAGAGAGGTCTGAGCAAATCTCCCACAATGCAGCACACAGAGCTAAACAGATAGTAAAATACATGCGGGACAGAAAGAGGAAATCCAACATATGCCTAATAGGAGTTCCAGGAGAAGAAACTAGAGAATGTTTATTTATTCACTGAAGTTTTGGTGTGTCAAGCACTGAGGTTTGTGCCTCTAAGTATTATTTCATTTGATCCTTCCATAAGCCTCACTGGTGGTGATTTTTACCTTTATTTTAAGATGAATAAACTGAGTCTCAGAGAACTAAAGGGATTTGCCCATGGTCATACAGCTGGCAAATCCAGGTCTTTCTAACTCCAATGCCCATACTACATTACTTCAGGACTCATGATTAGTCCTGGAAGACTGGAGAGATATCACAAGAAAGTTAGTCTTTTATGCCATGTCAAAAAGTTAGAATACATTTGGTAAGAAAGAGGGAAGCTCTTTCCCTTGTTCTTCCTTTTCTAACCTTCTATCCTCCCCTCCAATTCCAAGCGCCATTATGCTTGCTGCCTCCTCATGTCACCATGGCAATGACCATATATTCTTGACTCTGTCTTGGAGGATGGTGATAGATCTTCACACTGTTCAGTAAGAATATCTACAAGACAAGAAAACTCTCTGCTAATGCTGATTGCTTCTCCTCTTGTAACTTTAAGGCATGTATTTTTAGAGTCCCTCTCCAAAAGACTTCTTTTCTTCCATGCAGGGATGAGAATGGAGGTATTAGAGTCCTTTCCTGTTACATATAAAACACAAACATTGAAGAACAAACAGGTATTTGTTGACAGAGTCTATTTTATCTATTAGTCTTAGTGTGTTTTCAGTGCTGTAACACAATACCACAGACTGGATAATTTATGAAGAAAAGAAATTTATTTCTTACGTTTCTAGAAGCTAGGAAGTTCAAGGTCAAGGGGCTTGCATCTGGTGAGGGCTTTCTTGTTGATTTTGGCTGGGTGCAGTGGCTCATGCCTGTAATCCCAGCACTATGGGAGGCCAAGGCAGGAGGATCTCTTAAGCACAGGAGTTCAATACCAGCCTGGCCAAAATAGAGGGATCCCATCTTTACAAAAAAAAAATTTTTTTAATTAGCCGGGCATGGTGGCATGTGCCTGTTAGTCCCAGATACTCAGGAATCTGAGGCTGGAGGATTGCCTGAGCTTGAGAGGTCAAGGCTGCAGTGAGCCATGATCATGCTACTGCACTCCAGCCTGGGCGACTATCTCAAAAAAAATAAAAAAATAAAAAATAAAAGTGTTGTTTTAAAACAAGTATGGCAAATCTTGATATATGAAAACATATTTGAAATAATATTAAGTAGAAAAACCAGGACACAAAATAAAATGCATTTACTGATTACAATGTTATAAAAGACATAAAAGCCTTTTTATGAGGTTAGAAGAAAATACAGAGATACTAATGGTTGAGTTTTAAAATATTTATGGTGGGTTTTTTGTTTTGCTGAAAAGTTAGTATACACATTTGTAGAAAAAAAAATACTTGCAACTTGAGATAATCTGTATAACCAGTTGCTAAGAAAAATGTATTTACAACTTTTCTTTGACTCATAATAAAAAATGCTAACTCAGTTTTGTTCTCGAGACATGGAAATGTTAATTGTTTGTTTTCAAATGGAAACCATCACACAGAGCATATTTTCTGAATTTACAGGATGAACTTTATTTAAACTGTGATGAATTTAAGAGAAAGATATTATCTAAATCTTTGCTACAGACCACCATATCCAGATACAATTTACTGAAACCCCATGATAGACCAGAATTATATAGCCCAGGGTTTATATAGTAAAACCCTGTATAGTGGAATTTTTAAAAATACTGAAGTCTAGTTAGAAAATTTCAGTGGTTATTTCAGAACTTTGTGAAGATCTAAACCATGTGATAGGGAATTCTGGGGAGCCTAAAGATCTCTCCAAGACTGCAGTGCAAAAGAAAACTTCTTTTCTTTCAAATATCTTTAATTAGCTAATAGTTACAAAGTGATCAACAAGGAGAATTGACTCAGTAGTTTTTCAGTAAACTTTATTTGGAATGGCTTCAGTAAGTGTTGCTTTCATGACACATTTTAAAATTTATACATGTAGATGCTTTCACAGATTGCAAGGGACAGGAAGAATTCATTTAATATTTAAACTCTATGTCATGTAAATTATTGATTAGCTTTAATCTAGATACACACGTCGATTCATATTTGTAATCATTGTGCACATATTTTTCTTTCCAGTTATATGTGCATATCCATGTGTCATCATGTTTAATGACTGTCTATTGCCAAACTTTGTTGGAAGACAGAAAATCTTTTATTAACTGTGAAAGGCTACACTGTTACCAGCCTAGAGACCAAACACCAACTAGATTGCTTCCAAATGTGTTTACTTATCACATTCCAATTTTTCAACATTTTGTTCATTTCCAATTTTTCATTTATTTAGGGGCCTGTTGAATATACTTTTATACAAATTGTCCCTCATTTAGATTATTTCCTTATGACAGATTCAGTAAAAGTGAGATTACAAATGGAAATTCAAGCAATATTGATTGACCGCCTACTACCTGGCAATTCCATGGTGTTTTTATATGCATTATCTTGAAAACAGACATTATTTACATATTGGTCTATTCTTTTCAGTGACTTTTCTTCTGAATATAGATTTATTATTCATGTAATTTGTACCCTGGTTTGTTTTAATATAACATGGATACCTTAAACATTTTCAAATTACAGTAATAGGATCTTCAGAACAATAGTTTTTAGTGAATCAAGGATTATCCTCACTTTATCTATTCGTCTCAATACCACTGTTTCTATTTTTCAGTGGTTCTCAGTAGAGTCCCTGCTGGCACCGTTTCAGGAAAGTACAAGAATTTTTCCATCAGAGGATATATAAAGTATCCACAGTCTTATCATCAGCCTAAGGGTAACTCAACGTCCACCACTCACCCCCTCCCCGATTTGTATTCCAAAAAGGAAGAAATTCTGTCCATCAAAGTCAATGCTTTACCTTTTCTACCAGCTCCACCAATCCTATCTGTTTTTGTTTGTTTGTTTGTTTGTTTTGAGATGGAGTTTCACTCTTGTTGCCCAGGCTGGAGTGAAATGGTACGATCTCAGCTCACTGCAACCTCCGCCTCCTGGGTTCAAGCGATTCTCGTGTCTCAGCCTCCTGAGTAGCTGGGATTACAGCAGGCACATGCCACCACGCCCGGCTAATTTTTTATATTTTTAGTAGAGATGGGGTTTCAACATACTGGCCAGGCTTGTCTTGAACTTCTGACCTCAGGTGATCCACCTGCCTTCGTCTCCCAAAGTGCTGGGATTATAGGCGTGAGCCACCACACCCAGCCTCACCAATCCTATATTTTAATGACTTACTTTTCTCTCTAAGTCTGCCTTTTATGTTGGTGAAGGTGAGGCTGAAGGAGAAACACATGAAGGGAAGGTAAATGATAAGGTGGTTCAGGGGAATTCTACACCTCAGAAATCCACAAAGTCCACACTGGGATCTTCAAATATTTACACTGCAAAGCCTCTTGATGAAAACAGTCATCTCAGATTTGAGAGTTGCTCTAAGGTTGGCAAAATTACTTTGAAATTCTGTCTTGCTCTTGGCAAATTTATATACATAGAAAAAAGTCATTATTTTAATCTTTCTGGAAACAGCTCCCGAGAGGATGGAACCATCAAAATTCTAAGATAGCAAGCAAACTAATAGATAAAAATTCTAAATCATGTTTCTCTTTGGGTTTTTTGTTTTGTTTTGTTTTTGAGACAGGGACTCAGTATGTTGGAGTGCCTGGGCAACATAGTGATCATAGACCACTACAGCCTTCAGCTCCTGGGCTCAAACGATCCGCCTGCCTGAACCTCTCAAGTAGCTGTAACTACAGGCATGTGCTACCATGTCCAGATTCATATTTCTTTTAAAATACACATAAATATAGCTCCAATCTTTAAGTAGTAGTAATGCTAATTACATTCAAACCATTAAAAAATAAATACCATTAATGAAATGTATCCATTTGTAATAAAAATAAATTCTTTTGAATCAATATATACTTTTACCAAAGTTCTTTCTTTACTTCCCTGACATATTGTTCCTGGAACTTATGTGATACTTAATTTTCAACTAAAACATTGTTCTTAGGGAAAATGTAAACCTCATTACGTTCATTACCTTTAAACCCTCAGTTTCCGGGAACACATGGTATTTTATTCTGTATCCCTTCTCCTCTTAATATGTTATGTTTATTTTATTGATTATAACTTTTTTAATATTTAAAATTCTACTTCTCTATCAACATCAATCAGTATCCTGGCTCCACTCTATGTAAGAGGAGAAATGAATTCTACCCTTTTCTTCACGTTCCTCCCTGACTTCACTTTCTGCCTTCTGTCAGTTAGACTTTTACATTATAATATTAACATTTATTCTGTTTTGCAGCTACAACTGACCCATGTCTTGTCTGAAGGCTGACTCTTAATGTTAAAACTAATATATGCAATGTTAATATTTACACCTATGTAAATATTTTTTTCACATTGGTTCAAGAAATATGCTAAGATTACATCTCTTTCTTTTCATGGTCACTATCTGACCCTCTGGCCACATGAAAGAAAATACGCTTTACTAAAAGTATTCAATGAACTCTATTTTATTACACCATTATTTCATTTTGTTTCATATTTCAACATAATTTTATTGTACAACTTCTGTTTTTCCTTGAGTTTCTAATCACCATCCTTTTTTTTCATTCATATATGTGTATATATATGAATGAAATATTATATTCCAGGTGAAGCCACATGACTGGTCCCTGTAGATGGAATGTGAGTGGGAAGTGGGAGTGGGAAGTATTACATGTATCATATGTATATATAACTTACCAGATTCTCAAGTTGTCCTGTCCTTTTAATCACATTCACAGTTTTCAATATCCCATGCCTTCTTCTTCCTTGCTTCCCTGAGTATAGTCTTAATACTCTCTTGTAGTAGCACTAATTATTTGTTGTATACCCGTTTCCTAAAACTTTCTCTATTTGACCTCTGCATTTTCTCCTTTTTCAAGCCTACAGCTGAGACAGTTGGCATTCCACTATCCATCTTGAATCATGATGTGACCCTGAGTATGAGAGCAAAATGTTAGGATGGTAGAATAGAAATATAAGTGCATAGGTCCAAAATGACAGTGTATAGACATCATGTCAATCCTAGTCTGCCTGCCTCTGAATTTATTTTATGTGGAAAAGCAACAAATGTCTACCTTGTCTAAATAACTGTTACTTTTTCTATCTATTACATGCAACGAACCTGAACCTAACTAATATGTATTTAGTTTCCAATATTCAATGCCTTCCTCTTCCTTGCTTTTCTGAGTGTAGTCTTAATATTCTCTTGTAGTAGCACTCATTATTTGTTTTATATCCATTTCCTGAACCTTTATCTATTTGGAGAATTCCTTATTTTATGAATCTTGATAAAGAAAAAGAGACCACCTCATTGTATAAGAGCTGAAAATGCCAGCTAATTGCAGCTAAGTCACAGATGTTTCCTAGGACATCATAGTTAACTGCATCCAGAAGGTGGAAGAGGAAGAAAGAATGTGAAAAAGATCCAGTCTGACTCTGAAAAGCCTTGCTCTGAAAGGGACGCACATCACTTCCCACTCTCATTCCATTTACAGGGACCAGTCATATGGCTTCACCTGGAAAAAAGCAGTGGCTGGGAAATGTAGTTCCTAACTAAAAAGCACCAGGCCCCAGAGTGGCTAATTTCTGTAATACCTTTTACTAAATTCTTCACTCTTCTTGTATTTCTATAGTAAGTTTCTATGCATACCAGTGTCAGGTTCTGGACTACATATTTAGTTGACTTTCTCTCTCTCTCTTTTTTTTTTTTTGAGACAGAGTCTGGCTTTGTCACCCAGGCTGGAGTGCAATGGCACGATCTCGGCTCACTGCAACCTCCGCCTCCTGGGTTCAAGTGATTCTCTTGCCTCAGCCTCCCAAGTAGCTGGGATTACAGGGACCCGCCACCATGCCCAGCTAATTTTTGTGGGGTTTTTTGTTTGTTTGTTTTGAGACGGAGTCTTGCTCTTGTCACCCAGTTGGAGTGCAATGGCACGATCTTGGCTCACTGCAATCTCTGCCTCCCGGGTTCAAGTGATTCTCCTGCCTTAGCCTCCCTAGTAGTTGGGATTACAGGTGCCCGCCATCATGCCAGGCTAATTTTTAATATTTTTAGTAGACACAGGGTTTCACTATGTTGGCCAGGCTGGTCTCAAACTCCTGACCTCAAGTGATCCGCCCGCCTCTGCCTCCCAAAGTGCTGGGATTACAGGTGTGAGCCACCGTGCCCAGCCAACCTTCTGTCATTCTTAAATCAATACTACACTGCTTTAATTATTTCACTTTACCTATTAGTAGGCAATTTCCCACTTAATAGTCACCTATGTCAATAACTGCTTAGTTTTTCTTATTCTTTCCTTTCTCCAGATAAATTCTCGAATTATTTTGTTACGTTCTTAAAATGTATAATTGAAATTTTGGTTACAATTTTATAAGACTCACAATTTCATTTGGAAAAAAAATGACATCTAAAGGTTTTAAAAACACAGTCTTTCCATTCAGGAGAGAAATGTAAGGTAATAAATGAAATTTTTTAATACCTGAGACATTTGAGATTTGTCCTCTCTCTTTACATTCTTCGTTAAGCACTTATTTCAAAACTTCACTTCTAAAACAGTCTGCAGGATGGAAATGGCTTGCACAATGAGATTCACTGCGCCAATTGAGGACAAGAAACATGTGGTGCCTTAGTCACGTGGGCCTGCTGTCTTTGTCCATTTTTTTTTTTTTTTTTTTTTTGAGACGGAGTCTCGCTCTGTCGCCCAGGCCGGACTGCGGACTGCAGTGACGCAATCTCGGCTCACTGCAAGCTCCGCTTCCCGGGTTCACGCCATTCTCCTGCCTCAGCCTCCCGAGTAGCTGGGACTACAGGCGCCCGCCACCGCGCCCGGCTAATTTTTTGTATTTTTAGTAGAGACGGGGTTTCACCTTGTTAGCCAGGATGGTCTCGATCTCCTGACCTCATGATCCACCCGCCTCGGCCTCCCAAAGTGCTGGGATTACAGGCGTGAGCCACCGCGCCCGGCCTGTCTTTGTCCATTTTGACTCATGTAGTCAACACTCAGGACAACCACTTTCCCTTAGGGAGGGTGGCATTTTCTGTCTGTCTGGCCACTCTTTATATGTTGGAGTAAGAAGATTTTTAACAAGTATGTTTAGCTTTTTAAGTAAAGTTTAAAAGAAGAAAACATCTTAAAACCATTTGTTCGTAAACAAATATACCGGACATAGGTAACACACTAAAACAACATAAAAATTAGTGAAGAGAAATTAAAGAGGCTCCAAAACCCAGAATCTAAGTAGAAAAATAAAATGAGTGAGTGATTATAGATAAGCTAAGAATGTGTAATCAATTTCAGCCCAGTGAAAAAGGGCTAATTTTTTATTTTCATGCGTCCTTGTCCTTTGTACTCCTCAAGGGATGCATATCGCTTGGGGTTGCAACTTTGCTATAGAGGAGGAATTCCACTTGTTTCCACTTGGCCCTTCGACCCGTGATTGCTATTATTTCACAGATCAGGGATTCAATGTGGAGTTCAATTGCCTGGGATATTCGCTTGGGATCAAGGACCAGAAAAATAACTATAGAAATGGATTCAGTGTTCCATCAGACCTTTTATGAGATGAATTCAAAGCAGTGTGGCGTCCTACAGTGCCCTCTCCCTAAATTTAGGTGTTTCTCCTTCCTGAATGCATAGTCACATGGACCACAAATCCTTTTGTGGAAAAGGAAAAGGGAGATTCACAGTAGGCTCAGCAGGGTTCTTACTTAGGGGTACTCTGTCTCCTCTTCCTTGAAGGCGCTCTGGAGCTGGAAGCTCGCTCAGATCTGGAAATGGGTGAGAGGTTGTCACCTGATAGTGCGATGACTTATGTGAAGCCTCTGTTTACCAGGCCTGGAGGGTTTGGGGTTATGCAGGTCAAGATTTTAGTGGGTAACCTGTTAAATTAATTTCTGTGACCCTATGACTACTTAAACTTACCTTCAGCAATTTATCTGAAAGGGACTACTGAGCTCACCATACTCCCTATTTTAATTACTGTGCTTACTTTGCCACAGGAGCTGGTCAATCTGGACTTCAATTTTTCTAATAGTCAGAACCCTTTGACTGCTAATGACAGAAGCACAATTGGAAAACCCGTAATCAAGAAAACAGAATTGCTGTACTTCATGTACTCTTGAGCCTGAGAATGGTTGAAGGTGACTGGAAGCCGTGTCTCAATGCTTCTAGGAAGCTGTCAAGCAATTCTGCTTTTCTCTAATTGTCAACTTTATTCTCTCCTGTGGCAGACACATGGGGGAACATGGCTGCAGATGGCTCTAGATTCACATTCTTATCTTGGGAACCCGACAGTATTACCTGGCCTGGCACAAATTAGAAAAGTCCCAAGAAAGGACTCTGAATGGTCCAGCTTGAATCACCGAGGCCAGGAGGAGATGAGAACGAAGCTGCCTGGTTTGGGCCTCAGCACATTTACTCACTTACTAGTGTGGTGACATGGGGAAAGATACCCTCTCTATGCTGAAGTGCCCTCATCTTTGGAGGAATAGTTATCTCATACAGTTATTATGAAGATTAAATGAGTTAATTTATGTACAGCACATAGAACAGTGCCCATGCCCAACAATTGTTCAAGCATGATTCAGTGTCCACTCCTTTGGCCAGAGGAAACGCCTGTTGCCAGAGACCATGGATGGTACACATGTGGCAAACACCTGTTACCAGAGAGCATGGATGTTACAGATGTGACTGCTGAGGCTGCATCTATAAGGAGGGCCCATCTTACTCCTCCCTTCATTTGCCCATTTGTGAATAAGCATCTGCACAATCGCATAACCTTGAGTCAGAGCAGAGTACCAGCGCCTACCTTGGAGAAGACAGGGAAAACAGATGGAGCGAAGACTCTTAAAAAAATGGCAAAAACATCTATGAACCTCATACAGTCCTAGAAGCAGGAAACGGAGAAAGGAAATGGCTGGGTTTGCCACTGAGGGCCAAAGTGTGCCACAGTGTACTGAAAATGAGAGAGCAGCCTGGGAGTGAAAGCTTTCCATGTGAATGCAGCAAGGTGGAGAAGTACTTGGTGTGTCCAGCAAAGGCTTACTGTTCTACTACACAACCAACATAGGAAAGAAAATAGGAAAAGAAGGCTGGAAGCAAGTGCTGGAAGTATGGCTGCAGGCACACGAGGAAACCTCACCCACTGGTAAACACAGCTCAGTCTCTGTCCTGGTAGCTAACCAATCAGATTAGCAATTCTTCAGTCGCTGAAGAGGATTTAGTGAGAGGAGATGAACTGAAAGCCAAGGACACTGCGCTAATGTTTTAAATGTGTACATGTTAGAATGCATCTTGTCTCTAGTAACCTCTGTGATTTTCTCTTCCACATCTGGGGTTGATATGAAGCTTCCTTTCCTTCTAACAATTTTTATAGGTGCTTGCTATAGTTTGGATGTCTGTCCCCACAAACCTAATGTTGCAATTTGATTCCCAGTGTTGGAGTTGGGTCCAAATGGGAGGTATTTGGGTCATGGGGGCAGATCCCTCATGAATGAATGGCTTTCTGCCTTTCTCATGGTAATGAATGAGTTCTTGCTCTATTAGTTCTCGTGAAAGCTGACTGTTAAAAATTGTCTACACCCCTGCCTCCACCCTTGCTTCGTCTCTTGCTACATGATCTCTGAACACACCAGCTCCCCTTTGCCTTCCACTATGAGTGGAAGCAGCCTGAAGTCTTCACCAGAAGCAGATGCTGTCTTCATACTTCTCGTATAGTCTGCAGAATTATGACTCAAATTAACCTTTTTTAAAATAAATTACCTAGTCCTCAGGTATTTCTTTATATCAATATTAAACAGATGAAGAAAGCAGTGCTCATTCAAACAATAAATATTTATTGAGTGCCTACTATGAACCAAACTAACACTTTGAAGTATCTGAAAATTTTTGCAATACTGAGTGTGAAATATGAGTGACTGTGAGTTCTTTCTCAAATCCACACTATAGTTGATTATTCCAACAAAATGTCTTAAGAGTATCCTGTCCCAATTATTACACTGCTCCAAGTTTGGAATGTATTAATTCATTTACTTCATCCATTCATTCATTTTTTTAAATTCTATGTTTATATCCTTCTCACTCCCCAAATTAATTTGAAAATAATTTTACAAGACATGAGCACATATGACTATGAAAATAACTATGCTAAATTCTTTTAGCAGTTTAAATTTGTTTCTAAATTCTATTTCATTCTATTAAGATTTTTATTCTGCTTTTAAACTGAAGCCATGTGCTTTAATTCATTGTCATGTCATAACAGAAGAATATAAAGCATAATGGGGGGAAAGCATGGGTGTGAACGAGAACACACGGACGCATTGGGGGTAAACAACACTCACTGGGGCCTGGTATTGTGGCAGTGGGAGAGGGAGAGCATCAGGAAGAATAACTCGTGGATGCCAGGCTTAATACCTAGGTGATGGGTTGATAGGTGCAGCAAACCACCATGGCGCACATTTACCTATGTAACAAACCTGCACGTCCTGAAGGTGTACCCCAGAACTTAAAATAAAAATTGAAGAGGAAAAAAAAAGTTTGAATGTAAGCCCTGACACCCCCTTTCTATCCCTGGAAATGGGAGCTCTCCACTCTTCAAACTTCTCAACTGTAAGGTGATGTACCTTGAGGCTGTTTTTGGAAAGAGGGCATCTGTAACTAAATCCAAAAAGTAAATAATCTCTAAAGCGCAGATAACACTAATCCTCTCCTGTTCAATCTAATAGCGTTACTGTGGTAAATAAGTGAGAAAATGTGTGAAAATACTTTATAAACTGTAAAGCACCAAAAATCATGCTATCATCATACTGAAAGGTGTTTTTACTCTCATAGAGTTTCTCATCATTTAAATAAATATGTATTCATGACTTTTTAGTTTTCCAGTGGGATTTTCACACTCACTTTGTCTTGTATATAAAGTATCTCATAAAAAGTGGTGTCAGATTAAATATACATTCACTTAAACAGCATTTTTATCATAACAATGTTTCATTTTCCCAAGGTCTCGAATAAGAGCCATAATGCATCTGTCTATTATTTCTTCCTTTATTTCTTCCAGAGTGCTTTCATAATTTCTTTTAATTAAATCTACCTGAGCCAAATGAATGTTTAATTATTTAATTATTATTCTGAAAGAAATTGATTCATTCACTTTATTCATCTTAATTTATAGATGTGTGTCACTAGCATATAGCACTGTAATTTATTTGTGAGTGAATGTTGGCTTTGACTGGATCCTTTAGGAACCAGAGCCTTAGGCAGGGAGAAAATGCCAAAACTTTATTTGGAGCCGCAAGCTCAGAGTGGTGAGGTAAATAAAAAATTAAAGGGGAAGTGAAGTAAGAAAATAGGCAAAGTAATGTGATGAACCACTTGGCCAGTGAGCTGCAAAGTGTGTTGTTCAGTACTCAGCATCTCTCCAGAAGGGCTGCAAGGAGGAACCACACTTCAGTACAGTCCACAGGAAAAAAAATAGGGGTGGGGTGGGAACATTTATTTGTGCAACTCTCTTGATCCTCCTATTTCATATTGGTTGAGGTTCACCTGACAGTATAGTAACTCTCCTGCACTGCTAGGTCAGGTCATCCAGCCCTCCAGCAGAAGCCAGGAGTTAAAATGCATACGACAGAGTATCATGACATCCAAGCCTGGGAGTGGTGATTAAAGGAAGTAATTCTTCATGGAGAATGTGTGGGCCATGAAGTCAGGGGCTTCAACTTAACTCAAGCAAGCTTTGGGAGCTCAGCAAAGGCAGTGAGGCTAGCACAGGCTTGGAGGCAGATGGCATCATAAGAAAGAAGGAGGCAGGTCAGGGTATCTGAGGAGATGCACAAGATCTGCATCTGACACAGGTGTGTGGTTTGTCCCCTACATGTATGATGAGGTATGGGTGAAATATTTATACTTTACTATAATTTTGTTGGAATTCTAAGGAATTTAAAACTATATCATCTGTGGACATTTGTTTTCTTGTTTTCTATATTTTAATTTCTTTTTCTTCTCAAACAGTTATTATCAGTGTCTGGTAGTATGTTGAGCAGGACAGTGTCTCAGTCCATTCAGACTGCTGTAACAGAATACCATAGACAAGGTGGCTTATAAACAGCAGAAGTTTATTTCTCAAAGTTCTGGAGGCTGGAAGTCCAAGATCCAGGTGCCGGCAGATGTGGTGTCTGGTGAGGGCTTGTTCCTCATAAATGGCATATTCATGCTGCATGCTCACAACATGGAAGAGAGAAAAAAAGGGCCAAACAGACTCCCTCAATCCCTTTACTAGGGCACTAATCCCATTCATGAAGACCCCACCCTCATGGCCTAATCACCTCCCAAAGACCCTGCCTCCTAACTCTACCAAATTGGTGATCAGGTTTCAACATCTGAATCTGCTGGGGGCAGGCGGGGGGCATGGGGGGACACAAACATTCAGACCGTAGCACCTAGAAACAGAATTTGTTCTTATGTTTATTCCTGAGGAAATAACTCTTTCAGGCCCACATTAACTATAAATGTGGGCCTCCGTTTTAAATATGTTACCATGTAAAAGGTATAAAAAGAAGGTCAATGGCAGAGATTTTCCACATCAAATAGTGTTCTCTTTCTTGATACACAACTAAATTACCTTTCCCAGTCCCCTTGCATCTGGATGGAGCTACGTGACCCACCCCGGTCAATGGAACATGGACAGTGTGAGTACAATCCGTGTTCTTTGTCTTGACTTGCCTGCTGGCTGGGTACATGGGATCCAGCAGAGGACTCAAAGCCCCTAAGGAAGTGGCCCCTTGAATGACTTAAGTGGAACAGGGCCCTGCCTAGTCCCCTTCCCCCCATACCACACACATACTATGCCAAATGTGATGTGAGCAAGAAATAAATATTTGTTAAGCCCCAGCATTTGGGAGTTGTTTGTCATAGCAATTGCAAAATCTCTCTAGTAAACTTTCCAAACCAAACTTTTAAAAAGTTTTCATCAAGAGTAAAGGGCAAAATTTACTGGGTGACTTCTTAGCATCCGCTGAAGTTCTTACACAATTCTTATCATATTTTTTTTTTTTTGGCTCCTGTTTTCCTTTGGTATTCTAATCTTAGATAACACCTAAAATAAAATTATTTTCTATTGCTAACATTTCAGCTGAGAATTTCTGTTTGTTTGTCTGACCTGTGTTCATGGGAGGTAGTATGGCCTCTTTGGAAAAACATGGGTTTGGAGTCACACTGAATCCCATTTCAGCCATAGACCCTGTTGAATTTGTCATGAACTGTTCTGAATCTCAGTTTTCTCATCTGGAGTAATAATTTCTATCTTAGAGGGTTTTGTGAGTATTAAACAAAACATTATATATAAAATACCTGATACACAAGACCACCTTAATAAATTGTAACTATTATAATTATTCTTCTTATTTTAATTTGATAAGCCATTCTCTGTCTTTCTCTGTGTCTGTGTTTATCTCCTCCCTGCACCTGGCCCTTTCTCTTTCCTCCCCTCCCTTTCTCTCTCCTCACTTGTGCCCTGTTCAGACTTGGGAATTCATACACATAGGAGGTGTTAGGCACTATGTTTAGCTCCAGTATTTCCACAAATTAGTCAGTTAGTATTCTGCCCCCTCTGATGTGAATAAGACTGTTTATCCTTAGATACAGTGTTCAAGGGCCAGGTGCGGTGGCTCATGCCTGTAATCCCAGCACTTTGGGAGGCCGAGGCGGGCGGATCACGAGGTCAGGAGATCGAGACCGTCTTGGCTAACACGGTGAAACCCCGTCTCTACTAAAAATAAAAAAAATTAGCTGGGTGCAGTGGCGGGCACCTGTAATCCCAGCTACTCAGGCAGGAGAATGGCATGAACCCGGGAGGCGGAGCTTGCAGGAAGCCGAGATAGCGCCACTGCAGTCCGGCCTGGGGGAAAGAGCGAGACTCCATCTCAAAAAAAAAAAAAAAGAAAAGAAAAAAGATACAGTGTTCAAACTCTGAAGTCTATTTCTTGCTCATTGTAGCCCATTGACTTTATAAATCTCCTTAAATTGTATGAAAGGTATTTCATGGATGTGCATTTCCCTGGAGGAAAGGTACATAGCTGTCATCAGATTTTCAGAGGGATCTCCAACCCCCAAAATATTAAAAATTTCTGCCTTAGATCCAAATCACCAATAACTTTTCTAATCCACCACCCCTCCAACTCCGATCATTACCGTATCAACCATTTGCCCAGAAATACAATCGATTAGATTTTTGTAGCATTTATATACAGATCAGCTCATCCATCTTGAAATTCTCTTTCCTTAATATTTTGAAACTCTCTCTTTCCTTGACCTTTGTCCTCCCCATACTTCTTTGACCATTTTATCTCTATATATCTGCTTTTCCTTTCTCTGGATAGTCTCTGAGAGTGGATGACACCAAATCCTTTTACCCAGCCTGGAGGTGGGTCTCACTCCGTGGCCCAGGCTGGAGTGCAATGGCGCAATCTTGGCCCACTGCAACCTCCGCCTCTCGGGTTCAAGTGATTCTCCTGCCTCGGCCTCCCGAGTAGCTGGGATTACAGGTGTGTGCCACCACACGTGGCTAATTTTTGTATTTTTAGTAGAGATGAGGTTTTGCCATGTTGGTCAGACTGGTCTCAAACTCCTGACCTCAGGTGATCTAATCACCTCGGCCTCCCAAAGTGCTGGTATTATAGCTGTGAGCCACCACGTCCGGCCTTTCCTACAGCTTCTAATCTCACCTCTTTGCAGATGACTTCTAAACCTGCCCTGCAGAACTAGTCTTTCTCCCCAGCTATAATCCTTCTTACCAGTGGCCTGTTAAGCACTTCCATGTGGTTATTCTGCTGACACTTTAAACTGAACAAGTCCCAAACCCACGGACTCTTCTTTAATCCCCAACCCAACTCTTTCTTCTGACTTCTTTTACTCTAAGAGCATCACTTTTTCTCTGGCATTTAAGATTATAACTTTGGAGGTTCATTTTCCTCTCTATTCTTCTTCTTCCATCGATCATGCCCAATCAATTGTCAAGTCCTATAAATTCTAACTCCACAATGGCTCTTCAATTAATTCCCTCTTTTCCAAGAGGTGACACATTTATTCTCATCTTTACCATTTGAATAGTAGCCACGCTACTGCTGACACACATTTTCTCTCTACTTTGGCCATTACATGAGCTCCTGTGCTGGCAACACTCCTTCTAGCCCTTCCTTCACCAGTCTATCCCTTTCCAGAGAAGTCTTCCCAAAGCATGCATATTTTTTTCACCTTTATATTAAAAAACCATCAACACCAATTTGTTATCTTTCAGAGTTTCATGGCAAATCGTCACCTTGCCAGTCATGCTAGGCTCTGCATCATACAACTGGTACATACCTTTTCAGCCTGGGTTCCACGCTAAGGCCAGGGTTCAAATCCTGATTTTGCCACTTCCTGATTATGCAACCTTAGGAAAATTGCTTAATTTCTTCAAGCCTCTTTTTAAAAAATTTTGTTAAAGTGGGGGTGATAATAATATCCATCTGTGGTAGACTACGGATAACTACAACCCGTTTACATCCTCTGCCTACTCAAAGTTGGACTGTGTTTTCCCACCCCTTGAATTTGGGCTGGGTTCATGACTCACTTTGGTCAGTAGAATATGTGGAAGTGAACTTCTGCAATTTATGAGCTTAGGCCTCCAAGAAGCCTAGGGAATTCTTTTACACACTTGAAAACCTGAGACCACCCTGTGAATGAACTCGAGCTAGCTCTCTGGAGTAGCCACGTGGAGGAGCTATGTTTGCCCTCCAGCTGCCCATCACTAGAAATGTAACTGAGGCTGTCTTAGATCATTCTCTCCAGTCAACCAAGCTGACTACAGCTGCAGGAGTGAGCCCAGGCCACACCAACTAAAGCTCCTCTCAGTTGAGCCAAGCCCACAGATTGTGAGCTAATTTAAGCCACTATGTTTTAAGGTGGCGTTTTATGCAATAAAAGTTAACTGATATATTACCTCACAGCATTGCCACGAGCACTAAATGAGACAGTATACATAAAAGTATGTAAAACGGGGTCTGACACAATAAAAGACAGTTATTACTAAATTATTAGCTCATTACACACACACTATGAACCTGTCTAACTTGGCTATTCACTACTACCTGAACTCATTCTGTTCTTTCTTACCTCTGCACTTTGCGTATGAATTTTAAAACTGGGGGAATACACTTCCCTCTCTCCCTCCAATTTATCTAAACCTACCCATAATTCAAGCCTCATCTCAAATGGCTGCTTCTTTATAAAACCTTTCTTAAATCACTAACTAGATAAAAGATAGTTCTTTAAAGCCAGAACTGGATCTGAATATTGACTTTTCATTATCATTTAATCAACTATACAAACATAGTTAATTTTTTTTTTTTTTTTTTTACTTTCCTGAACCCTACCTTCCACCCCTTTAAAAGGAGTTGTTGTGAGGATTTAATGACAATATATAGCATGATGCATTATTGGTCGAAGGTGTAATATTGATTCAACAAATGCCAGCTCTTCCTCTCCCCTTTGCTCCTCCCAATGCCCCATCTCTCTCTACCCTGCCTTATGGTACATAACATGTTCTGCATGTGATTATAATTTTGAGTAGTTATTTTATACTCTACTTAGGGAAAAAGTGTTTTATTTATCTTGGAGTTCCATATAGGACCTTATATGGTTATTTTCACATGGTAAACACTCAATAAATATTTATTGCATTGGAATTTTTTTAACTGCCAAATTATACAAGCAATGTTAGAGGAGGAAGAGCTCATTTTCACTGGGTGGTCAGGGTAGGATTTATAGAGAACTTGGATTCCAACTCGGTTTTTAAAAATAGGAAGGAGGCCTTGTGCAGTGGCTCTTGCCTGTAATCCCAGAGCTTTGAGAGGCTAAGGCAGAACAATCACTTAAGCCTAGGAGTACGAGATCAGCCTGAGCAACATAGCAAGACCCTGTATCTACAAAAAAAAAAAAAAAATTTTTTTTTTAAGACAGAGTCTCGCTCTGTCACCCAGGCTGGAGTGCAGTGGTGGGATCTCAGTTCACTGCAAGCTCCGCCTCCTGGGTTCACGCCATTCTCCTGCCTCAGCCTCCCTAGTAGCTGGGACTACAGGCGCCCGCCACCACACCTGGCTAATTTCTTGTTGTATTTTTAGTAGAGACGGGTTTCACCATGTTATCCAGGATGGTCTCGATCTCCTGACCTCGTGATCCACCCGCCTCGGCCTCCCAAAGTGCTGGGATGACAGGCATGAGCCACCACGCCCCGCCAAAAAAAGTTTTTTTAATTGGCTGGGCATGGTGGTGCACACCTGTAGTCCTAGCTACTCAACAGGCTAAGGTGGGAGGATTGCTTGAGCCTAGGAGTTTGAGGCTACAGTGAGCTTTGATTATGTCACTTCACTCCAGCCTGGATGACAAGGGTGAGACTCTGTCTCTAAAAAAATAAAAGTAAAAAAGAGAAGGAGCTGGAAAGATGAAGAGTAGGAGAGAATCCTAGGAAGATATGAGTTAAAACACAGAGCTGGAGCATGCATGGCCATTTGGGAGACAGAATCAAACGTCTGGCTGCAGCAGAGGACTGATGGCAAGGCTAGAGGAGTAAGGCTAGAAAATCAGGTGGCACCTTGCTTGGCAGGTTAAGAACACTGGATTTTTGTTCCATAGACAATGAGGAGTCACTAAGAGATTGTTATTATTGTCTCTTTTGCTTTTATAAAAATAACATGGGCATTATAAAAGGCATAGGAAATATAAATAAGCAAAAACAGAAATTAAGAAGTGTCTCTAAGCTCCTGATTCAGAGATCACTAACATCAAAACTTTGGTTGTATATCCTTCCATCCTTTTTTTTAACTTTTAATTTTGAAATACTTTCTAGCTCACAGGTAAGATGCAAAAATACTACAAAAAATGTTACATGTGTCCTTTACCAAGGTTTTCCAATTGTTAACATTTTACAAGATTTGCTTTATTTTTCTTGTTCTCTTTTCTGAATTATTTGAGAGTAACTTGCAGACATGAATCCCCCTTACCCCTAAATACTTCACTGTCTATTTTCTAAAAACAAGGACACATTCCTACACAACCATAGCACAGCCATCAAAATCAGAAAATGAACATTGGCATAACAATCTACCTCCATCTACCCACAGACAGAGTGAGACTCTGTCTCAAAAAAAAAAAAAGTATGAATTGTTTATTTCTAGAATTTTCCATTTAATTTTTTTTTTCTTTTTGATACAGGGTCTTACTTTGTTGCCCAGGCTGCAGTGCAGTGCTGTGATAACAGCTCACTGCAGTGTCAACCTCCCATGCTCAAGCAATCCTCCTGCCTCAGCCTCCCAAGTAGCTGGGACTACAGGTGTGTGCCACCACACTTGGCTAATTTTTTTTTTTTTTTTTTTTGTAGAGACGGGGTCTCGCTATGTTGTGCAGGCTGGTCTCGAACTCTGGACAAAAACAGTCCTCCCACCTCAGCTTCCCAAAGTGCTGGGATTACAGACCCAAGCCACTGTGTCCAGTGTCATTTAATATTTTTGGCCACTGTGTCAGGCATGGTGGCTCATGTCTATAATTCCAGCACTTTGGGAGGCCAAGGTAGGTGGATTGCTTGAGTCCAGGAGGTTGAAACCGGCCTGGGCAACATGGCGAAAACTTGTCTCTACAAAAAGTACTAAAATTAGCCACACATGGTGGCACATGCCTGTAGTCCCAGCTACTTGGGAGGCTGAGGCAGGAGGATCATTTGAGCCTGGGATGTGGAGGTTGCAGTGAGCCCAGATTGCGCCATTGCACTCCAGTTTCGGTAACAGAACAAGACCCTCTCTCAAAAAATTTAAAAGATTTTAAAAATAGAAAAAAAATTTGTGACCCTTTGTTGACTGTGGGTAGCTGAAATCACAGACAGCAAAACCTTGGATGAGGGGGACCACTGTATATACATGTGAATGCCCGCCACCCGACACACACACACACAATATCTATACCCATTATCATTTACGAGTTCTTACCAACATTGCAATTCTAATCCACTGCTACAAGAATTATTCTAGCCTTCCCGCTCTTCATAGTCTCACCTCTTCACCAACGAGACACATGGCTTCCATTATCTTCAATATACTTATTGGCTCAATCCCACTGTAGAGAACCAATCTCTCTATAACACCAGCTGTCTCCTTGGCCATCTCCCTAGCCCCTACCCTACCAGCTGCCTCCTAAGACACTCCCTTAGTCCTGGACATGCTCACCAGTCCTCGGCCCCAACCATAATGGTCCCCTTCTTGGCTGCCTCCAAAAACTATTAAAAAAAAAAATGGCCAGGTGCAGTGGCTCACGCCTGTAATCCCAGCACTTTGGAAGGCTGAGGTGGGCGGATCACAAAGTCAGGAGATCGAGACTATCCTGGCTAACATGGTGAAACCCTGTCTCTACTAAAAATACAAAAAATTAGCCAGGCGTGGTGACACGCACCTGTAGCCCCAGCTACTTGGGAGACTGAGGCAGGAGAACGGCATGAACCCAGGAGGCAGAGGTTTCAGTGAGCTGAGATCACACCACTGCACTCCAACCTGGGTGACACAGCGAGACTCTATCTCAAAAAAAAAAAAAAAGAAAAAAAAAAGAAAAGAAGGAAAGAAAATGTATTCTTGGCTTCTCTTTTTGGATATGTGGCTGCTGTGTATTGAGTACAGGTACTATACTAAGTGCTCTACATGTACTCTCTCAATTAATCATCACAATTACTATCTAAAGTTAATATCAGTACCCTTATTTTATAGATGAAGGTCCTGAGGCACAGAGAGGTTAATTGGCCAAATATTAGACACCTAGGAATTGGACAGAGCAGGCATTTGAACCCACGTACTCTTCAAGTCCAAAGTCTTCACTCCTAATTACTACACTCTATTCCCTCCCCTTGTCTATGCACATATTATTTAAATGTATCAAGAAGAAGTGTAAGGTAGAAATTATAATCACAAGCTGTAGAACCAGATTTAAAACTTAGCTCCATGATTTATATTTGCTCTGGGACCTTGGGAAAGTTACTTAACCTCTCTCTGCCTCCATTTCATCTGTAAAATGATAATGATTGTGCCTTCCTAGATCACTCAGGGTCCCCCACAGGAAATCGTAACCACTAGATGAATTTTAAGGAGAATGGAATTTAGTGCAAGGAGTTAGGTGCTAATAAATATTGTTGGAAGGAATGGAGGAACAAGCTATAGGCTTGGACTCCAGAAGCAACTTTTGAACATCACCACCCACGTGTCATAGTTAGAAAGGTGGGGACTCAACTGGCCACTACCAGAACAATTGAATTAAAAATACATCACCATGCTACAATCTAGGGAATTAGTGAGACAGATCAGCAAAATTGCTGTTGCCTCCAGCACCAAAAGTTTAAAATTGGACACTGGAATTCTGCTCCTGGAAAACCCCATGTCTCTACAAACCCACTGGTCAGCAGAAAAGAGCCAAAAGCAGCATTAGATGCTCCACCTCACTTCTACTTTCCAGGTCTCTCCCATATGTAGCTCATTGAAAAAACTAAATTCTCATCAGAACCCTAACTGAAAAGAACCTGGGAAATGTAGTTTGGTGACTTCTTGTCTTTCTATTAGGTTGGTGCAAATGTAATTGCTGTTTTGCCATTAAAAGTAATTGCAAAAACTGCGATTACTTTTGCGCCAACCTAATACAATGTTAAGGCTTACCAGGGAGTAGAAATAGATGCTCAGTGCCATTGCCCACCTCCATCAGCCCCCTCCCAAAAGATAGTTGTGAGGATTAAACAAGTTATCCCTTCAGTGTGTAACCCAAGATAAACCTAAGTAAATGTTAGATATTAGTATTATTGTACAAAAATTTAAAAATGAACTCCTGGTACATAGTCTGCTGTGGGTTTCAAAGTTAACATTCAAGGGTTTTAAATAAAGACCTTGGAAGACTTCAGATTTCATTTTCTATAGACACATCACCTCAAACTCTTTGGAAACAGACAGTAATAAACTGCTTGGCTGTCATGTGCAGATTGGAAAGGAGAAGGGAAAGAGACTGAGAGATCTGATTCAGGGAAGTCAGCTAAGGAACTATATTCCAAATGAGGAGAAAGAAATAAAAGATTTTATTCCTAGTGAGGGAAGCACAGATGCAGATAAAAAGACAGGTAATGAGAGCACTGAGTATAAAGAGACGAGGATCTAGAAACTTATTAAATACAGGAATAAGAGAAATGAAAGGCTCAAAAGTACTTCAGTGATTTCCTATCATTTTGGTAGAAACATGTAACTTTGATGCCAGCTAAGTTCTCCTGGTCCCTCGAGATCAAGATAAGAATGATTCACAAACCCATTCTGCTGATCAAGGAAATCCAAAATCCTCTTCCGGTCATCTTTGAACTCCTAGGGGAGGTGATGTTCTTGTTTTTTTTTTTGTTTTTTGTTTTTTGTTTTTTTTTTTGAGACGGAGTCGCCCAGGCTGGAGTGCAGTGGCGCGATCTCGGCTCACTGCAAGCTCCGCCTCCCGGGTTCACGCCATTCTCCTGCCTCAGCCTCCCGAGTAGCTGGGACTACAGGCGCCTGCCACCACGTCCGGCTAATTTTTTCTATTTTTTAGTAGAGACGGGGTTTCACCGTGTTAGCCAGGATGGTCTCGATCTCCTGACCTCGTGATCCGCCCGCCTCGGCCTCCCAAAGTGCTGGGATTACAGGCGTGAGCCACCACGCCCGGCCGCTGATGTTCTTTTGAACACTCTTGGCCACAGATTCCTACTTCTCCCAGTCAATTTTATCTATCTCACAACATGGCAACCCAGGCTTCACATGCTGCTTCTTCTATGATGGCTACCAAAACCCCAATCACACCAAGAACTTTGGACATTGCAGACTTTAATAGTAATTTGCAGGAAAATGGGGGTCTTATCGCAGCATTATGACAGGCTTCAAACAGAGCACTGTTTAATGACTTTTTTAAATGAGTCTCTCCATTTAAAAAATTATTCTTGAACCCAACCGTCAGGAATTTTCTCTGATTCTTCACCTCACCAACTTCCAGCCTCTCTCCATCTTTCTGGCCCTTCTGTCTACCTCCTTACCTTTTCCTTCCTTCTGTTTCAGGAAAACACACACAATACTGCCCCAAATATCTTACCTTATCTTATACAGGACAGGTTGGCCACTATTATTTTGTGCCTTGAGAGACTCCTTTCCTTAAATCATTGTCGTTGAAATCTATACTCTGACTGATTTGTCAAGAGAGTTTCTGTAAAAACATTTCCCTTCTTAAAAGAATTCTGGTGCCTAGTTGCTAAAATAAGGACTATTTTTTCATCCTATTCTAAAAAGTAAGGCGAAGAGCCTGAGAGTCTGCTCACGGGATCCTAATCCTAGGGTAGCTGGGAAGCTGGGAATGGGGTGACATCAAGACAATGGATGGCTGACAATTGTCCTAGAGATATAGCACCCCAAGATGAAAGTCACCCACCTGCTCTGGCTGTCATACGAGGTTTCTTTTCTGCCCATTTTTCTTCTTTATTTTCTCAAATTAGTTATCAAACATGTCTAATGGAAATGAGTTTTGAAGTCAAGCTGCCTGTCCACATTTCAAGAACAAAAGTAGACTCCCCCTACATGTTGCACAGCTCTTAAACTTGTACCTCACCTACAGAAGTCCTGGCCTGAAGCAGGGACTGGTAAGGCACACTGAGGCCGTCAGATACACACATTTATTCTAAGAGGCTGGCATAGGGTAAGTGAAGTCAGAGCAGAGCAGGGGAGGGAAGAGGGACTAGCAAAGAGAGTCAGCGTGAGGCAAACTGTAGGGGAAGGAGCTTAAGATCCAAGATCCTATTGTCAGAGGCTGGGAAGGTGGGATGAAGGGGGTAGGGCAAGAGAACAAGAAGGAGAGATAGGCATGAAGAGGCATTGATGTGTACCTCATACTACCATTCAGGTGAACGTACACAAGGGAGGTAGCAGATATCCACAGCCCACAGGAAGCTCAGGCCCCAGGGCTAAATTCTACCTAGGCTTTGGAAAAAAAAGGAAAAAAAAAGCAAGGCCAGGGCCCCAAACCTCTGTAAAATTGCTGAGAACAAGGTCAGACCCCAATGCTAAGTTCTACCTAAGCTTTGAAAAAATAAAAAGGAAGAAAGGTCAGGGCCCAAAACTTCTGCAAAAATGCTGACAGCTTGGTTTGGCACATCATATCCAAGCCCAGAAAAGTTAATTGTATTCTTTCTAACTTAGTCTTATTATTTTTCTTAAATGTTCCTTCTCCAGAAATTTAGAATTGGCCACCTCCATCCAGTTCTTTCTCTGACCTGATTTAAGCATTCTGTGAATATTAAGACTAGGATAAATGAGACTGTAATTGATTAAACTGTTAGTGCATGCAAGAATGTGTCTCAGATATTTTATTCCTCAATGTAATATTTTTCAAAATATGTGTTTTTGTTAGTATAAGTCAGTCTTACTATTGGAAAGCTTCTTTGTTCTGATTTGTTTTGTTTTCAGATTTCTAACAAACTTGGTGTGCATCATAGTTATCTCCGTGCAGATTGTGTTGAAAACATCTTTGATGCTTCTCCCAGTCCCAAGGTACTCCTGGTAAATACAAAAATCCATTTTTAATACAACATTTGTTGACAATTGTGCATGTCTATCAAAAAGAAATAAATCTGGGAGGAAATTTGTGAAGGCAGGAGGCTAAGAGTGCAAGGGAAATGAAACAGGCAGAGATTATGCATGTGAGGATATTTGCTTCACTCTTAGCTGGATGTGACCAGAATATTTCTTAGTGGATACCAGAATAATGGCAGTTTCTTAGAAAACATTGTCTTCTGGAGTGTAAGAACAGGAAGAAGATAAATACAACTAAAACGTTGGCCAAAAAAAAGCAGCCTACGATCCCGCAAATAAAAAGTAATGAAAAAATGCTGGTTTCTGAAAGCCAGAAACCGGAATCACTGAAATAGCTGGAGGAGAAGGGCTCTTTATGGAATACTAAGTAGACCTGCCTCCTTCAGTGTATCATTAGTCATGACTCTTGGGCCAAGTGAATGAATGCATCTCCAGACTCCTCAGCTGCTCTTCACCCTTCAATCATAACTGTAGCTACGTTCTGCTTTGGCCAGCGGGGCTCCCCTGCCCAAATCAGCTGTTCTGCCCCGCTTCGCGCCTCCAAACCTTTCTCAGCACTCAAGGCTGAGCTCCTGTGTCACTCCTCTGATGGTGCCAGCCCAGAATAATCTCTGCCACTTGGAAATCACCTTGGCATAGGGTCTAGGTGGGCATCATAGCTACCAGAGGGTCTGTCAGATGAACCTCATGGACATAAGGATTAACAACTGAAATCAGAATCAAAAGGCTACAGACAGTACAATTCCATTTATGTAAAGTTCAAAAGCAAGTAGAATTAATTCATGGTGATAAAAGTCATAATTGCTATTACTAAGGATGAATAGCAACTGGGAAGAGGGATAAAGGAGCCTTCTGGGTTGTTGGAAATGTTCTAGATTTTGAAATGAATGGTAGCTGCATGAGTGTCGGTGTTTGTAAAAATTCATTGAGCTGGGGCTGGGTGCAGTGGCTCATGCCTGTAATTGAGACCAGGAGTTCAAGACTAGCCTGAGCAATATAGCAAAACCCCATCTCTAAAAAAAAAAAAAAAAAAAAAAAAAAAAGTAGCTAGGCATAGTGGCACATGCCTGTAGTCCCAGCTACTTGGGATGCTGAGGTGGGAGGATTGCTTGAGCCCAGGAGTTCGAGGCTCCAATGAGCCATAATTGTGCCACTGCACTCTGGCCTGAGCAACAGAGCAAGGTCCTATGTCTTAAAAAAAAATCATTGGGTTGTATACTTAAGATTTGGGCATTTCAAATTCTTAAAATTTTTAAAACAAAAGTCACATTGACAATTTAGCAGAGTCTTTAAGAACATGGCTCTGGAGCCAGATAATTATTGGTTCAAATTCTACCAAATGGTAAATACCAGCTAAAAGAACTTGTGTCCATTGCTTCATATCTCTATCTCTGTTTCCTTGTGTGTAAAAGGAGATAATAGTAATGCTCGGGGGTAACTGTAAAGATTAAATGAGTTATATGCAAAATTCTTGGTATATTATTTGGCAAACAGTGAAGTATTGTAGAAATTGTATCAATTATTAGAGCTTGGCATGGTGGCACATGCTGTATCCCCTGCTACTCTGAGGTGGGAAGCTCTCCTGAAGCCAGCAGTTTGAGATTGCAGTGAGCTATGATCATGCCTGTGAATAGCCACTGCACTCCAGCCTTGGCAACATAATAAGATTCTGTCTCTACTTTCTAAGAAAAATTATTTTAAAATACTGTTGCTACTCCTAAGTTAATCAATTATCAATGAACTATTATTAGTTAGTAGAAGCATTAATATTGTTCAGAATTATTAATGAATTGTTATCTTAAATCATTTCTATTGATACAAGAACAGAAAAAGAGTTTGGGCAAAAGAATGATACCTTAGAGTATACATGGATAAGAAATACATAAAACAAGATTTCCTCATGCAACATAGGTGATGAGCATTACCAACTGATCATAGCATTCTTTCCTGGGGAGTTTAATGAGTCAAAAGCCTTCCCCAAATGAACTCCAGGCAGCTAACACCAACCAACCAGAGGTGATAATAGAGCTGAAACTTTTAGCCGATGCTGGATTATAATCACCTAAAGGCAAAGGCAAGAATAGGCAATATGCGATTAAACGTTTGATAAACCTTCTCTGATGATGCTCCTATAATGTGTACTGTGTATATCATGTGATTAATGATTTTCATTAAAGAGAAAAGTATAAAGAACCAAAGTTGAAAGGTACCAGGTTTTCATTAAAATTAAGTAGCCAAGTAGATAGTAACACCAGGGTCATTGGCAACCAGAGCCTTGGATATAGGGCGAAGAGCTGGGGTGGTTTAGAAAAGCTGCAGCTAAGCAGGCCTTGCCAGGAAAAAGAAGCCTATAAGGAGCAGAACCTGGAAAACAACAGGCAAAGCAAAACTGCAGGTCCAGAGCAGCGTGAAGCAAGGATAAGACCACTAAGTGAAGGTCAGTTTAAGGCTACAGTCAGAACAAGAAGTTAAGCCCACATCAGGGCATATCAAAGCAGCAGAGTCAAGATAGTCATTAGGCCAAAGCCTAGGAAGACAGGTGGCAGTCAGGAAAACACACATTTGGAAGGGCTGGCTAAGGTGGACCTAAGAGGTTTGAGATGCCTATTGAAAATCCAAGTAGAAATGCCAAGTAGACTTGGATATTCAGCACTGAAGAGGCTGGAGCTAGAGAAGTGAAGTTAGGACCTATGGTATAATATGTAAAGGTATCATATGGAATAAGATAACCTAGAAAGTAGAGAAGTCCAAGGACTGAGACCTGGGGCCCTTCAACATTTCAAGGTCAAGAAGAGAAGAAAAAGTGGAGGACACTGAAGAAGAGAAGAGGAGAAGCCACCAAATTAGGAAAATATAAGCAGTAGATGATCTGAAACAAAGTGAAGAAAATGCTCTCAGTGGTATCAATAGGTTCATAAGATAAGGGCTGAACATTCAATTCACCACTGGATATTGCAAGATAGAGGTCACTAATTACCTGGACAAGAGCATTATCAGTGGCATAGTAACTACAAAGGCTTGGTTAAGAGTGGATTAAGAAGAGATCTGGAGTTGTTAAAATTAGAAGAGATAAAATGTTAAAAGAGTTCTGTGAACTGTAAAATGCCATGCATACAATGATAATTTTGTCACAACTGATCATTATGGTGAAAATTACTTAACCTTAGTACTTAAGACTTGTTGGTGTAGATAAGTGAATGGTTGGTAGATAAAGATGGTCAGCTGATGACAGATGGTGACAGAGTCATGTCTTAAGAACACATTAAGGGTGCAAAAACAATTTTTCTCCCTCTGTTCCAAATCTGTTTAGGAGATAGCTGGGAGTCGTTGACAAATGTAGTAAGCAGAAGAAAAGCAGATCTTCAAAATGGAATCCATGCATAACTGAATGTAAAATTTGTACATTTGTAGGTCCAAGTATACATGTAAGCAATAATTTGTTATCTTCAGACATTACAATTTGGCTAATTAGAAAGTCATGGAGACTTCCATTTGCTGTGGATAGTAAATTTGATAATCCAGCTAGCAATTGCTAGGGAAAAGTGAATTGTGGATTCCTATCTATCTGTCCAAATCATTTACTAAAATATTATTGGATGCCTACTACATGTAAGGTTTCTGAGCCATGCCCTACTAGTAAATGTAGCCAAGGAAAACTTTTTTTTTTTTTTTTGACAGCGTCTCACTCTGTTGCCCAGGCTGGAGTGCAGTGACGCGATCTCAGCTCACTGCAACCTCTGTCTACTGGGTTCAAGCAATTCTCCTGCCTCAGCATTCTGAGTAGCTGGGATTACAGGCACCCACCACCACCATGCCCAACTAATTTTTGCATTTTTAGTAGAGACGGTGTTTCACCATGTTGGCCAGGCTGGTCTTAAACTCCTGACCTCAGGTGATCTGCCCGCCTCGGCCTCCCAAAGTGCTGGGATTACAGGCGTGAGCCACCGTGCCCGGCCAAGGTAATCATTTTGTCACACAAAACTCAGAGTATATGAGAGACTTGTAACTTTTAAATTATCTCTGATGAATTTAAAGTTCTTCAGCAACCTTAGTCCCACAAGGCAAAAGGAAAAATTTGCTTAAATGCATACATGAACGGTATATTTTTCCATTAAATTAGTCTCTTTAGTTTAAATTTGCTCTCTTTCAGGTAAATACTCACCACTCGGGGTATTCTTTTTTACCTCTTCTTCCAGGGTTAGCTGGTTGAAGGATAACTCACCTATCCTCCTGGTGATAGAGGGGTACTTGGTCCCCATCCTGTCCTCTGGGTCTTTGACAGCCTCTGACATGGTACAACTGTTCTGCTCTCATCCCTGGCATCTGGCCTGCACCCACTGCTACAGTTGTCAGCTAAAGAAACATCTGGTCTATTCCATGATAGCTCTAGCTATGGGTGTCTTCATATGTTCATGTCTCTGATGCTGGTGGCATCTTGCTGCCAGCTCTATCAGATGGCCCATTTTCAACCACCCTCTTGGGACTTTCCTCCCCATCCTTTAGGCATTAGGAACTCCAGGGAGCTTCTGATTCCTGGTACAGGTCCATCCAACAAGATTGTGGGGAGATCGTGGACATGGCTCACCTTCCTGCTCTCTTCCACAGCCATTTCTGGGTCCACAGGAAGGCTAGGAATTCTCTCCTTGCCAATCAGGGCTTCTTATGAAGCAAGCGAGATCGCTCATCTTCCACCTTGCTATGCCTCTCTGCCGTCTCTGCCTTACAGCTTGGTGGTGCTGTCATCAACACAGAGCTACTTCCCAGAGAAGCAAGGACAAGTCTCACAGCTTTATGTCTCTTCAAACCTATCTGCTTATGTTCCAGTGACTTTCCACCCTCGCCCTCTGGGGTTTTAGGCCAATAGAAGACAGCCAGGCACGTATGTCTCATTTCCTTTCCTTACCTTCTCTCCTCCAAAGCCCTACTTCTTGGTGTCAAAGAACTATCTTTTTCTTCTCTTCCTGTCTGAAAGGGCTTTCTCCTACAACTGGAAAACTAGCCGGGCGCATTGGCTCACACCTGTAATCCCAGTACTTTGGGAGGCCAAGGCGGGTAGATCACTTGAGGTCAGGAATTTGAGACCAGCCTGGCCAACATAGTAAAACCCCATCTCTACTAAAAATCCAAAACGTTAGCCAGGTGTGGTGGTGGGTGTCTGTTATCCCAGCTACTCAGGAGGTCGAGGCAGGAGATCACTTGAACCGGGGAGGCAGATGTTGCAGTGAGCCAAGATAGTGCCATTGCTCTCTAGCCTGGGCAACAAGAGTGAAACTCCTTCTAAAAAGAAAAGAAAAAAAAAAAAGAAAAGAAAACTAGAAAACCAAGGAGGGGAACCCACTGGGAAGTATTTTCAGAAAACACCATAATTGTTTCAAAAGAACTGAGTATATGAGAGATTGCTTGTCTTTCGAAACCTTGCAAACTAATTGGAAAGATAAGACAATATGTAAAAAATAGATAATGCACAAGCTACTGCCGTGTTGCAGATGCTATCATCTGTCCAGAGGCCAGCTCAACTGGTTGGAGAGCTGAGCTAGACGGAAGGCAGCAGGGAAGCCTCCCTGAATTAGCACCAGCATGGAAGGCTAGGCTAACATGAGGGGTGGGTGGAAATGAGTAAGTTAGCAAAAGGCCTCCATAGAGAATTCTGGGCAGCATTATATTGGGTTGATTCTTTTTTTCTGCCTGAGTTGTGCTACTCTGAGCAAAAAGAATTTTGGACAGACTATCATTTTGCAAATTCATAGATTTGAACTGACTCTAGCCTTAATGGAAAATATCCCTTATTATTCACACCTTACTTTCAGCTGAAATGTTAACAAGTATGGGACACATTCTTCACTAGTATTCCAGAAAGGAACTTGCTCCGTCAAGGTCAATTTAGGCTTTTCCCTATGAAGGAATGTCCTTTTACAAAGCTATGTGTCTATGGCTTATATTTCAATCATTCTTCCTTGGATATTTCTTAGTCTGGTAAATGCAGTAACAGATATATTCCATGCAATTAGATTTTCTTACTTTGATGATGTACATTAATTCTTCTGTTTGTCTTTATTCTTTTATTCCGTGAGTTAGGTTAATATAATGGCAAAAGGGGAAAAAAACACAAAAGATATATGTGTCTATTTACATACCTAGTATGCATATAGTATGTATCATGTCTGCATGCAAACATATAGCATACATAACATTGACACAAAGTATATGTATATAGTTAAATATGTGTGAATCTATGGCAGAAAAACATACATAAATATATATATACACACATTTGGGTAAATATAAAAGTACTGAAGTCCATATTGAGGTATAAACTACAGATCCCCATTTGATACAAATAAAATGTTTCATGTCTTTGCACCTTTGCATAGGTTGCTTCCTTCAGCCTGAAATGTTCTTTGAATCCCCTTCACCTCCCAAACTCCTTAGTCTTCAAGAACCAGCTCAAGATCCACTTCCCCATTATGCTGTTATTGTGCTAGATTTCACTGAATTCTTTCTTTCTTTTTTTATTTTTATTTTTTGAGATGGAGTCTTGCTCTGTTGCCCAGGCTGGAGTACAGTGGCGTGGTCTCAGCTCACTCCAACCTCTGCCTCCTGGGTTCAAGTGATTCTCCTGCCTCAGCCTCCTGAGTAGCTGGGATTACAGGCACTTGCCACCATGCCTGACTAATTTTTTGTATTTTTAGTAGAGACAGGATTTCACCATGTTGGCCAGGCTGGTCTTGAACTCCTGACCTCATGACCTGCCCGCCTCAGCCTCCCAAAGTGCTGGGATTACAGGCGTGAGCCACCATGCCCCACCACCAAATTCTTATATGTATGCTTCCATTATTGTATATTCCTGTCTCCTCTCCTAGACAATGAGCTCTTTGAGTATAAGAACTGGGTCTCATTCATGTTTGCTTTGCCCCAGACCTTAACCCTCAGGCACATACTAAGCACTCAATAAACATTTTATGAATGAGTAAATGAAGTCCTTGAATAATAATTAAGACTTTGATGTGAAGGAACATAAAGCTCTCTCCTAACCCAGACTGGGGAGGGACCTTGAGGAAGGCTGGAAACTTTCTAAGGCAGAGAGAAGTTAAAGGACATCAGCCTGCTTGGGGAAGGTATTTGGAGGATGGAGACCACCTACTTGGGTGACATGGAGTGATGTCATATGAATAGCTTTTGTGTCTAGGCCTTTGCAAACTAACATGATATAATGATTACTTTTCTAAAGCTAGAAAAATTCTAAAGAGGGTCAAGCTCTTTGAAAGTTGGCTATACAGGCAGTGGCTTTGGAGATGGATGTTCCTCCACTTACCACATGACCTCAGCAGGCCATATCACTTTTCTGGAACTCAGCTTCTAAGGAGGGAGTGGGGAGGGAGAATGGTGCCTACCTTGCCAGGTGAGGCAGAAATGAGAAATTTCACCTAACGTGCTGTGTGTAATATATTATTGAGACTCAGGGCCTGGTCAGGAAAACTTCAACTATTTCCAAGTATTTAGACCAGAGGAAATTTAATGCAGGGAATTTGTTAAGTGGGGTCTGGGAGAACTGAAAGCAAAGAGGTACAGTGAGGAAATCCAAAGATCAGCCACAGCAGGAAGCCACTGCTGTCCCTAAGCTGCAGAGATAAAGGGAGGGAATGGTGTTACAGACACCAAGAGCTGAGGTGACCCAAGAAAAGGTGAAACCATGTCCAGCGGGAACTGGGACCATGGAGGAGACGTGGCTATTGCTGGGAAGACACCTGCACCTAAGGCAGAAAGGAAAGGGCGAAACACCTGGGTTTCTTTTCCCTCTGCCCTCTTGTCTCCCACCACCACAAGCCACTATCTGAACCCAGGACTCAGCCGCTTTGCAACAGAAGGTAAAGCAGGAGAATAGAGAGAAATGAATCTCAAAACAAATGCACAATTCATTTACACAATCAGTTATTCATTTACACAGTCAGTTAGAGTTAGTTTTGTCCATGAGGGACAGAAAATTCAAATAACTGTGGCTTAAATAAGGAAGAAGCTCATGTTTCTGTCCCGTAAAAGCCCAGGTAGGCGAGTTAGGTCTGTGATGGGACTTTATCCTGGCAGAACCACAGGCATCTTCCATCTTTATACTCCTTTGCGTGTGGCTTGAGCTCATGGTCCCAAATGGGGCATCTGTGTTTCAGGAGGCAGATGGTAAAATGGACAAAGAAAAAAAGAGAGAGAGGAGCACATAGACATTGTCTGGTAAAGCCATGATTTTAAAACTGTGGGTCATGACTTACCAGTGTGTTGGCAAGTCAATATGATGGGTAACTTTAATAAATGAAATGGAATAGAATAGAAGATATCAGACTGTACCACCGAGTAAAGATATTTCTACATAAAACTTTTGTTTCAGAAATAGATGAGTGTGTAAGTGATAAATATGTAATGTAATATTTCTTTCTTTCTTTTTTTTTTTTGAGATGGAGTCTTGCTCTGTTGCTCAGGCTGGAGTGCAATGGTGTGATCTCGGCTCACTGCAACCTCTGCCTCCCGGGTTCAAGTGATTCTCCTGCCTCAGCCTCCTGAGTAGCTGGGATTACAGACACACACCACCACGCCCAGCTAATTTTTGTATATTTTGTAGAGACAGGGTTTCACCATGTTGGCCAGGCTGGTCTTGAACTCCTGACCTCGTGATCTGCCCGCCTTGGCCTCCCAAAGTCCTGGGATTACAGGCGTGAGCCACCATGCCTGGTCATAATACATATTTCTTATGGTTGAAATGCTGTCCAAAAAGTTCAAGGCCACTGTTAGGCAAAAAGTTCCTGGAAACTACATTTCTGTTTCATCCCACTGGCCAGAACTTAGTCACATGACTGTGCAGACTTGTCAGAAGAGCTGGGAAATGTACCCTTTATGACAGGGAGCCATTTGTCTGACCAAAAATTAAAGACTTTATTAGTATAAAAGAAAGAGAGTTTCCATATTCAGTGATAACTAGGAGTCTCAGCCACATCCACAGGCATTGTTATCACCACCTGTTGTTATTGTTACTATTGATGGTTATTATTGACAGAAAGCCATCCCACTCAGGGGGTGACTCTTGGCAGTTTAACACAGTGATGACAAGTTTGGTGCCTGGATCCACACAGTCTGTGTGTGAATCCCACTTTGTCCTTTAGCTTTCTCTTCTCTAAAATGGGGATAATAATTGTGTCTTCCAAGTTTCTGGAAGGACTAAATGGGGATGAGAGTTGAGCAGACACGTGGTCCCTGTGTGAGCCCTTAGTGATGTTGGGTGTAGATGTCAGCACCGGAGCCCAGAGGCAGGGCATATGGGAGGGTGGCAGGGGGAAGGCATGCTGTGTCCAGCCAATGTCCATTCTGATGCTGAAGCCGTTGTTAAATATATGGCAAATCACCTCTGCTCCATAGCGGCACACAAGAACTGGGCCAGGAATGAGATGCTAGCCAGCCACGAGGAACAGTAGACAATAGCATCACACTCTGCAACTTTTGAGGAAGGAAGTTGAGGGGCAATGAGTGCATCTTTCAGGGTTCAACTAAGTTTGGAGTAATAATAACCGCAGTACCTGGCATATAGTGGGCCCTAGATTATTTGTTGGCTGTTGAATGAATGACCAAAGTAGAATTGTGAAAAAATACCTTTTGACTATGACACAAACTTACTTTTTTTCCTGTTGCTGATGTGAAATGGAAAAGACAAAGGTAATATAAACAAGAAATCACATTTAAGTTGAGTGTGTTTCCAAAAATAAAATTATTGTCGCACTCTTATTAAAAATACATAACTTTTTCTTCCACCTTCTGTATGTTATGATTACTCTTGTAACACTAATTAAACACCCGCCATGTGCTAAGTGGTAAACAGAATATGTGAATAATGATGTTTGTGCTCTCATGGTGATGGGCAGAGAAACTGGGTAGAAAACTCCACAGGAAGGATGAAGGTGAATTTGATATTTTAATATTAGTCATATTGGCATGGTGTTTTCATGGAAAGTTGTGAAACAACCTTATTTGGACATATGAGAAAAAGATAAGCCACACTTACTTGCAATCAGAGAAAGTAAATGGCTTGTCTAGGTTCCCTCTTCATCTCCAAGGAATATCATGTGCCTAAACCAGAGGTTACTTTAGGGAGGACACGTGTTCCACATGGCCAGTGAATGCATTTATTTTACCTGCCTGGTCCCAGTCAGTATTTAAGGTGATATTTCTACAAACATCTGATAGTCTCCAGAATGTATTCATTCACTCATTCATTCATCCATTCATGTATTCATTTTTATTCATTCATGTATTCCTCAATTCAGTAAATGTTTATAAAGTCCCCACTATGTGCCCTATGCCACTGAGAAGTAAAATATTAAAAGACTAAAAACAAATTGCTTTTCCCCTAAAGGGAATGTCTGCCCTCTGAGAAAGACAGTCAAGAGCCACTAATTGCAGTGCAGATGGACAAAGGCAAAGACTGGCACAGGGGGCATCATGGGAGCATCAGGAAGTGGCTTCTACCTCCACCTGGAGTACAGGGCAGAGTGGTCAAGAAAGGTCCCCTAGAGGGAGGTGATTCCAACTGAATCTTCAAAATTTAGAATGCCTTAGCTAGGTGGCAAGGTAAGGAAGGCAGGGAAGTGTAGCACCAGGGAGTCAGAGATTCTAGTAGCTCATTTTGGCTGGTGCACAGGATGTAAATGCATGCTGGAGGAGGGTGTGGGGAGGGGTGGGGACAGAGAGATGCCTGTAGGTCCAGACCATGCAAATCTTTGTGTGCTTAAGAATTTCCATTTCGTTCTAAAGATTATGTGGGATCATTGATAAATAAATACAGGAGAAATGAAATGACTTGATCAGGCTCAAGAAAAGACCATTCATGGATGACTTAAAAAATAATCTCAACTTTTATTTTAGATTTAGGGGAGTACATTCGCAGGTTTGTTAGATGGGCATATTGTGTGATGCTGGGGTTTGGAGTATGGATGATCCCATTACCCAGGTAGTGAGCATAGTACCCAGTAGGTAGTTTTACAGCTCACAACACCCCTTTTCTACCTCCTCGAGTAGCCCTCAGTGTCTATTGTAAGGATGACTTTTTTATTTCAACCTTGACACGCTCAAGTTGCCCTTGTGTGTCCCCACCCCTGAGGGTGGTCAGGCAGGAAGTAGGTCTGCCAGTCAGTGCTATGAGCTGAGGGGAAGAATACTAATGTTAAGACGCTGACCAGGCATGGTGGCTCACACCTGTAATCCCAGCACTTTGGAAGGCCAAGACAGGCGGATCACGAGGTCAGGAGATTGAGACCATCCTGGCTAACATGGTGAAACCCCATCTCTATTAAAAATACAAAAAATTAGCCGGGTGTGGTGGCACGCACCTGTAATCCAAACCACTCAGGAGGCTGAGGCAAGAGAATCACTTGAACCCGGGAAGTGGGTGTTGCAGTGAGCTGAGATCATGCCATTGCATGCCAGCCTGGGCGATAGAGCAAGATTAAAAAAAAAAAGCCTCATGCCTGAGAGTGACTAATCCAAATGTGTCAGAGATGACACTGAAGTAGTGGGTCCAACATGGATCATCAAACCCAAGGGCACTGAAGGAGAGACTCTGGGGTCAAGAGTGAACTGAAATAGGCCAGGGAAAACTAGAGATGGCAGGTGGAATGAGAGGTCTTCTGGACTTGTTTTGGATGTTTCCACTGCATGTTTTTAGTACCGCACTAGAAAAGGCTTGCTTGGGTACTTAAGGGTTCTTGACCCCTGGGACTGTAGGGTAAAGTTGCAATGCTCAGTACGCACACCCATTGCGTAGGAATTCTGGAATTCTCCACTGTTGTGGGGACATCAGTACAATAGCAACACTGATCTGAAAATGCCTAGCACAATGTCTGCCTCTTATAAAATTCCTCACTTGTAGTTACTTGTTCTTGCAATTACCAGTTCAGTATCTGTCCTTGCCACCAAGATGTAAGTGCCGAAGGAAAGGGAATGTGCCTGCCACATCTCTGCTCTCTAGTATGTAGCCAAGTTCCTGGTGTGAGTGAATGATAAACAATTTTAAAATCTGAGGCCAGGTGAGGTGGCTCACACCTGTAATCCTAGCACTTTGGGAGGCTGAGGCGGGTGCATCACCTGAGGTCAGGAGTTCAAGATCAGCCTGGCCAATATGGTGAAACCCCATCTCTACTAAAAATACAAAAATTAGCCAGGCATGGTGCTGGGTGCCTATAATCCCAGCTACTTGGGAGGCTGAGGCAGGAGAATTGCTTGAATCCGGGGGCGGAGGTTGCGGCTCTGCACTCTAGCCTGGGTGACAGAGCGATATTCCATCTCAAAATAAAATAAAATAAAAATAAAATCTGAATCTGGTTTGCCCCATTAACCGCTAAGATATTTATGTACTAATTCAAGGTCAAGTCAGTTGGATGACATTGATAAACTATAGCATTTATACCATTAGTGCTTCTGATCCTTCAGAACATTTTGTGGTTAAGTTCCTCTATTTTGGCTTTCATACAGAAATGTTTAGATAGCCCAATTTTTCTGAACAATAGTTTCCACCTTTGCAAAATGGATTTGATCATAATACCTAAGCTGTTATTATGAGTCAGGATAGCACTTAATTAAGAATGATAGCCTGGACTTAAATAATAACACTAACACATATTACTTCTGAAACCTTGGGTAAAAAACTCAATCTTGTGAAACCTCAGTTTCCTGGTCTATAAAGTGGGGATGATTATATCTACTTAATATGTTCTCTGCAAGAATAAAATAAAATAATTCATTTAAAACACTTAGTGTAGTGCCTGGGACCTAGTGAAAGCACAATAAATGTTAACTATTATTATTATGACTCATAGAGTTTTAAGGATTGAATGAGATCATTTCATTTAAAACATACAGCATCACCCAAAGGACTATAAATCATGCTGCTATAAAGACACATGCACACGTATGTTTATTGCGGCACTAGTCACAATAGCAAAGACTTGGAACCAACCCAAATGTCCAACAATGATAGATTGGATTAAGAAAATGTGGCACATATATACCATGGAGTACTATGCAGCCATAAAAAATGATGAGTTCATGTCCTTTGTAGGGACATGGATGAAATTGGAAATCATCATTCTCAGTAAACTATCGCAAGAACAAAAAACCAAACACCACATATTCTCACTCATAGGTGGGAATTGAACAATGAGAACACATGGACACAGGAAGGGGAACATCACACTCTGGGGACTGTTGTGGCATTGGCAGAGGGGGGAGGGATAGCATTAGGAGATATACCTAATGCTAAATGATGAGTTAATGGGTGCAGCACACCAGCATGACACATGTATACATATGTAACTAACCTGCACATTGTGCACATGTACCCTAAAACTTAAAGTATAATAATAATAAAATTAAAAAAAATAAAAAATAAATTAAAAAAATGTTTTGCCACCTCAAATTAGTTTTTAACAAAATTAAGTGGGGTGTAAATAATTAGCTAATAAATATTCACCATGTAATTAGCTATTTCTAATTTCCTTGAACTTATGTATTGTTTTAGACATTTTCAAAGAGAAATACATAATATGCTTTTCTAAATATTTACTGTAATGAAATAATTAAAAATGTTTCAGCACACACACACACACACACACAAAATACAGCATCATGCCTAGAACCTAGTAAGCACTCAGAAAGTGTTAGCTAATATTAATAGTTATCTATTAATATTAATAGCTATCTATCTACAAGTGCCTCATGGCCTTTCCACTTGCTGTTCCCTATGTCTTGAAACTCTTCCTTATAATATTAATATAAATAGCTAGTATTAATAGATAATTATTAATATTATTTCCATATATAATCATTGTTGTCTGTGTTTTGTTTTGTTTTGTTTTTTGAGACAGTGTCTTGCTCTGTCACTCAGCTGGAGTGTAGTAGTACAATCTCAGCTCACTGTAGCCTCAACCTCCTAGACCCAAGCAATACTCTCACCCCAGCCTCCAGAATAACTGGGACTACAGGCATGCACTACCACACCTGGCTAATTCTGCTTATTTTTTGTAGAGATAAGGTCTCACTATGTTGCCCAGGCTGGTCTCGAACTCCTGGGCTCCAGGGATCCTCCTGCCTCGGACTTCCAAAGTGCTGGGATTACAAGCATGAGCCTCCACACCTGGCCTGCCTGCTTTATTTGTTTTGTTCCATCTCTTGTATTGCAGCCTCAATAGGTGGTTTAAATCTCTTATTGCTAATTCACTTTGTATATTTCTATGTCTTGCCTCCCTAGCCAGTGAGTGAGTGCCACAATTCTCTATGGGTTTCTTGCATTTTTGCATGCCTTGTGAGCAAGATGTTAACCACTCTTTTGTTCTGGACTATATTTTCAAAGACTTCTGCTTACTGAACAGCCTGGGCAGGTAGAGATAGTGTCTTTCTTTAGAGCAAAGGGAAAATTTGCTTTCTGTTCAATATATTAAACATATATATTTCTGGGGCAAAGGGCAGTTTTGTTTGCATTTCATCATAAAAGATTTGGGCTATCTAAGCTTGGGGTTTCTCTCTTTCAATACTACCTGTTGTATGCAGGTGTCACCTGGCTCTCTTCATATTGCCCTGTGGAAACTGGGTCTTGGAGGACTGGCACAAACGCTGACACTCTGGCTACTGCTATCGTTCTGAGCAATAAAGCCCTTTGTCTCTAATTCAGGAGTCTCATATCTTCTGCCAGCATCATGAGGCTGTGGTGGGTTGACTTGTTGGCTTGCAAATGGCATAACCTTTCACAGTTCCTAAGAGTGAAAGCAGATATTTGAAGGAAGAGCGTTCAAGACGGAACAGCAACAGGAAAGGCCGTAAGGCACTTGTTGGACGTAATATTCTCTGTCTTGATTCTCTGTCCTTTCTGATACCTGTAAAGTTCTTAAGGACAGCCAATCATATTCATCTTTATATCCCTAGCACCCAGCAAAATCATTGGCATATAGCAAATGCTCAATAAATGTTTGTTGAAATTAACAGGAAAAAATAATTGCTGCTTTGGAAATAAGGATGTTTCTTGGGCAGCGATTCATGGGGTGCCAAATAATATAATTTCTTTTCTTTTTTCTCATTCAGAGAGAGGCACATGATAGAGTTGCAAAATAATTGAGCTGGGAGTCAAACAGACCTGGGTTTCCATCCCACCTCTGCTGTTACTAGCCTGTAACCTTGGTCAAGTTACTTTACCTTTCTGAGCCTCCTTTTCCCTGTGTATAATATTGCAATGATCTTGTCTTCCCTATTTTGATGCTTAAATGATAGAATATAGGAAACATACTAAGAGATTAAGAAATGAGTCCGGGCATGGTGGCTCACTCCTGTAATCCCAACACTTTGGAAGGCCGAGGCAGGTGGATCACCTGAAGTCAGGAGTTCGAGAACAGCCTGGCCAACATGGTGAAACCCTGTCTCTACTAAAAATATTATATGGGCATGGTGGCAGGCACCTGTAGTCCCAGCTATTCAGGAGACTGAGGCAGGAGAATCTCTTGAACCTGGGAAGCAGTGGTTGCAGTGAGCCAAGATCCTGCCATTGCACTCCAGCCTGGCTCACAGAGTGAGACTCCATCTCAATGAAGAAAAAAGAAAGAAAGAAAGAAATGATATGCTGTGTGTCATATACAGCACCTAACCATAGAAGGGTTTTAGTAACTTGTACCTCTCATGGTTATTCAACCTTTACTGTCTCCCAGTTTGAAGGGAAATGGGAAACCTGATGATTTCTTAAATCAGCAGAAGAATGTGAAAAACAGAGAGAGTCTGTGTTCTAAGATTCAGTCTAGACCATTAACCATTTCCATTTATTTAACAACAAGTCGCTGGGCATGGCAGCTCATGCCTGTGATCCCAGCATTTTGGGAAGCTGAAGTGGGAGGATCATTTGAGCCAGGGAGTTTGAGGCTGCAGTGAGCCAGGATTGCACCACTGCACTCCAGCCTGGGTGACAGAAGGAGACCATGCCTCAAAAAAAGATTTTTTTAACTTAAAAATTAAAAAAAAAAAAATCGTAAGTTGGCACTGGCTGAGATTTGTAGTCTGCTAGAAATTAACAAGTGAGTGTTAATTTCTGCCCTAGGAATTACCAGTTCCATTCTCCTGAGCTCCCTGAGTTCACAGGTTCGATATAGTTTGCAGCTGGTTATTGTTTTATTTATTTATTTTTTATTTTTTTTTGATACGGAGTCTCACTCTGTCACCCAGGCTGGAGTGCAGTGGCATGATCTTGGCTCACTGCAACCTCTACCCCCCAGGTTCAAGCGATTCTCCTGCCTCAGCCTCCCGAGTAGCTGGGATTATAGGTGCACCACCACGCCCAGATAATTTTTGTACTTTTAGTAGAGACAGAGTTTCACCATGATGGCCAAGCTGGTCTTGAACTCCTGACCTCAAGTGATCCGCCCGCCTCAGCCTCCCAAAGTGCTGGGATTACAAACTTAAACTACTGTGCCCGGCCCAGTTATTGTTTTGAATAGGAGACCTGCCTGTAGCATTAGGCTGAGAATTTGTTGCTAACTTGGGTCTTATGTCCACCTCAGAGCATGTAAAGGGAATCACGGTAGCTTGGGAACTCCATACCACATTTCTGGAATTCTGGCCAAGAGTTCCTCAAAACAATTTCATATATAGTTTTTCTGTGATGAAGATCTTGGACAATGGGTACCATGAGGCGGCCTATCACTGAAGTAGCTTTATAATTCCCAAAATATGGAAGAGCAGCCAGTTTGATGAGGACTCTTGGTTATTCTTTAGCAGTCAAGGAGCAAAATTGTTACTGTAGCTCCTTGCATGAGAGTTATTGATTCATGGATTTTTCTAATTTTTCCCCCAATTATTTGGTTCAACAATTCTTGGATTTCTACTCTGGGTCTAGAACTATGCTAGACTCTGTGGCAGTGAATAAAACAGACATAGTTCCTGATAGGTCATTCCTCTGTAGGTGGTTAATAGAACACACCATGAGAAACATTGAGATGGAGAAAACAGACTTGCAAATGGACAATTGCAATATTAATTGCTGGAGCTTCTGGAAAGGAAGCAGATAATGAACAAGTGTCCAACTCAGTCATAAGCAAGGGGTAGAGGATTACTCTGTGGAGAATATAAAATCATCAGACAAGTTTCATGGTGATCTGTGGTCTTCTAGGGACAGTTGTGACCCACTTACCAGTCTTTTCATTATTTTGTAGTTCAAACAACTGCACAGTCAATAGTGTCCTCTCTGTATAGAATGGATGATTGAACTTATCTATAGAGTTACATCAAGACAAAAGACAGAAGAAAAGGGTCTATTATTAATAGAACATATAGACTGGATTTGGAATGAGAAAGTTCTGAAATCAAGTCAGTTCTGGCTCTTGGTGACAGTCTCTGTTACAGGCCATAGGTTCTATGTACTCCACTCTCCCCTGTCTGTGATTGGCTTTCTTAGCTCATTCATGGGGTCTGCTCCTTCACAGCTTCAGCTTGCAGAGTCACACTGCTACTTAATGAGTGTGTCAATGTACCAGGTCCTTTGCAAAGTGTTTTATGTGCCTTTTCACAAAAACTTTAGGTCGCATTATTTACATTGTACGGATGAAGCAACTGAGGCTAAGAGAAGTTAAGTTTTACAGAGACGACAGCTAAGAAGTATTGTCCTTGGGATCCAAACCCAGATTTTGTCCAAGATTCACACTCTCAGCTTTGCTATATGACTATGTGTGTGTGTGTGTATATATGTATACATACACATGTATACACGTGTATATATACACATACACATGTATACACGTGTATATATACACATGCACATGTATACACGTGTATATACACATGCACATGTATACACGTGTATATACACATGCACATGTATACACGTGTATATACACATGCACATGTATACATGTGTATATACACATGCACATGTATATATGTGTATGTATATACATACACATACATACACGTGTATATATGTGTATGTATATACATACACATGTATATATGTGTATATATACACATATGTATATATACACATATATACACATATGTATATATACATATATACACGTATACATATACACACATGCATATATATGTATATGTATTTGTATATATACACACACGCATATATATGTATATGTATTTATATACAGCCATCTAATAGCTATATTTATTCTATATCTATATCTGTGTACATATATATGTATACAGAGGTGTATACATACATATATGTGTGTGCATATCAGGGAATATATAGCCATGTATATACATCTGTGTATATATTTGTGTGTTTGTGTGTGTATGTATATATGTGTGTATATATATGCCTATATATTTTCTGCTATATACATTATGAGATTCATGGTTCCTATGGCCCCCTCTCATATCCTTATAGTTTTAACTACTACTTCTAACTGCTTTTTCCTCAGTATTTCCTAACTAAAATTTTTTAGAATGAAGTCTTGTCCCAGTTAATATTTCTGCCATGCCTTAGGTGCTGTAGATTGGTTGCCTTGATGTCACATATCTATCCTGGTCCCATCAGTTGACCCCCCCTGGGAAAGAATCAACTAGTACTGAGCAGAGATTGATGGGTAGGACAATTTCACTTATATGGATGAGGAACATTAAGGATTGGCAGTATATCACACAATAAGCTTTTATTGGTCTATCATGTACCAGTACACATGTGGGTAAATGTTCTCTCTGACGTCAGACTAGTAGCTCAGAGCTTTTGCTTTGGTGTTTGAAGGCCCAGGTTTGTATACTGACACCACCATCTAAAAGTTGTATTACCTTGGGCAAATAACTTTATTTCTTTGAGGCTTTTCTCTATTGGCAACATAGGAATAGCCATAAGTTCCTTTCCGGGTACTGAGACCCTCCTAGCTATAGACACTGGGCTAAATAGAGCTCCAGGATGCATGAGTTACCATCCTGGCAAGCTTGCTTGCAGTCTAGCATTAGTTCATAAGACTAATGTCAGGGCGGGGAAGGGGGGTCTATAAAATGCATATTCCAGGACCCACCCCCCACCTCCAAAGATTCTGCTTTAGTAGACCTGGAATAGAGCACAGGATTTGCAGTTTATTAAGTGTCCTGAGGCTAGTGTGTTTGGTGGATCACACTTTGAGAAACAAGGTGGAGAAATCAAAGCTTTCAAGTGGAAAATCACAATGTTGCTTGTTAAGCGCTGAGGGGACATTAAGTGCTGAGAGAAGAACCAAGAGCTTTGGAGCACCAAAGAGGAGCCGTAAACTCTGTGGGGGTAGGTGTCACAGAAATGACACCTCAGCTGAATAGGGGACCTAGCAAGTGGAGAGAAGGGGAAGAATTTTGAGGCTGCCATATAGGTGTTTTCTGGGAGTGGTGAGGCAACTGAGGGGCACAGTGGCTACAAAAAGGCCAGAAGAGCAAACAGGGTCAGAGCACAAAGGGCCTTGTTTGTTAAGTTTACTTATCTGTGATGGGGCATCAGAAATGTTTAGATTAGTGAATGACAAGTTGAGATTTGACTTTTAGAAAGTTGATTTTGACTTCCATGTGAAGAACAGAATGAGGGGGAACAGAGAGACTGCACAGAGACCCATGAGGAGACTGGTCATAATACAGGCAAGCTGCAATGAGGAACTGAAGTCAGGCCATAGGATGCAGATGGACAGCGGGGGATGGACACGGGAGATATGTTGGGAGCTGGGGTGGATGGAGAGTGCGTACCTAGCTTGCAGAGTGGGTGACATCCACCTAGATTTGCAGCCAGACATGGATTTAGGTGGAACATGGGGGAAAGCAGTAATGAGTTTTCATTCAGGTATATCTACTAGAGAAGTCAGGAACTTGCTAGAAAAAATGGAGATCCAGGTTGAGCTTTATTTAGAAGTATGATAAACTCGTGTTTGGTAATAATTGAAGGCATAGATGTGGTCGAGAGTCCTCAAAAAGAAGAACCTTAGAGTGAAAAAAAGGTGACATTGGATTAGCATCCCAAGAAATAGGACCTCAAGAAATACCAACATATAAAAGATGGGCAATAAATGCCTATTGTGAAGGCATTTCAGAAGGAGTTTAGAGATGTGTGACACCTTGGTGATGGTAACCTTGAAGAATCAAATAAAAAAATAATGCTATATGTCATTATTATTTTTGTTCTTTACTCTTCCACTAATCACATGGACTAATATGCTTTCTCTTGCGGAGTGTCATGTCAAAGGTACAACAATTTAAAAAACGGAAGTTAAAGGATCATCTTTCTAACAAATGTCAGCTCAACTCCAGGAATAGAAGACATACAGGTAGGTTTTTACCTCATTATTAACTCAAGAATCATTTTTCCAGTACTACTATGTGCTTGTGTGGATGATGTGGAGGTGAAGGGATTGGTCCCCACACTCAACATGCTTGCCTTAGTATGTAAAACAAACATCACAGGCTAGGCGCAGTGGCTCATGCCTGTAATCTCAGCACTTTGGGAGGCCGAGGCAGGTGGATCACCTGAGGTCAGGAGTTTGAAACCAGCCTGGCCAACATGGCGAAACCCTGTCTCTACTAAAAATACAAAAATTAGCAGGGGAGTTGAGAATGGAGAAGTGATCTCAATGAGGTAAAAATGGGCCAGGGAGAGCTTACAAGAGAAGATGACTTTTTAATACAATATAGTCAAAGATGTAAAACAGAAGGTTTTGCTGTAAAATGAAAAGAGTCCTAAATCCAGGTTCTAATCCTGCTACCACCTCTGCTAGGTAACCCTGGACTAGTCCTTTAACCTTCCAGTGTTGGCTCTGTTCTCCAGGAACCTGCAAGCAGCAACCACACAGGGCTTGGAAGGGAGAGTGGCTGTTCTCCACACACAGCAGGTTGACTTGTTCCAGGTGCTTCCAACAGGTGATTTCTCAGCGAGCCTGAGCCAGTAGTCAGGGACAAACAGGAAGGTTAACCTTGCCTCTCCATGCTTGGGAGAACAGGTGTGTGCGCGGTGGACTCCGGTTCAGTCGTTCTTTTTCTTTTTTCTTGCTTTTGATGGGATCAGATGGTTCATTTCCAAAGAGAGACAGAGAGAACTGTATCGTATTTAGGAGCAATAGCCTTGGAGTAAGACTTGTGCTTAAACTCTGGATTTGTTTCTTATCCCCTGGGTGACCTCTGGCAATTTATTCCACCTCTCTAAGCCTCAGTCTTTGTTACCTAAAAAATTGGGATAAAGATACGTACCTCCTATGGCATGTCGCGGAGATTAAAGGATAATGTGCACACCCCCGAGCCCAGTGCCGGGCACACGGTGGCTGGTTGCAACAGAAATCTGTGGGTGGAACGCTAGCTAGCCATTGTGATGAATAACATCAAGGAGAGGGAGTGGACCTACACATGGCAGTCCCCTTCTTCCCCAACCGCTGCCAGGCAGACAGCCAGCGTCCTAGAACTTAAAGGACTTTTCGATGGCTGGAACCTGGGCCGGGTGGGCTCCCTGGCGCGGACGGAGGCGGGGAGCGCTGGCGGGGGTCTCCGTCTCCAGCCACGGGAAGGTCCGTGGGCTCCCCTGCCCGGGCTGGGCCGGTCCCCGAGCAGAGAGAGAGGCTGGTCCCCCGGCCCCCGGCGTCCCGGGGGGCAGGTTCTGAGGCGGGAGCCAGGGAGAGAGAGGAGGGGCAACCGGGGGAATTTCCCCGCCTCTCTTGCTGGTTCCATAAATCACCGCAGCCGCCGCGGCGGCCCAGCCGGGAAGTGCACAGAGCCGGAGCGCAGCGTGGTGGCACCAGACGCCTCCCTTTCCCCACCGCTTGCTTTCTTTCTTTCAGTTGTGTGGGTTTGTGAAGCCTCCCCTTTCCCTCCTCGCTCGGGTGGCTGCCCCAGTCTCGCAGCCCGGCCGCCGCTCCTCTTCCCCGGGGGCCGCCGTCAGTCCTCGCCGCCGCCTGCTCGCTGCGCTGGGACTCGCAGGAAGCGAGAGCCGCGCGGCTCGGCTCGGGCTCCGACTCCGACTCCGATTCCGACTGTCAGCCCCGGGGCCCGCGCACCCCGGCCTGCGGGCGCCCCTGCTCTCGGAGACGCCCTCTGCGCCGCGGGGCCCGTGTGGGCGCCGGGCTCCGGGGACCGCTCGGGCGGCCGCCTCCTACCCCCACCGCCGCGGAGCCCCGCGATGGTGGCCGCCCGCGCTCCCGCGCTGTAGCCGGGCGCCCCCTAAGTTTGGGAGCCTTCGCCACCGCGGCGCGGAGCAGAGCCTGCAACAGAGGAAGAAACTTTTGCGGGGTGCGCCGCGCTTTTGCGGGGGGCACCTCCCGCGGCCCGCTTCCCCGCGCCCGGAGCCCGTCGGCGGGGAGTGGGGGGAGGCAGCATGGCCCGCCAGCCGGAGGAAGAGGAGACGGCCGTGGCCCGGGCGCGGCGGCCGCCCCTCTGGCTGCTCTGCCTGGTCGCGTGCTGGCTCCTGGGCGCCGGGGCCGAAGCCGACTTCTCCATCCTGGACGAGGCGCAAGTGCTGGCGAGCCAGATGCGGAGGCTGGCGGCCGAGGAGCTGGGGGTCGTCACCATGCAGGTAAGTGGCCCCCGAGCTGGCCAGACATCCCGCCTTTCTCCTTTGCTCAAACTCCCATCCCACTCCCGGTACAAGTCCCCTGGACTGTGTGCATCGGCTCCTTGCATACATAGAGCCCGGCTTCCCGTCGGACCCCTCTGTCCTCTGCACAGACCCCCTGACAATACACCAACTCTTCTTCCATGCATTCGTCTACCCCTGCCCTTCTCTGGAGAATCCCCTGCCCTCTGCACGGAACCCACTTGACCCTGCACAGCCCCCCTCTTCTGAGTACCAGCGCCTTCATCTCGTCAAGGATTCTCCAGTTTCCTCGCACGTCTTCTCTAATTTGCACACATTTCCCATGTAGGCTTGTTTTCACCCTGCCACGCCTGCAAACTCCCCCTTTGTGTCCCCATCCCAGAGCAGCCAGCCCCGTCTGGCTCGGACGATTTTCCGAAGTCCCCACCCCACCCCCTTGACCGCGTCCTCGCGTCCTCGCGTCCTCCCTACCGAGGCGCACCAATGGGCGCCGGGAGGGAAGGCGCCGCAGAGTACGCAGCTGCCCCGGGGACACCTAGGTCCCGGCGGAGAGCGGCCCTCCGAGTGGGCTCCGCGCTCCTTTCCCCTCCCGGGAGCATGGGGGGAGGGGCTGGCCTGGTAGATTCTGGGTAGACTCCCGACTCTAATCCTGCTGGGGGACTCTTTTTGTTGCTTTCCGCATATCCTGCTGTAGTTTGCGTGCTGTCTGCTGTATGATTTTTGTTTCGTGTGTGCCTTTTTGGGTCGAAGAAAAAGGGAGCAAAGTGAATAAGGTTCCCATTTCTCCAGATTGTTTATCATGTCCGTCCTCCTCGGGAGAGGAAGGAGGGCTGACAGAAAAACTGCCCGCAGCTAGTAAGGAATCCTGATGATGTTACTCACGACCAACAGTAGTAAAAATTGCTGAACACCAACCACCTGGAGATTCTGCCCCGCTGTTATTTTAATCCACTTGGCCATAAAGGCCCACTAGATTAGGAGAGGTTGAGATGACATTCCCAGCTTGAAACCTTTGCTATAACATTCTTAGATAAAATAACACCATTCTCTTACACATTCTAACAATCATGGGGATGAATGTGGTCTTCGAAAGATTGAAGTTTCCAAGAATGCGTTCTTGGAATAGGTTTCTGATTTCCATCCTACTGTGACCACTCCTTCCACCTCCCACCGGGAGAGGTGTTTAAGTCACTTTTGGGATTTAGGTTTCTTACTTCTTTCTTCTTCGTCGCGTCGTCCTCCTCGTCTTCTCCTTCTCTTCTTTCTTCCTTCTTCTTCCTCCTCCTCCTCCTTCTCGTTCTTCTCCTCCTCTTTCTTTTCTTTTTCCTTCTTCCTTCCTCTTCTTTCCACTTCCCCACACCAATCTCCTCCCAAGAGGTTACAATTTTCTTGAGGAAAGTTCCACAGACCTTCTCTACTGTGGGGAAAGACCACCGGAATTTTTTAAAGGGTGACATGAGGACTGAGGAGTGGATGGATTTTGAAAGGTAATTTTGCATTTATTTGCAGACACCCAGCCCTGAAGTGCAATGGAGTTGGGTTTTCTTGATTTGCATAATAATAGATAAGCTTTTAAGATGCATCATTCAACTATGCCGATCTTTCAGGTTCAGATTCAGTTGCAATTTTTTCCATATGCATTTTCTGATTTCTGATTATTGCTGAGTTCTTAGGAGTGAAGTGACTTTTAGAAAAGATAGAAAACTAGGATTAAAAAAACAGTGGTGAATATTTCCATTCAGAGCACAATTGTATTTTTGCATTGAGGCACCTCTTTTAATAAAGGAAACTTAATATATTGGAGTTGTGGACTCTGCTTGTAGGATTTGTAGGCACTTGCCACCTTCACTCCATCCCTAGGGCTGGACAAGAAATCTTAGGATTCCCCCCTATCCCGCCCCCCCACGCCTTTTCCTTGTAAGCTAAGGACTTGCTTTTTCTAAGATGCTGACAGCCATTTTACTGTTTCTCACCCAGTCCTTGACAAAAGGTGAAATTGGATCCCAACACATTGTCATTCAGGTAGGGATCCTAAGCAAATGTAGTTTTAAAAGGCTGCCCTGTTGAAAAAGACACTTCGAAAAAAAGCTCTGATCGGTGGGGGGTTTGTGCCCAAATGGTCCTTTATCTCCTCCCAACTGGCCTCTTTCTAACACCTTTGCAACCTCATTGTGGAAACGGACCTCCTGTGGACAGGGTTTTGTCTGGCAAAATGTGAAGTGGCTTCTCTCCTTTTTTGAAAGGAGACACACATACTGTATTTAAATTCTGCTTCTTGAGCTGTACATTGATCTGCCACTTGCTTCTAACTGGGAAAATTGCAGAAAGTGTCTCTTTTTAATTTAGTTAGACTGGTCGGAAAAAAAAAAGTCGAATGCAGGTTAGATTTTTGGCCTTAGAACAAAGATTTTGAGCCCCACATTCTCATCTGTAAACCTTTGGGATTTGTTCAGTGGGTCTGAAATTATGTGGGTTTAGTTACCTAAAGTGTAGGTTATATAGCCCTCCCTGCAGCATGATGGATTTTATAGAGGTGGAGCTAATCTGTTTTTCAGAGGTAAGCCTCACATAGGCTTTAAGGTGTGACTTCCTACGAAGATGGTCAGGGTGGGGGTGGAGAGGGGGATAGTTGTGTCTCTTTGGAAAAGAATGTCTTCCCTTGCTTAAGGGATTGACTCCTTTCATTTGACCTTGGCATTTTGAGCATAGTACAGGCCTTTCAGGACACCATCTCACTTTATGAGAAACATTCTATAGGCCTCTTTATATGTAAAAAGCCAATGTTCAGACTTTTATATTGCTTCTGCTGCTGAAATTCTCGAAAGACGATTTTAAAGTTTGAGAAATTATAAAGTAGCCCTCAAACCAGGCCTGTTGTTTTGCAGCATTTCAAGTGGCAGCACTTACTGCTTATAAGGAGTTGCAAGGGGGTAATTTTACAAAAACAAAAACCTAGGCTTCTTTTAGCACTATAGTTTCCCATGACGTAGTTTTCGCACTTGCTGATAGAGAAGACAGTTTGAAAAGCGTCTACCTTGAAGATTTTCTTGGAAAATTCTCCAGTGGGGGCTGCCTACTCATGATTTTTGTTGTTCCTTTTTAATAATGGACAAAATATATTTTAAAAAATCTTTAAATAAGTTGTGCCAACCAATTTTGCCAGTACTCTGGGAAAGCTGTCACTGAATACTGTTCCCCTGACAGCAGACATCATACATCATGGATAAAAGTCAAAAACCTAATCATCATCTCCTCATGGGTCTGGTGCAGAGGAGCCATGGTGGCATTGAGGTCTGGGAGCAGTAAGTGGCTGTGTCCAGGGAGACGGGTTTTTGCCTATTTATTCATGCAACAAGTTTTTATCAAGCAGCATCGTGGAGTGGAAAGAGCCCCACATTGGGTAGGTAGAGACCTGGATTCCAGCTCTGCCATTTGCAAGTTGGGTGATTTTATCTGTAAAATTGAGGATGGTGATTCTTCCTCAAGATTTGCTCTGTGGACTTAAAGGAAATAGTGCATGTAAAGGCATCTGTTAATGTTAAGCCAGGGCTGAGAAATATTGATGGATGTGGTTGTTCTCAAATGGAGAAATGATTATTGGAAGCTTACTGAGCATGGAGCTCTATGCTGGGTATTCAGGGGATTTTACAAGGACGTATTCCAGCACAACTCCTTAAGGAGTTTACATTCTCGAGGAGGAGATAAGATTGCACAGGTAAACCAGCTAAGTAACAATGCCTGCTTGTTAGAAGGCATATCTGGCTCTGGGAGCCATTTCGCCAGGCACTTATAAGGCCCATTTAACATTATAGGACAGTACAGGCTTCCTAACAGCAAGGGCCTGGCACAAGGCCAGTGTGCCTGCCTTAAAGTTAGCCCAACTCTGCTGGGCTGGGCACACTTACTATGAACTTGGCAGACAGACCAGCAGGTTGGTCAGACAGCTGCTGGATGAGGCCTGGGAGGGAGGGAGGAGCAGGGTTTCTTCCAGTCAGGGCAGAAGAAATACCAGAAGCAAGAACTGGAGCTTCAACTCCAATTGAAGAAAAAGCAGCAGCTAGAACAGAGGCATGTTCAGGAACTGAAGGACTCAGCTGGGGCAGAAGTGTCAAAGATATAAAGCAATGTTGTAAATACTGACTACAGCTGGAATTAAAGAGCAACGCTTCTTTGTATGCAGTAAAACAACAATGCACTAAATTCCTTCCTTTTTTTTTTTTTTTTTTTCTTAAGAGACAGGATCTTTGCTCTGTCACCTAGGCTGGAGTGCAGTGATGTGATCATAGTTCACTGTAACCTCAAACTCCTGGGCTCAAGCAGTCCTCTTGAGTAGCTGAGACTACACACACATACCATCACACCCTGCTAATTTTGTAATTTTTTGTAGGGATGGAGTCTCACTCTGTTGGCCAGGCTGGTCTTGAACTCCTGGCCTCAAGTGATCCTCCCACCTTGGCTTCCCAAAGTTCTGGAATTACAGATGTGAGCTACTGTGCCTGTCCTGCATTATTCATTTTCGCATATATCCAACAAAATTTTGGGGAGCTTCTGCTCTATGAAGGGTCTTGGGTTAGATTTTATTTATTTATTTTTTATATTTTGAGATGGAGTCTTGCTCAGTCACCCAGGCTGGAGTGCAGTGGCGTGATCTCTGCTCACTGCAACCTCTGCCTACCGGGTTCACGCCATTCTCCTGCCTCAGCCTCCTGAGTAGCTGGGTCTACAGACGCCTGCCACGACACCCGGCTAATTTTTTTTGTATTTTTAGTAGAGACGGGGTTTCACCATGTTAGCCAGGATGGTCTCGATTTCCTGACCTCGTGATCCACCCGCCTCGGCCTCCCAAAGTGGGGTTAGATTAAACTGGCAATCACAGGTGACTAAAGCCTAGTCCATGCCCTTAATCTGTCAACTAATGATGGAAATAGACACAAAAAGAGGCATTATGATACAGGTGGTTAGCGAGAGACATAGAGGCATTACACTGCAGTAGGTTAGTGCAGTGGTAGAGAGAGAAACAGGATATTATGGGAGCATAGAGGAGCCTTGCCCAAGCCCCTCTGGTGAAGTCAAGGAAGTTAGCTACTTCTCCATTGTCCTTTTCAGTGAAATGTCCACACACACAGGCCAGTCCTGAAGGAAGCAGCAGCAGCAGCAGCAGCAGCAGCAGCTTCACACATGAAGGGTAGCCAAATCAGTAGTTCATTAGATGTTTCTGATTCCTTTGGTGGCACTGGACAAGGTAGCTCGTGTATCTTGAACACCTGAACAGGACTCTGACTCCTGTGCCCCTTCATATGGCTCCCATGTCTCATTTCTTTGGCCATTATCCTAGAGCTTCTGTGGTTATTGGACATAAATATCTTGCTGGCTCTATTATAACTGCAAGCTGATTTGCAGTCATGTTTGGTAAGATGTGTAATTTCCTCTAAATCACATGCATCATAACAGGACAGGGCTGGTTTAGAATGATTTGAATGTGTAATTACGCAATATAGAATATTTTCGAAGGAAAAATCACCTGTATATGCAAATAATGTGATTTGATTCTACGCCTTGTGTACCATATAAGCCTTAGTGGAAAAACTGCTGTGTTGCTTTCTTTTGAAAATGGATATTTAGAATAGAAGAAAACTGTCCATTGACGGATGACTCTGAGTTGAACTTGTCAGGAATGAGCCCAAGAAAAAGCATGTTGAATGACTTCTGATAAACTGTCTCTGTTGTGCTTAGCACTTCCTGGACTTCCTTCTCACTAATGCCTATCTTTGCTGGCCTTATTCCTTGTGCTTATTATGTTTTTCCTGCCAATAGTACTTGAGTCTGGAAGGGCTTGGGGGAGGGAGAGGAGATGGTTTTACACTTAGTAACATGTTGCTGCTATTTCTGGTTGCTGCTTGAGGAGTTCCTTCCTTGAGCTTAAGTGGATGAGCAGGCAGGAACCTTGCAGAACTCTGGAATTTTGGTATTAGATGGAGTGGGATTTATTTTAGATATGCTTGGACCTTGGAGTAAGAATTTATTGAAAGTCAAAATATGAAGGGACAACAGGGACAAGAATTTTGACTCAGCCAGTTAGTTATTAACTGTGTAACTTCTGTCATGTTATTAAATCACTCTGAACTTTAGTGTCTTTGTATTTCATGTAGCTAATGGGAGTAAATATATTTTAAAGGATAACCAAGTGTCTAGCTCAGGGCCTAAGGTAGGAGCAGTCAATAAACAGAAATGTAAATATGAGAGCAGTTCATTTAGTGCCAGGGCACAGAACCGGGAAGGTGGTAAACATGTAGCTCCTAAGCCTGAATGAAACTGAAATCTAATTTGTAGACCTGCAGATTTCAATATGGTCAATCCTCTGCCCCCAGGTTTTTAAGATATGGTTCACGGACCTTTGGATGTGGTGCAAAGCCATGCTTGGGGCTTTCTGAAGAAAATGCTAGACCTGGCTAGTCATAGTTATTTCTTTAGTTTTAAACTACAAAGATTTAAAAACATATACAAAAGTAAATAAAATAGCATATGAATATCCACATACCTCTCACCCAGCTTAGACAGTTATTAATTGATGGTCAGGCTGGTTTCATCTCTACCTCTGCCTCCACTTGCTCTTCCCCCCAGATTATTATTATTATTATTATTATTATTATTATTATTATTATTTTATTTTATTTTTTTTTTTGAGACGGAGTCTCGCTCTGTCGCCCAGGCCGGACTGCGGACTGCAGTGGCACAATTTCGGCTCACTGCAAGCTCTGCTTCCCGGGTTCATGCCATTCTCCTGCCTCAGCCTCCCGAGTAGCTGGGACTACAGGCGCCTGCCACCGCGCCCGGCTAATTTTTTGTATTTTTAGTAGAGACGGGGTTTCACCTTGTTAGCCAGGATGGTCTCGATCTCCTGACCTCGTGATCCACCCGCCTCGGCCTCCCAAAGTGCTGGGATTACAGGCGTGAGCCACCGCGCCCGGCCCCCCCAGATTATTTTGAAGCAAATTCCAAATATCACATAATTTCATCTATGACATGTTTATTGTATCCTTATTTAATTTCTATATTTGTAATGTTTTATAATATGTATAATATATTGGTACACTAGTATATAAAATTTACAATTCACAAATAAATATAAATATTTTGGAGGTTGTTTAGGCTACATTTTTTAACAATGATGTGCCTGAATAAAACCATTGGTGACTCTCCTAGATTTTTACAAATTAGTTAATACCTTTGCCCAGCAAATTCCCCAGCCTTCCAGTTGTAATGCCAAGCTTCTTTGGGGAAGCTCCTCTGGGTCTGTCCCTAATTGTGCTGTCTGGCCCTTGATTTCATGCCTGGCTTTCTCCACAAGACTGGGAGGGTCCTTGTTTTTCTTAAAGGCTGGCATATAGTCTAGGCACACACATTGGACTACTGCAATATGAACTGCATCTACTGCTTGTCCCTGTTCTCTCCCCCTTCCAGAAGAGACAAGAGTCAGAAAAGGACTAAGCGAGATAGCTGTAACTGGGAGAGAAGAGAGGCAGATTGAAGAGGAAGAGCTGGACTAATATATAATGTCTTCTGATCAGTCTGTCAGCAAATATTCACTGGATTCCTTATTGCAGGGAGGCTGAGAGTGATACAGGACATCCAGTGCCTCCCCCTAAGACCCCAGAGCTCTGTCCTATCCAGAGAGGCTAAACCAACTTGGATGGCTCAAGACAATATAGAAATAAACGCTAAAATATGGGATCTAGAGTACACCCAGGGTTGCTATATCGAATTCATGTTTCTAGAGGTCAGTTCAACACAATGAATGAAGTGGACCAGGTGTAGGTAAGCAGGGAGTGGTGCTGGATGTTGCAAGCTGGAGGACATGTGCCAAGGGTGAAGGGGGGCAGGACCACTCAGTTACTCTGTTGCCCAGTAGCCATGTGGGTCCAATGTTGTCACATGACTTTGTTTTTTATGAGAAGCTGGGTGTCTGTTTTTTCCATAAAATATCTTTAAATTTTTGGCAACTAATTCAGTTTAAAAAAAAAAAAAAAGAAAAACACACTATGTGGGCCAAACCAAACATGTCTGCAGGCTGGATAGGGCCAAAGGCCACCAATTTGCAGTGTCTGGGTTAGAATTATTCAGCGGGTTACAAAAAGAAAATGCAGTGCTTGTGTGCAGGTTATGGGGAAGCCAATTTCTTTGTGATACAAAGGAGAACTTTCTGATAGAAGAGTTCTAGAATGGATTGCTTTGAGATATGAGCTTGTCATCATAATGACTTCAACACAGATGAATGTTTACTTGGTGCCAGGCACTATGTTAGGTTTGAGATACCTACCCATCAGTTAATTTCTGATGTAATGAATGTTATGAGAGGAGGTTCAGGATGCTTGGAGAAAGTGTCAGGGATGTTAACCTATTTAAGGGCACAGAGGGATTCTGGCAGGCCTCCCTAAGAAAGTGGAATGAATTAGGAGTTGGTTAGTGAAAGAGTGGACCTCCCAGAAGGCTCCTTTTTGAGGAAAAGCATAGCACCTTTGATGAGTGGAAAGATGGCATTATGGTTTTGGAGTTTAGAGAACTAGTGGGAAGAAAGGGCATAAATAGAGGTGGGAGAAATAGGCAGAGGTCAAGCTGGGGGCTGTTTCTTGGATCCTTCATGTCAGTAAAGACTTGTTCTGCGGGCAGCAGAACACTCAACTCACACTGGCAAGAAAGGAAGCTACCACCCTATGCGGTTGAAGTGTCTGGGGTAGATCTTTGGGCAGGACTGGATTGGGGCTCAAAGCATGTGGCCAGTATGCTGTTTTTCTCCCTTTGCTTGCCTACTTCTTAAATAGGTTCTCCCCTCTATTTCAATATGGCTGGCAGTAGCTTATCAGTGTTTGAGTTGGGAACTAGCTGCTGCTTGTGCCCAAGTTCCTTGTATTTGGAGGTGGTGTGCTCTGAGGAGAAGAAACAAAAATCTGGAGAAAGCTTAGAACCTAGAAAACTCAGCCAAAGTGACTTCAGACTCAGACACTTCAGCAGTCACCAGTTGCCAAGGCCTGCTACATTTCTGGATTCTGCCTCCCCAAGTCCAGTTGGAGCCTGCAAGGTGGACTCCCTGCTTCTGCTCCAAAGACAGGCTGGCTGCCCAGTGTGGTCCCTCCTGTGGAGTTGTGCAAATCCAGGCTTATCAGGCCTGCCATTTCTCCCTGACCTCTCAGATCTACAGATCACTGGCTGCTATGAGAACAGGGATGGACCAGAGAGACAGTCAAATCTGCCCTGCTTGTTTTACAAATGTTCATTTTACAGAAACTGAGGCCCAGCGAGGAAGTGGCTCTCTGGAGAGCACACCAGTAGTAAGTGACAGATTCAGAACTCATGTTTTGGTTTTAGACTCTTGTTTTTTGACCCTTTTCGTGATATTATACTGTGGGGGCCCCTTTTTTTTCCGCATTTTTCTCTTAGAATGAAAAAGAAAACTTGACATAGTAGTATACATTCCTCTTTTGAAAAGAAAGTTTGGCTTAATGATTTAATGGCTGTAAACTTAAAGCTGATGGTCTCATTTGACAGCTGACTAGATTTTTAAGTTGTTAAATACCTAGAAGTCAGTGAGCCAGTGAAGAAAGTTAAAAAATTCTTAGACTTACTAGAATGTTGTTAGATTTTTTTTTTAAGTGCAAAGGTAAGTGGTCAATAACTATCATTGCGAACCAGTACCATCCAAACAATTTTTATTTTTTTATTTTTTTTTTTACTGAAAAGGTAAGTTATTTAAAAATACTTTAGAGGAGGAATGACTTTGTTTTGTGTTTGTTTATGTAAAAGCCACAGAAGAAAATTCCACCTGTAATTTTCAGGTAAAGTTCTATTTTGAAATTGGATTTTATGACCTACATCTCTCTCCCTAGTCATTAAGGGGATATGAAGTTGTTTCTTTCTCTCTCTCTCCCTTTTTTTTTTTTTGGGTGAAAATTGCAGTAGGATTACTACTTTGGAGGAATCATTCATTTAATTTGATGATGGAACAAACTAAATGTCATTTAAATGTTTCTTTACCTTGCCCTCTTTTTTTCTGAGTTCAAAGGTAGCTTTCTCTACTTCAGATTTGCACAGTCAAATGATTTCAGAGTTAATTACAGTTTGAAAAGTTCCAACACCTAAACACCAGAGTGGGGAATGTAAAAAGTAGCTTATGGTCCATATTTCTCTGGATATAGTATGCTTTATTGTAATTGTAGAGTGGAAGCCAGGGGAGTAAATTCTTATCTTGTACATGATAATGTCTTGGTTCTCTTCCAACCATAACAGTTATTATAAAGATGCAGTCAAAGCCCAAGACGGCAGCATTTTTTTTTCTTGCTTCCCCTTGGATTTTCATTTTATTTTATTTTTGCATGGAGTATTTTTAAAGATATTCAAGGCCCTGGTGGAAGGACGGTGAAAATTGGCAAACCAGTGAAAATGAATCTGAATTTTTAATTAGGCTTTGAGTTGTTTCTTCAAAGTGTGGACACATCATTAGGGATGTAAGTCTTGTTGCATTAGCAGAGACTGACATTTTACTTCAAACGCAGAGAGTGCAGCTGTCCTGTGCAGATAAAAGTCGCCAAGTATGGAATAGCAAGGTGGATTGGTAGATAATTAGCTGTCCCACATTACTGCAGTGTGGAAGAAGCCTGCCAGTCATGGGCAGGAAGGAGGAATTATTAGCAGGAGAAAATCCAAGTGTGTCATAAAGCAATTTGGAATCACTTCAGCTGTGGCAGAGCTGATAAGGCTTATGTTAAGGAAAAACAGAAACTGAGTCTAGTATATGGTGGCCAACTTTTCTTGCTTTCTTTTAAATAAAATCTTAATTCAAAAAACAAATTGCTGGAAATTAATGATCTATAAATATGCTGAAATATAGATTCATCAGTCTGCTTGACTCTATATATAAAAATTTAACCAGCTTACAGTAGTTTTATTTCCATGTCACTTGAAAATAAGGTAAGGATTCTATATAGGAAAAAATATATTACAGAGAAGCCGTGAACCCATGGCAATTACTGTGCTGTATATTACCATTAAAAGATATTTGAAGAAGAAAATTGGAAGTATATCATCTCTGATATAAATGTATAATATTTATAAATGGTTTCAGGATATTTTCATGTCTGTATTACTGGTAGCATATGTCTGTGTATTTAAATATTTTAAGAGTTTTTCTGTGATCATTGCATTCATTTCTAAGGGACTAGAGGTGTAGAAAGACCTGTTGGGTTTCTTGTCCATCCTCTATCATTTGCTAACTCACATGAAACTTCATGGGATTTTTTTTTTCCCCACTTGGATTACTCCGTGTGCCTCTGCCAGAATACTGGCCTTCTTTGTTCTAACACAATCCGCTTTAATTGATTGGCTCTCTCTAAAGCCTATATTTCTCATGACAGCCCAAAGACAGGATGTGCTGAAATGGGTTGGTTTCCATAACTTTGCTTGGTGGTGCCTGAACAAGAGTTGCCCTTGGCCACTGCAGGAGACAGCCAGTGCTTTTTGCCGCTTTTTCTGCTCCCTTTCTAGGGGACTGTTAGTCACAGAGTTGTTGCTGCTGTTGTTGCTGCCCTGAGTGGTTTTGGGGGAAAACCTGGAGAACATAGATTGGGTTTGTTTGTTTGTTTTCTGTTGCAGTCTTGGCTATTTGATCCAGAATTGGCTTCACTGAACCATTTATGAAAAGGGGAAATTTGCCACTTCTGTAGTCTTCAGGGGGGTTAGCCTGTGTGCTAATTATGAACCAAACACATTTGTTAGGAGTGTTTTAAACTTGAGATAGTATAATTTCAGATGACCATAAAAGAGGCAAATACATTATTTGCACATATTCAGATAACAAATGTAGGCAAGAGTTACAAGCAGTAAAACATCCTGGAGATTACTTATTAGAGCATGAGCTCTTGCAGGAAAGAACACAGACTTACTCATCTGCGTAGTCCTGGTATGGTTACCCCTGTCTGTGTCACATCATGAGGACTCAAAAAATGTCTAGACCACAGACATTGCCCAGCAGCCCTTAAATGGTAGACTTTGTAACTTTTTAGTAGTTACTGTTACAAATTTAGCTTTTACTACTGTGTTTAATGTGTCCATTTCATTACTTTAGAATTACCAGGAAATGTCTAGGGTCTTTATCTGCTACTAAAGATTAAGAATGTTTCAGGTGAGTAGAAGTATCTGCTACAGTATCAAGCACATTAGGACTCTAAGTAGACTCTAAGTATTAGTTGGTTCTAATGTTTAATATATTCACCTAGAGAAAGTTGGGCTACATTTAGGAATGTAAAACATACAAAAATGATTGTGTACTTGCAAACTATATACTTGAAGCTGCTTTATCCTAGAGGTTAGACTTCATTAGTTAATTCATTTCACAAATCTTTATTGAACACAGACTATGTGCCAGGTATTATGCTTGGATTTGAGTTTATGTTGTCACAAAGAGACTTGGTTCCTACTCTTATGAAATATGCAGCCTGCTAGGGGAAATAGACATTAAACAAATAATCTTATAAATATACATTGTAAATTTTGAGTAATGTTTTGAAGGAAACATGGGGCCTTTAGAAAGAGTACCAAGGGCAGGCTGGGCTGGGTGTGGTGGCTCACTTTGGTAATCCCAGCACTTTGGGAGGCCGAGGTGGCAGGACCCCTTGAGGCCAGGAGTTCAAGACCAGTGTAGGCAACATGGTGAGACCCTGTCTCTACCAAAAAAAAAAAAAAAAAAAAAAGTGCCAAGGAGATCTTTTAGAAATGCAAGTCAGATGTCATACCTCTGCTTAAAACTCCCTAAAGGTTCTCATCTGACTCAGTAAAATCCTGAATTACTGGTGGCCTTCACAGCTGTATGTGATCTGGCCCCTGCCACCTTTGTGACCTTATCTTTTACCTTCCCCCCCCCCCTTGCATATAACTCTGTTCTTTCAGCACTCCAAGCACATTCCTGACCCAGAACCTTTGAACTTGCTGCTCCTCTTGCTTGGGAACAGCAAGAAGTATCCTTGCCAACCCTCTTTGAAACAGCACCGTCCCTTGCCCTTCCTCATTGTTTCCTACCCTGTTTCTTTTAGTGTTCGTCATGCCCCCTAACCTCTCACAGGTAAGCACTGTATTGTTCAATGCTATATTCCTGTAGAATGGTGCTTGGCACTTAGAAGTACCCCATAAATCATTATTGGACAAGGGTTAGCGGGAGCGACAACTCTAAAAGGGAATCTGAAGCAGTGATGGAAAGGAGGAGCCAATCAGGGGAGGGGCTGGGGGCCTAGTAGAAGGAGGAACCAATCAACGGAGAGGTTGGGAGGGGACTTGGCAGAAGGAGGAGGAGCCAACCAGGGGAGCGGTTTAGGGGGTCTAGCATTCCAACAGAAGGAAGAGGCTTTGTAGAGGTCTTGAGAGACAGGACCTTGGTGTAGTTTAAGAACTGAAAGAAAGCCAGGCGGCTGACAGCATACAAGCAGAAGGGTGATGTGAAGGGAGGAATTTGGGTTCTTATTCCTCTTCAATTCAGGTATATTTCCCAGTAGCTCTTTTAGGCGTGGCCAAAAGTGTACAGTTCTGTGGCATTAAATACTTTTCATATTGTCGTGTAACCATCATCACCATCCATCTCTAGAACTTTTTCATCTTCCCAAACTCTGTACCATTGAACAATAATGCCCCATTCCTCCCTCTCGCCAGTTCCTGGCAATCACTGTTCTACTTTCTATCTCTCTGAATTTGGCTACTCTAGGTACCTCATAAAAGTGGAATTAAACAACATTTGTCCTTCTGTGACTGACTTCACTTGGCATAATGTCTTCAAGGTTCATCCATGCGTAGCATGTGTCAGAATTTCCTTTCTTTCTAAGGCTGAATAATATTCCATTGTGTATATGTGCCACATTTTGTTTATCCATTCATCCATCAATGGACACTTGGCTTGCTTCCACCTTTTGGCTACTGTGAATAATGCTACTACAAACATGAGTGTACAAATATCTGTTTGGGTCTGCTTTCAGTTCTTTTGAGCATGTGCCCAGAAATGAAATTGCTAGATCATATGGTAATTCTGTTTGTCCGAGAAACTGCCGTACTGTTTTCCATAGTGGGTGTACCATTTTACTTTCCCACCAGCAATGCACAAGGGTTCTAATTTCTTCCCCTCCTTACCAATACTTGTTTTTTGTTTGTTTGGTTTATTTGTTTTACAGTAGCTATCCTAATGGGAGTGAAAATATACACTTTTTGTTGAAGTTTCATGAATTTTGAAAATGCAGTCATGTAACCAACACCACAGTCAAGATATACAACAGTATCATCACCCCCCAAAATTATCTGATGCTGCTCCTTTATAGTCAGTCCTTTCCCCACCTGAAACTCCTGGAAACCATCGATATATTCTCCATATCTATAGTTTTGCCTTTTCCAGAAGAGGATAAATGGAAACATTATGGTGTGCATTTTGAGTCTGGCATCTTTCATTTAACACAGTGCATTTGAGATTCATCCATGTTGTATGTATCAGTAGTTAATTCCTATTTATTGCTGAGTACCATTCTGTTGTACAGATATGCCACAGTTTGCTTACCCATTCACTAATTAAAGAACATTTGAGTTTTTGTAGTTTTTTGTTTTGTTTTGTTTTGAGACAGGGTCTTGCTCTGTCACCCAGGCTGGAGTGCAGTAGCATGATCACAGCTCACTGTAGCCTCCACCTCCTGGACTCAAGTGATCCTCCCATCTCAGCCTCTTGAGTGGCTGTGACCACAGACATGCACCATCATGCCTGGCTAATTTTTGTATTTTTTGTAGAGATAGGGTTTCACCATGTTGCCTAGGCTGGGAGTTTTTTGATGTTTCAAATCTACTATTAAACATTCAGGGTTTAATAGTAGTTTTGGGTTGAATGTAAGTTTTCATATTTCTAGGGGTGGGATTACTGTGCCATATGTTAAGTGTATGTTAAACTTTATAAGAAACTGCCAGTCTATTTTCCAAAGGGGCTATATTAGTTTGTATTCCCACCAGCAATGTATGAAAGTCCTGGTTGCTCCACAGCCTCACCACAACTTGGTAGAATCTGTCATTTTAATATAAGTCATTGTAAAATGTGTGAAATGGTATCTCATTGTTGTTTTAGTGAATATTTCTCTAATGAACAATGATGCTGAGCATTTTTTCATGTGCCTATTTGCCATTAGTATATCTTTTTTGGTGAAATATCAAAACCTTTGCTAATTTTAAATTGGGCTGTTTATTATCGATTTTTAAATAATTTAATGATTTTTATTAAATTTGTAGCATTATGCAATGAGCACCACTATCTGGTTTTATAACATTTCCATAACCAAAAAAGTTTTCACATATTCATTTATTGTCAAGTTTTGAGAGCGCGCGCACACACACACACACACATACACACACACACACACACACACATACACATACACACACACACATACACACACACACGTATTCAGATGTGTTTTTTATCTTCCGGATGTGGACTAAGTTCTGCTACTACAAATTGATTTTCTTTCGAGTGACATTGTTCTCAAAGGAAATTTGCTTTTATTATTTAAATAATAATGACATCCAGGATTAGAAATAATAAAGTGTAATCCAGGGTGTATAGAAATCTTCAAGAGAGCTGTGAGTTTTGCAGTTCTTGTTTTCAGCTAAAAACAAAGCATTATTTAGGATTTTTGGGTCAATGTGGCCTGTGTAGAATCTTGGGTTTAGTTAGTCAATCTGCAAGAAACTGTAGATTGAACTTCTGTTATGCACAAGCACAGCTTTGGGAGCTGGGAGCACACTGATGGATAGAACAGAGTCCCTGCCTTTAAGGAGCTTACATTCTTATAAGAGGGAGATAAATATTTAAACATGTAAATGCTAAGTACATGTAATGTTGGACCCTGACCAGTTCTGTGAAGGACATAAAGTAGGTTAACATGGAGTTCAAAGAAGGCTTCTTGGGGGTGCTGATATTTGAGTGGAGGCATGAATGATGATTGGTAGCAGCCTAGGAGGACCTGGAGTAAGGAATAAAGCATACAGAGACCTGTGGAGGGAAGGAGATCAGTGTGTGTGAAGGGCTGAAAGAAGGCACTGAAGAAAGGTGGGAATAAAGGAAGATGAGCGAGGATAGGATCACTGTGGAGAACAAGTTTGGATTTTGTTCTGGCTGAAATGGGAAGCCACTGGAGGGTTTTAGGCACAAGAGCAAGGGAGTTGGCTTTTGCTTAGAAGGATCCCTCTGGCTGGTTCCATTTTTTTCTCTTACTCTCTTGGCTCTGTCACCCCCTGGCTGTCAGTTTATCCTCAGGCTGGTTTTGCCTGTAGTAAAATGAGTACATTCAGTAGAAGAGGGCACCTTTCTCCCCCCAGGCTTTGAAGGATGCCTTGGGCTCACTCTGATTGGACCTTAGTGGAATACAAGAGAATGGGATTACATTAGTTTATGCCAATCAGGACCTACTCCTAGAGCCCAAAGCTCCTAGAGCTGGGTTGATTCTACTCACATTTTATGACCTACACAATCCAGTGATTTGGATAGCAGAGAGGTGACACCAATATTTACTACAATTATCACTGTTACCATTCCACTGGCAGTAGACTACAGGGAATGATTTTGATCATTTTGGCTAGTGTCTTGGTTATGCTGGACCTCCTTTTTTAAAAAAAAAATGTAACTGATTATCTACTTAGCACCTGCCATACCTAATTTCAAGACAGACATGAAACAAAGGAAATGCATGGTGGTGTTACGTCAACCATAGTGCCAGGAACTGCTTAATTCATTTGGTTAGTAGAAGAATTCAAATCAATTAGTTTAGAAGGCAATTCTAATACTTTATGTATTTGAATATAATTTCAACTTTTTGTGAGGTGATGTGATTGTGGTTTGGAATTGTCCATGCTGGTGGGGTTTACATTTTACAAACATATTACTACAGATACAGCTTCAAAATATAATATGTTTTATAGATAGAACTGGGTTTTTAAGTAGCTGGTGGTAGATGCTTTTATGATTTATGTTTTGTAAGTTTCAATTCTTTGACCAATCTCTGTTTGTCCATCTCTAATTTCTGGTTGGCTGTGTCTGTTCTATGATGATACTGAGAAAAGTTACAAAGAGAATTGGTACTTTTGGATGTGGTTTTTAAACAGCCTGCAATTGTTTCATCTAATTAGTGAAACTAAAATACATGATTTTTATAAATGATTTTTGAGAGGTTTCTAGTTCCCAAAAAATTAAAATCTATTCGGGACAGTTATAGAGAATTCATTGTACAGAGAATCTCATTATGACATAGTAAAATATTATTGAGGTGAAGTATGAAAACATCCTTTTTGAGTTTATCTTCCTCATAAAAATTTGTCTTCTATTTGATGCAAATCAAGATTATATAGGACTTGCATGTAACCTGGTAAATTTCTTGTTGAATTTTCATTTAGTGTTTTTTGCTCATAAATTATTGAAGTGAGAGTATTGTGGTACTATTTTCCAAAATGTCTGACATTGAATGAAGAGGTGGGAGGTCTACTAACATAACAGTATGTTCCTCCATTATTCTTTCTTTCAATACACATTGTGCATACAGCCTGCCAAGCTGTGTGTCTTATCCAGTGAATTCAAGTATCTTCCATTTCGTTAGAATTTGACTTTCATACACTGGTTCTCTTAGTTACAAGACTGAGATCAAAATTGTGTAGATAAACATTGAGCTATTCTTACTTTTATCATCACATTAGAATTCTATAAATGTCTTTTTCCTCAAAGCATTCACATCACTGTAGAACACCTTTAAAACATTAGAAATGATTCTCATGTTGAAACAATTTAACCAGGAAAATTAAATAAATAAGAAACTAAATAATTATTTAACATATATTTAAAGTCTGTTACTAGCCAGGTACTCTGGTAGATACCTAGGATAGAAAAGTCAACCAAATACAGCCCTGCTTTCCTGGAGTGAACATTCTACTGGGGGATTAGTTAGTAAGCAAGCTGGGAACAGCAGGGGATGAGGGTCAGCTCTGGGAAATCATGGGAGATTGTTCATAAGCAATGGTGGAGATTTTTGCTTGATGGATGCCCATGGGTCATGTTCCCTGGAGGATTGTGTTTCAGGGATTAACTCTTTTTAAGCTAGTCTGTCCCAAGCTGTATTTCTTATTTATGGCATTTTTAGACAGCCCACGAGTGGCCTGTAAACAATTACTATGCTTCATTCTTCCTCTGTGTGTTTTCTATAAACCTTCAACTTGGTTTTTTATTTCCGTCTTATAACTGAGCTGCCAGTTGCCCTGAGACTTTTTCCATTTTCCAATCTCCCAGGAATGCTTACCTTTGTGGGCTTTGTGGATGTGATTTTGAAGAAGGAGTGAGTCCTCCAAACTAAAAGCCATTTTTAAGTAGTGCAGAGACCTTCCCCAAAGGAGGCGAGAGATATGGATGATTCCAGGAATCCCCAGTTTACAAAGAGTCTGGATTTCAAAGCTCGTTTCAGAGTCTGTTGTCTGGAACAACATTCACATAGAGGGGTTATAAAAGCAGACCCCGCTCTCAGGCCAACTCACAAAAGCCTGTTTAGGAGAAATGGGATTTTAATCCAAGCTCTTTTGCTATCCTTCTGAACCTCAGGTTTCTTACTGTAAAAATCAGGGCTGTTTCCACCGTCGTTGTAGAGTTAAATGAGATGAGGTTTGTAAGAATATCTAGCACAATGCCTGATGCCAGAGGTCTCAGGAAGTGTTTGCTTTTTCTTCATGTGAGGATACATAATGCTAAGTCTTCAGAATTTTATACTCTACTCCTCACTTCTAGATTTGAGCAGCCAGGAAGAGTCCTGGGTGTGTGGGGATGATAGATGAGGAGGATGAATCTCCTGTTATTAAGGATGAGGAAAAGGGGAAGTGTTATAATATTATTAGTTCCTATTTATTGAGCATTTACTATGCACTGCATACCATGCTAAGCACAAGTTAAGTACTGGCTATTATTACCTAACTTATACATACCCCAGTGGACCAAGCTGGATGACAGAATGTCCATTCCTAATTGCCTTAGCCAAAGGGAGTTGTACAAAGTTACCTAATTCCCTTGGCCAGAGGTACAAATAGCTCCATCTCAGCCCCTGCCCACTTTCAATGTCGCCCCTGTCCACCGATCAGGAATAACTATTTGGGGATATTTTTGTCTGTCACTAAGCATTTTCAGCAAAAAGGAAGATATTTTTCAAATTCCCAAAGGGCAGAAGCAGCCCTCTCTCTGGTACTGCAGGTCTGACTGGGCATGGTTTCCTCTTGAAATGTCTCCTTGTGATGTTATAACTTAAAAGATGGAGGGCTGTTTGATCCAAGCCTAGGATTTGTTGGCTACAGGGTTTTCGTTAATAGAAAACATTCATGCACCTCTAGGGGGGAGAAATTAAAGCACATACTTCTTCCTGTTTGACCTTCGAACCCTTGCCATTTACATCAAACACTCACTGGGAGAGAAAGCTAATTTAATAAACTGTGATAGCTTCTTCTCTAACAAGCCTCACTTTAAACTTGGCATTTTCTCCTCAAGCTGATGAGTTTCTGTCTTCTCAGAAGATGTGTGTACCCTTCAGACATCTGAGGGGAGAGAATGTACTTTGTGGGTGGTGCAATGCCTTGCTAATGTCATGTTCTCCCTTCAGTGAGTTTCAAAAATAGCTTGCCTTTTAAGAACAATTACAAAGGAGTCGTGCAAAGGCAGAGTGACTTGGCTTCAGCAAGCCTCAATTTCTTGATCTGTAAAATAGGGATTTTACCCTACCTCAAAGGTTGTAGTGAAGACCAAAAGCAAGAATTTATATAAAAGTACTTTGTATCATGCTTTTTCAGTTATAACCTTTTATTCTCAGGGAAGTCAGCAAATGCTGGTGGGAACATAGATGCAGAGCAACATTTTCTCTCTCCAAACATGGACTGAAAACTCTTGCCCTTTAATTTTCAGAAAACCCCCCATCCTGTGGGGTTCTCATGTAAAAATTAAAAGATAAAAATCTAGAAAAATCTTTGCTTAAATAATTTTGAAAAAGTAAATAAATAATTGAACCTGTCTAAAATCGAGAGACCAGTATGATATGACTAATATTAATAATGTCTAGAATTTGTTACCCTGCTTAAATTTGGTCAGGGGTTGCTCTCAAATGGTCCAAACTATAAACATGCAGTCCATGAATGCCAGGGTCCCTGTATATAGTAACTAACCCAAAGCACTGGGAAAAGCAGTACCTTTCTTCAAGGACTGCTTCCTCTCTCTCTCTCTCTTTTTTTTTTTTTAAAGAAATGATCTCCCTCTGTTTTACTCTGTTTTCACACTGCTATAAATAATTATCTGAGACTGGATAATTTATAAAGAAAACAAGTTTAATTGACTCACAGTTCTGCATGGCTGGGGAGGCCTCAGGAAACTTACAATCATGGTGGAAGGCAAAGGGGAAGCAAGGCATGCCTTATACATGGTGGCAGGAGAGAGAAAGAAGAGCAAGGGGGGAAGTGCCACACTTTTATACCATCAGATCTCATGAGAACTCAAGAACTCACTATCACAAGAAAAGCAGGGGGGAAATCCACCCCCATGATTCAGTCACCTCCCTCCAGGACCCTCCCCTGACACATGAGAATTACAATTTGATGTGAGACTTGGGTGGGGACACAGACTCAAACCATATCACCCTCTGTTGCCCAGCTTGGCTCACTGCAGCCTTGACCTCTCATGCATAAGTGATCCTCCTGCCTCAGCCTCCTGAGTAGCTGGGACTACAGGCATGCACCACCATGTCCAGCTAATTAAAAATTTTGTTTTTTGTAGAGCCAGGGTCTTACTGTCTTGCCCAGGCTAGTCTCAGACTCCTGGACTCAAGCAGTCCTCCTACCTCAGCCTCCCAAAGTACTGGGATTACAAGTGTGAGCCACTGCACCCAGCGGTTTTTTTTGTTTGTTTGTTTTTTGTTTTTTTTTTATTAATAAAAATTAACAGTGAGACACTAGCTTTGCTGTGTTGAAATCATATACTGTACTTGATTTCCTGAAAGTACCTTTCACTAGTTTTTTTTCTTGACAAAAGATGGTTTGAAACTGGAACTTCCCTCAGTATTTCTGTTTGAATTTTAAAAGATGGAAGCTTTTTTTAAAAAAAGAAATTTGGAATAAAAGGTGAAGAAAAAAATTGTTTTCATCTAGGTAGCATTATTCATTTGGGAAAAAGAAGACAGTTGAAGAAATTATTCTATACCTGCAGTTTAAACAACTTATATTTTGGAAATGTTTTATCCTTAGCAAAAGGCTAGTGGAATTCTTTGTTGCTTGAAGAATAACGGCACTTGTATAACTTGAGAAAAATACGGGGAAGGATGGCCTTTATTCTGATAGCATGGAGTTGGGTCCCCCTATTGTTTTCTTAAAACAAGCCGTTGACCAGCAGCTCTGGCCTCCATGTCCCCTTTGGCCTTTGTCTGTGGGTACATTAATGCCATTGGACAAGACCAAATGGCTCCTGGCTTCAGATCTCTCTAGGCCAATCTCACAGGATGAGTTTTTCTGCTCATCACATTCCTTCTTGGAGATATACTCCTCCCCGTTCTGATACTTCATCATATGCCACACGGAAACAATAAGCTCCAGGTGCCCAGCAGCGCTGTGCGGTTACTCCGCTGATCGTTAGAGTTAACGTCAGTGTAAAAGACAGCACCGCCACTGGGACTGCCTGGGCTTCCTGTCCAGTTATTTTTGTCTTCTGGCACAAAGGTGATTATCAGGTTCATTTTTTCTTAGCCTAGTTTAATACTGGTGATTCATGGAGGACATGTTGATGTGAAAAGAACAGGAAATTTATCCTTGAAAATTCAGCTCTGACATAGCCTTCTCTAGAAAGATGCCTGTTTTCTTACACCTAAGCTTGGGTTGCCCTTGTGAGATACTTAGCAGTAGAGACTACATCTGCTTTCCCTGAATCCCTACCTTCAATAGTGCCCAGGCCAAAACTAGGCCCTCAGTAAGTGCTGAAGGAATGAATGAATGAATTTGGAAGGAAAGACTTGGGGCTCCACTTAATCTCTCTGGACTTTGTAACACGGGAGTTGTTAATATCTGTGTCACAGAGCTGTTGTCACATCAAACGAAATGTCTCTAAAATCCGTTTGTGAACTGGGAAATCATTTGCATATCTTATAAATGTTTGGAAATGCTTTTTGAGTGAAAGATTTTTTATTTTATCTTATGTATAGCTAGGTAAATAAAAGGACATTCCACTTATTACTATGGGTAAACTTGCTTTTTGTGTAACTTTAATTCTTCTCCAGGAGGAGGTGATCATGAAGAAATAATGAGGTGAAAAGCTGAATCCTTCATGAAGCCAGTGTGATGACCCATGAGGGGCTTAATAAATATATAGTCGAGCACTTCACTTACCTATTTTGAGAAAATGCATCACACATTTTATTGGAAAATTACTTGTTACATTTTGTGCTTCCTATTTCTAAAGATTTGGGAGACTGTGGAAAGTGCATATTACCACATAGGGAACTATTATGCCTCTCTTCTTACAACTTAGAGGAAGGAATATTTTTGCAAGAGTTATGGCCCATAGCTGGACAATATAACAATGCAAGTGGAGGAAAGGAATTGTGCAGATACCAAACGGCTCAACCCAGGGGTTGTGGCAGCCTCATTGGACAGTTTTGTCTATACCTTCTTTTCCCCAGGGAATTACCAAGAAGAGTGGAGGCCCCCTGCCACTAATTTTAAATCCTCCCTCCTCCCTGCCACACACACCTTTTCTCCTCCCTGCAGTGGATTTACACACATTTTGTGGGGCTGATTTAGCGAGCTCGTGGTTCTCATAATCTCCTTATAGAAGTGTATGCACATTAAGGGGACCTATTTAATAGACACGGCTGCCTCTGTGAAAGAATGCTTTGTGGAAGGGAGCCTTTGTGTATTTCTCCATCTCAGCAGTTCCTGGGGCGCTTCCCAAGTCTCTCTGTCACCGAATGGCAGAGCTGGGAAGGACCTGCTCCAGAATAATGGGAGGGAGCGGTGGGACAAGGGAGGGAGGAGGCGGCCAGCGTTGGAATGTGGAGACCAGGGTATTGGCACTTCAGAGCTGAGCATCTTAACATTTTCTCTTCTTACCCCCAGCTGGGGACTTTGCATTTGCAATGAGGGCCCCACTTCTCTGAGCCCTAGTGAAAGTGGATCACTTTAAGCCCACAACAATGGTGGCTTCTTATCCTCTTAGTTAATGCTTTAGATAACTTTTCTTTTAGACCAGGTAGGGGCTTGTAAAGTGGGACTGTGGCTCTGGCCTTGCCTGGTAAGACACATGAAATTTTCTCATCTTTTCTAACTATCTTCCCTCCCCTGTTTTCTCTTAATTTGAAAGAAATCTCTGCATTGGTAAATGTGGACAAATCAAGCTGTGTTAGTGACATATCTCCAGCAGTTGTCACGGACGAGATTTATTTATATAGGATAGCAATTCTCGAGCTCCCCAACAACATCCCAAAGCTTTGGGATGGTTCTAACGACAAAGAATTTACATTTCTCTTTCTTTAGTCTGATTTGGAAGCTCCAATCTAGAATTTAACCATGTAGTAGCTGCTTTTATTTGCTACCTGTTACCTACCAGTGAAACCACAAGGCTAGTGGAATTCTTTATTGCTTAAATTGACAGGATATGGTTGCTTAAATTGCTAGGAAAGGGGGGAAAATCTCCTAAGAACCACGTTTTATTGGTAAGTAGAACTTAAAATAGTGCTCACTTTTTTTAGTGTTTTTTATGTGCCAGGCATTATGCTAAGGGTTAGAGTTCTATTTCTAATGCAGATAGCTACTAGTTTCAGAAAGAGAAATGACTTATCTAAGATGTGAAAGCCACGAAGTGGTAGATGTGGGGTTGAAACCCATGTCAGCTTCTGCTTGAGCACTTAGGATTATTACATTAATTGATTCAGCATTTAGTGAGCCCCATAATATTTGCTGTTGGCATAAATCTTGTTTCTTTGTGTAGTGGTCTCTTTGTGTGGGGGGCTCTGGAGAATATGGGCATGGGTTATGAGAGGAACTGGTATTAGTTACAGTTCGGTCAACAGGAAATACTTTACAGATCCAGTGGTTGAAAACACATTTGTTTAGATCATTCCTCTGTTCCAAGTAAGCATGTATTGGAAACCAACCTCCCCTCCCCTGCTTAGGGAGAATGGAATGTATGAATATATATAGAATTAATTTGAAAACTGGAAATGAATGAAAATGCAAAGTATTATTGTCATCATTATTAGAGGAAGAAAAAGAGAAAAGGAAAGAAAACCTGAGGATAGAATGCTAAATTCCAGCCTTAGGTAAGTTTATTACAGTATACAGTGTCTATGCTATATTCTGGAATTCTTTTCTCATGTATTAGGAAAAGCTCTCCTATATAATCTTAATTTATTTCTTTTTGACCTTCTCTGTTGAAATAAATGGCTACCATCTCTTCTTATGTACTTGAAAAACTAAGTTCTCCCTTATCTTCCAAGTGTGAATGACCACACAAAAGGGTATGTCCCCAATGTACTTGGTCTGTCTGCCTGGATTGAAGTTGGCAGATAAACTTTGCCCTCAGTTCTTGATAGGGAGAGAGATGAAATGATAGATAAACATGGGCAGAAAGAGAGCAATACAGTGCTTTTTATTTGACTCCAAGCTAAGAGAATTACTTTTTTTTTTTTTGACCCTTTTTGAACCTGAGTTGCTGTAATGAGTTTTCAAAGAGCCCTAGCACCAAAGTCCTCAAATTTCTTCATCTAAGCCTACTTTTTTTTCTTCTTTTTCTTCAAGTTATGGCTGTGTCTCCTGCTTTTCCCATTTCTTCCCAGGCGTGTCTTTCACAAAGAAATACAACAAAAGTTGGAATATCTAATCCATTAAAAGAAAAAAGAACATGTATGGACTTTTCTCCTTTGTTGGCTGGGACCTTGGTAGCTATATTTTCGTTTTATTATAATATATTTGATTAGCTTTGAATGTGCTGCCAAAGGCAAGAGGGCACTTAATACCTTTGCATTTTATAATGATTTGTTTGCCAACCTGGCCCATGTCCCAGACAATGCATCCTAGAACATGAGTGGTAGTGAAAGTGACTTGATGTATGTTTAGTGCTTATTTGAACTACATTCAGGCCTATCCTTTGAAATTTGTGGTGTATTTCACTTCTGGTAGTAGGCTCAAGGTTCTATAAAGGATGTCAAATTGTGCAAAATTGCCCCACCTCAGTCTTACTGAAAATATTTTGATTGCTTTTTAGCTTATTATTAGTAGTAGTAATAGTTGTAGTATTTAAGTTCAGCCAACCTAGAATATTTAAGAGGAGATGTGCTGGAGTGTCAAGAAAAATCTAGTCATCTTTGAGGTAGGAAAAATTATTCTACATCTGGCCATATATATGATGAAGGCTTGAGCTAATAACTTAGCTTCTCTGTGCTAGTTTCCTCCTATAATCTAGTAAACAACCTTCCCAGTCTAATTTTCTAGGATTATTTGCTGACTCAAATTTTTCCAGTCTTGTAGCCAATGGCATCCCACTTGAGGTTCTTATCCTACTTGAAACTTATAGCTTACAAACTTCACAGCCTTTGGGTGAAACTAGAGTGTGTTCTACCTAACATGAAACTTAATAGTGGAGACGGTGCACTGGGAATTGAGAATAAGAATCTGTTAGAGAGGTGAAGTGAGTCAAAGTCTCTTCCAGCTGAGCCAACCTCGGAAAGCTTTATTTATGGGTCAATTTATGGGTCAATGAAGTCACATGACATGGACTGCCTTCCTACAGGACACTCGTGCATGGAAGCCCAATTTCCTCAAAACCTAGATTTTCCTTAGAAGTTGTCTCAAAAAAAAAAAAAAAAGAAAGAAAAAGAAAAAAGAAAGCTTTGCCTAAGTGGTTTCCTGTCCTTAAGGTTTCCATGGAGAGAACATTTTCAAGATTAAAGGAGTCTAGCTGTCATTTTTAACCCGAGGGGTCTTCAGATTTATGTTTCAAAGCAGGGTGGGAATTTGGTCCTTAAAAAAAAAAAATCATGTTTACTTTTTCTTCAAAAAAATGCCGAGGAATTAGCCCATTGGCTACTGATTATTAGCTTTGCAGTAAAAAAAGAGTGAGAAAGAGACATAGTCTGTAATTTTATAGTGCCTCCAACACTAAAATGAAGGCAGAGCTTTTTTCTTTCTGCCAAGGATGCTACAGGGCTTTGATTTGCAGTGGTCATCCTTTGATTATCCAGTCACTCGGCTAACATTTTTTCAGTCCCTACTCTGTGCTTCCATCGTGCCTTGGGAGGCTTTAGGGTAGATAAAGAAAAGGACACAGGCCTTGCATCTGCTTATTGTGCTTGTGGGCTGGGGGAAATAAAGACAGTCCTTCCTAGTTTTGAAATTTCACTTTCAATTAATTATAGCCAGCAATGGTTGGCAAGGAAAGTAGGGAAAGATGGAAGAGCCCCTTAACCAGAAAGAATTAGGAGATTTCAAGGCCTGTTGAAATTAATGTGATGGTTATGAGAACTGCAGCTATTTGGAGTCATATAGTTCAGGAAAAAAAATACCCCAGAGAGAGCCAGGAATCAGCAGGCATTAAACCCTGGCTTGTTCTCCTGGTAAATGAGTCAGCCTCTGGCGGGAATATAATCAAAATAACAACAGGACACATCAGCATATCAAAAAGGGGCAGAGGGAGTTTATCAGGGGCCAAGAGTGAGCACAGACTAGATCCCAAGCCCTTTGACAGGCATTTGGGCATTCCTCCTTTCTCCAGAAAACCTTTCCAGAGTCTTCCAACAGTGGGGCAATATACCCTTAAACAAAACTGTGGCACGCTGGGTGTGGTGGCTCATGCCTGTAATCCCAGCACTTTGGGAGGCCAAGGTGGGCAGAACACCTGAGGTCAGGAGTTCAAGACCAGCCTGGCCAACATGGTGAAACCCTGTCTCTACTGAAAATACCAAAAATTAGCTGGGCGTGGTGGTGCGTGCCTGTAATCCCAGCTACTCAGGAGGTTGAGTCAGGAGAATTGCTTGAACCCAGGAGGCGGAGGTTGCAGTGAGCTGAGATCGTGCCACTGTACTCCAGTCTGGGTGACAGAGCAAGACTCTGTTCCTAAAACAAAACAAAAGAGTGTGGCATATCCTCATGGAGCTAACAGACAATTAAACAAGAGGTTCACCAAAGCTCGGAGAGAGCTACCAGAGAGAAGGCATAGGGGACTCACAACAGCATATAGATGCTAACTCATGCAACTTGTAAAATCACTCATGTACAGTACCAAATACAGTGCGTGCTCCAGCATATTAGAACTACTTATTCTCTTTATTTTTTCACTATTCGAAACTGAAATACTGTGTTTTCTAAAACATTTAGTTTAAAACTGTATTTGATTATATTCCTTGTATCATCATATTTCTGAGATTTTTAAAGTTTACTGCATCTTTACTTTTGTGCAGGGAGGCGCCTTCCTTATAGAAGGAATCTGAAGCTCAGCGCAATGTGGCTTCTTGCCCATGTTTGCTGAAATAACTCGTGATGGGGCCTAGATGAAAAGCTCAGTTTCATGACTTTTGATCCAGTGGCACTTCTACCACACTACAGCATCTCTCAGTATTTGAAATGTGAAAAAAGATTGAGTCTCAAGCCCCAGCTTCTTGGTTTTCAAGTCTTGCATGCAGAGTCTTAATTTCAAATACTTCTTGATATTCTGATCTCTTGTCTCTCTATCAGGACTGACATCTACAACTCAGTTGTCTACTCTGTCTCCTATTCTTGAGTAAGGTGTTGACTACCTTGCTGGGCTGACTTGGTGGTTTCCCCTGGGAAAATGACCAGAAAGAAAGTGCAATAATCGTGTGCTTAAAGTACATTGGTCATTTCTCTCTTTGCAACTTGCAGAATGGAGAACCATCTAAAACAGTATTAATTATTTCAGCCTTGCTGTAGCCAGTCTTCCTAGATTTATTAAATAGAACTGATTTCCCAGTTAGTTTGGGGTAGTATACATTCTTGAAGTAGTGCTGACCAGCTGCGAACTGGACAGCATTCTGATACAGCGGCTCCAGCATCTCGTATCAGCAATCTCCAGGTGTCTTGATGTTTCTTGAAGTCATGACAAGCCTCTGGACACGGTGTTTTACCAGCAGCATTTTGTACAACTGTTGGTTGTTTTTCCCAGACTGGATGATGTTTATCATGTTAGAGGACTTGACCAGCCCCTTATGGGCTGATTCTTATCAGTTTTCTTCACCATTGCGTTAAAGGCACCTAAGCCTCCATAAAATTGGATTCTAGCAACTGGAACAATACGCTTCCTTAGTTCACTGCATTCATGTTCAAAACTGTTTGCCAGTACACAAAATCAGTGACTGAAACTCAATGGCAGAAGACAGGCCAGAAAGGAGTCTGCCACACACTTTGCAAAACATGCAACCCTAGGGAGCTCAGTAGAACTTTTGCCTGAGAAGTTAAGAGTATGATTGTATTAGGAGATGGTGAAACTCAGAGCTTCTTATTCTGGGCTCCGCAGAATTCAAGGAGTCCGTGAACTTGATGAGGAAAAAAATTACAACACAAACCTCTAACTAAAATCTATCATTTCTTTCCATTACATTGCAGACAACAGAGCCTAACAGTATTAGCAGCCCATGGAGAACTTTATCACAGAAACAAATATTTCATATATAATTGTAGATTTCTACAGATAACTTGAAATGGCATAATCTTCAGTACTTTGAAATTACAGTAGTTGTTAGACCCATCATTAGAGATGTTGTTGATTAATAATAAAGAAGCACATATTACTATGTTACAGCTTTAAAAAATTATAGTGGGTGTTCTTTACAATCTTGTGTGTTTTATGCATTTAAACATATGATTCTGGGAGATTCTCATACTTCACTGCCCTGTCCCTGAGCTGTGTAACACAGAAGAAGCTAAGAACACCTGGCTGAGGATAGGCTGTGGTAACAAATGAATCCTTATTATTTCAGTGATTCTACACATCTTTCTGGTTTAATATGTCTTCTAAGGATTGATGTGGCCTTCTTCTATCTTGAGATGTTACCATCTCAAACTGTGACGTTAAGATTTGCCTCAAGAGGGCAAGAGAGGCATGGAGAGCTCACCCTCATTCATGTAGGCTTTGGCTGGGTAATGACACAGGTTACTTCTGATCAGCCCATTGGCCATGACTGGTCACATGACTCCACCTACCTGCAAGGGAGCTGGAGTCTATGGGAGAGCACTTGAGAATTCCAGTAGGCAGCATACACATACCTGTTTCACAATGGTATGTTTTTCATTTGCCAGTAGTGTTTGGCCTTGTGTCTTCAACATATGTGCCTGTTGGGAATGAAGTTTTTGGTGTTGCAAAAAAAGAATGCCTTTTTATAATCTTCGAAGAACTTTCCCATTTCTCACATGCCTAATAAATATCTATGTTCTAAATAGTATCCTTGATTGGGCATGCAAACAAAACAAATGAAACCCAGAATAGAACTTTCATAAAATCCAGTATTTAAGTTCATACACAAATTATAAGAATTAACCTACTGCGGCCGGGCTCAGTGGCTCATGTTTGTAATCCCAGCACTTGAAGAAGTCGAGGCGGGAGGATCCCTTAAAGCCAAGAGTTTGAGACCAGTTTGAGCAACACAGCAAGACCCAGACCAGCTTGGGCAACGTAGCAAGACCTTGTCTCTTAAAAAAAAAAAAAAAAAAGAGAGAGAGAGAGAGAGAGAGAGAGAGAGAGTCCGGACGCGGTGGCTCATGCCTGTAATCCCAGCACTTTGAGAGGCCAAAGCGGGTGGATCACCTGAGCTCAGGAGTTCGAGACCTGCTTGGCCAACATGGTGAAACCCCGTCTCTACTAAAAATACAAAAAATTAGCTGGGCGTGGTGGCAAGTGCCTATAATCCCAGGTACTTGGGAGGCTGAGGCAGGAGAATTGCTTGAATCCATGAGGCAGAGGTCGCAGTGAGCCAGGATTGCACCATTGCACTCCAGCTGGGTGACAGAGTGAGATTCTGTCTCAAAAAAAAAAAAAAGGAGAGACAGAGAGAAAATTAACCTATTTTAACCTATTGCTATGCAGATAGTAACAGTTTATTATAATTATTATATAATTAAGCTACTTCTTGCAAATGTGAAGATTCTCTATTCCCTCCTCCTGCATTTTAATACAGAAGAAATTAAGAGGAAAGTGCAATGAACTTACTACCATTATATTTTCTAGGAAATAAGTGAAAAGAAAAATAGTTATAGCCAGAATAATAAAGTGGTTTTGATACACTGACTATTTCTTGCCTCTCTTGGAGTTCACAACCTCTCCCTCTACCAGCTCTATCTTTATTTTATGTATCATTTCTCTCGGGATAAAACCAACTTCACTCATCATGACCAGAGGCCTTCCAGTCAGATTGGCAGCTGTATTCTTGGATTTATTTTAGTCTAGGTTCCCCTCTTTGAACTGATTTATGCCTTTTTGTGTTGATGCCTTCAGCAGTTAATTTCATAGTTTAACTACTTTTTCTATAAGAAAATACTATCTGAACAGTTTCTAGAAATTACATCTTCTTCTGGCAAAAACTGCTTCTGGTGAAATTACTTCTACTTCTGGTGTTTTTGTGCACAAAAATACCCAACCATAGTAAGTGTAATACAAACACCTTGAAATACTACCTATCAGTACCTTTCTCTCTGCAAGGTGTAGAAGGATGGCTATTCCACTTTCTTCCAAGGCTGATGAAAAAGAAATGGAAGTGACTTCCACTTGAAAATCATCAGCTCCATCTCACTTTGAATAAAACACAGTTGATCTTTTAGGGGCTTACGTGTAGATTTGAGCCTGGCCTAGATGCCTCTTTGCTGGCACCTATTAAATAAACAGAGTAATTAAATGATAGGTAAAAGGTCTAGAACTCAGGTGTCATTACTGAAAAGTGTTCTCTTTTTCCCCTTCACTTTCTTCTCCATAGAAATTCCCCAACAGCAAGTTGGATATGATAGAAGACTTAGCTTTACTTTACATAATATTTAAGGTTAATTGTTTTTGGATGTTTTCCCAGTTGTTGTTGTTTTTAAAGGCTAAGGAAAAGAAGCAACAGAGATTTTTCCTTGTTTTGAATAGAGAAGACATATAACAACTTAAACAGGACAGAAAACATTGCAAGTAGATGCCTTTCCCACAATGGAGCTGTGAACTTATCCTGTAATGTACACTTCATAGCTGTCTTATTTGAGCAAATCCTCCTGAGCCCTAAAATTGATTTGTTGTATTGCTTCCACATTTTTTGCCAACAGTTATTTAGACAGAGCTGAACATATTAAACACTGGTTGAGTTCCCCATTGTCCTGTCTGGCACTCTGTTTCCATCCATAATGTACACTGGTGTACATTAGATCACTGAGGGGCTCATTATTACTGAATTCCAGCCACGACTTCATTCCTAAAAAACACATGTGCCTGCTTGGTATTGCTTGTAAGCTTTAAGCTCTACTTTTCCCTCTCTCTGTGTGTGTATGTGTATGTGCATGCATCTATGTGTGTGTGTGTGCATGTGTGTTGTTTTCAGATAATAGGTACAGCATAAAATCTTTTTAGATTATAATTTTTGTTTCTATTGCACATTCTCTTATGGTGGGGGAATTTCAGGTTAAAAAGGAAAATACCAACTCTGTCTAATTAATGTCAAAATTTAGGTGAAGTAGGTGAGGAGAGGTTGAAAATTTGTGGTAAGTAGAAGAGTATGAATAAAGTTAACTGCAATTAAAACCACTTAACCTGTAGTTACATTTCCCAAACCCAAGTGGCAGCCTTAAAACTGACCACTGAATTATGGAAACTGAACGGAAAAAGGCTTTGTTTCATTGCATCGAAGTATTTTTCTTTTCCCATTTTGGGTGCATTGATCTCCCTGTATTCCCTGGGGTTGCTGGAAAAACTTGGTCAAAAAGGATAATTACTTTTTTTATTTAGTTGCATGCTCTTCAAAAGGCAACAGCAAGTATTCATTAATTTCCATCTGATAGAGCCGAACTTTTTTTTGTGGTTAAACAATTGAAACAGGAAATGACCCAAGATACAGTTTCCATGACACCCTGTCACTTGGATCCAGTTTTCCAGAAGATGAAAGACCAAAGCCGGCTTTTGATAGTGAGTAACTAATTGGACTGGCTGATAGTGGGAGTTTTTTAATGTGAAAAATAAAGGAGAAAAAACTGGAACAGCTGTGTTTTGGTACAGTTGTCTAATCCCCAGATAAAACACTCCAAGGACATTGAAATTGAATAATGCCTTTAGTTAAGGGGAAAAATCTAAAATCTGTCAAAGCACTGGTTTACTTTAGAGAAAATACAGAATATATTTACATGGAAAACCCAAAACAAAACAAAACAAAACTCCAAAAATTTACAGAGCCAAGATACTAAGTCATGCCTTTTAGGAATCATCTTTGTTCATACAAAGTATGATTTCATATTTTTAAGATGAATTCTTACATGTGAATAAAGAGAGTACTTGCTAGACTACTTTTTCGGTCAACATTTTCAAATGCTGTGTAGCATGGTGGGTAGACCTGAAGAGTTTTGTTAGAAGGATGAAAAAGTTTTGTTTAACTCATGTTAAACAATTTGAGGCATACAGTTAGAAGTGTTTTTACTGATGATCCCCCCCATACATACATAAATGTAGGTTCCAATTGTTTATATTTTGTAGAGCTTCTTTAGAGAATTAAATGTGAATAAGCCAGGGATTTGTTAGACTAATGGGTAAAACTTCCTGTATACTAATGGGGAGATCATTGTTTTGGGCTCTAATTCTAGGCCTTGCTAGCCATCAGCATAGTGACCTGTGACGCTGTTTCCCTTCCTTTTGTAAATGAAGAGGTTGGGGATAGTCCTTATATAATAGCTCTTGTCATTCTGCCTACTTTGGAAATGTAGGACAAGCACTGACCTCTTCTAATATAAAGGTAATCCTGGTGGACACAATGGAGATGCACATGAAAAGGTGAAAATATTTTTATTTTTTTGAGACAGGGTCTCACTCTGTCACCAAGGCTGGAGTGCAGTGGTGCAATTATGGCTCACTGTAACCCCCACCTCCTGGGCTCTAGCGATCCTCCCACCTCAGGCTCCCAAGTAGCTAGGACTACTGGCGTGTGCTACCATGCCTGGCTAATTTTTGTATTTTTTGCAGACATGGGGTTTTGCCATGTTGCCCAAGATGATCTCAAACTCCTAAGCTCAAACCATCCCACCTGCCTTGTCTTCCCAAAGTGCTGGGATTACAGGCATGAGCCACTGCACCCAGCTGCTGAAAATGTCTTAAAAGGAGAAGACACCTATTTTACTTAAATGTGACACAACATTTAATCACTGGAACTTAATGGTATGCATTAGAACTGTTTCTTGAGGAACACAGTCTCTGACTTAATGAATTTTCTAGCAAGTCTCAACCTTTCTCTTTTGGGTGTACCAGAATTCTCTCGTCAGTTTTCCATTAGTTGGATTTACCTGTTGGGTTTAATTCTTTCATTTTGTATATAGGTACCTCTGCTTGGTTTCATTTTGCTTTCCTAAGCAAGGGAGTAGAAACAGATGTTAAGACTGAAATTCTACTATATTTAGGAAGAATAAATAAATATATCTTCCACTATGGTATAATGGAAAGATATACTGACCTGGGCATACTCATGGGCAACGTACCTGTTGTAAATCCCCTCCTTTGCAAATTGTACCTACTTTGAGGTGGACTGCAAGTTCTATGAGGCCTGGGACCTCCCTGCAACCCTTTTACAAAGCCGGCAGTGTAGTGCTATCTATGCCTATCTGATTGAGACACTGATCAGATGTTTGAATGGATTGTGAAGACGGTGCGAGGATGTACACCAGGAGCACACAGTGGCTGTTCAAGAAATGGTGATAGTTTTTGTTTATATTTTCATTTCCATGAATTGATATTTTGATATTGATAACAGCAGTCTTTGAGACCAAGACTTCCAAACTTTTTTCTGGAAATAATTTTTTTCTTCCTCACCCAGAAGAACATTTATTTTCTGGATGTAGTTCAGATTTCTTCTAAACTTTATCTCACTTGGTGTGAAACTAGAGGTATAGAGGTAACTTTTTATTATACCACCACCCAATTTTAAGCTCCGGATGACCGTGCAGGAACTGCTTTTGTTTTCCCAAGGCCACCATCCCCAGTGCAGATGGAAAGGAACAAGATACAGGAGGGCAGTCAAGAGCCTCTGGGGAGCCCCTGTACTGGTACCTGCTCAGCCCCGGGAGCCACAGGCATTACTGTCAGGGTGGCTGTCTCCTTATTGCTCGTCTTGCAACTGTCACTATGCTGCGAGGTCTGGAGGGGAGGGGAGGGGAGGGGACATTCCTCCTGCTGCACCCTTGGAGGCTGCGGGCTTTCCTGGGCCTCGGAGAGCGGCTCAGCGAAGGCCCTCAGCTCAGGAGCCTGATTAGGTGCATAAAATCGCTGTAGCCAGAAGGGACCTCCCCGCCCCCGGGCCGCGCCCCGCCCCGCCCCCTCCTCTGGGGCACACCCCGCCCCGCCGCCCCTCCCCCTCCCTGGGCACACCCTATGCCGCCGTTCCTCCCCCTCCCTGGGCGAACCCCAACACCTCCACCTCTTCCCCCTCCCTGGGCGCACCCCATCCACGCCCGACCATCCCCCTGGACCCCGCCGCCCCTCCCCCTCTTGGCTGCGCCCCGCCCCGCCTTCCGGGCGCCCTCCTTCCCCGGTCTGCCTTCTCCCTGACCCTCCTCCCGGTCGCCAGGACCCCGCGGCCCGCGAGGCAGCTCTTTGTTCCCCGGCCTCGCCCCGCCCCGCCCCGCCCCGCCCCGCCGGGTCCCCCGCTTCGTCCCCGGCCGCCCGCTTGTCTCTCCCCTCGCTGTTCTGCCCCTTTGTCTTCCACGCCTGCCCCTTCAACTCCTCTTGCCCTGCAAACCCCGGGTCGCCACCTCCACATCCCTTCCACTTCTACCTGCCTGCCTTGGCCTGCATTTTATTTTCAACCAAGGTTGAAATGGTAGCCCCACGCAAAATCCGATGGTGTGTGGAGGAACTGCCCAGTCATTGCAGTCTGCACGCCTTCTTAAGTGCCAGGTGCGAGCAAGGCCGACCAGGAACTGCCGATGGGCTTCACCTGTCAGACTGGACTGCCACCTGCCACACATTCATTGAACTTTTAATAAGCACTGCCGCTGTGCTTGGCGTTTTGCTGGGCTCCAGAAATAAAAAATTCAGAGAGGCCAAAGTTCTTCAGGGATGCAGACAGGTGATAGAACCATCATTTATTGAGCACTTGCTAAGTGCTAAATACTCTTACCTGCGTTATCTTGTGTAATCCTCACAACCACACTCAACGACGGCCTATTGAATGCTCTCTAGGTGTCTGGCAGTGTTCCAAACAGTTTATGTGTATTACTTTGTTTGATCTTCCCAACCACCAATGAGGTAAGTACTGTTATTTTAATGCAGAGGAGGATTATGGAGGGACAGAGATTAAATGACTCAGAGCCACATGCTCATGACAGCAGAGCCAGGAGTCAAAACCAGGCAGGTTGTAGTGGGTATACTGAGAGAAAATACGTGTTTTTTTTCCTAGCTGGAATTAAGTGGATGTGTCAAGAAAGATTCAGAGGACGTGATTCTTATGCTAAGTATCTGGTGTATCTTGTGTCACGGTTTTGTTCTTGCCCGTTACTTACTGTGTTTAGAGAAGATGTTCAAAGAGTACCTAGAAAATTGTTTTAAATACAGTTAAAGCTGTTCGGTATTTTCACTTGCGTTTTTCTGTGTAATACATCAAATTGCCTGTTCTTCGTTCAAGTAGCTCCCCCATTAGAGCATGTTTTTTGGAACAGTTAGGAACCTATAGTTGTAAAGTGATTGAAAACCTTTGGTAGATAGGAGCTGAATTTGCTTTTCAGTTGTTTTTGTGACTGTTGTTAGGTAGGGATTTCAACTTATCTGTAAAACGAGATTAATGATAAACTCTACCATCTCTTGTGAGATGTGAATATTTTGAGGTCCCAAGGAAAAAGGCCTTGGAAGTTCATGACTCGTAAATTAGTATGTGTTTCACACATCATGCTTTGAAGGTTGTTCTTGATGTGTTAGGATAGGACCAGGAGACTGACTTTAGGATCACAGCTACCTCCCCGGAACCTCTCCTCATTTCTCCCAGCTAGAAAGGGTTCCTTTTACCCTACTTTCGTGCCTCTGTTGTACTCCTTACTGGAGTCTTGCCTTATAGTTGGTTGTATCCAATCTGCCTGCCCCACTATGTTATACATTCCTTGGGGCCAGGGACTGCCCTACCCATCTTTGCTTTGTCCTTGAGTTGGAGGCCACAGTTGAGACCACAGCATATGCCAATTGAGTTGAACTAGTGGGCTGCCTGGTTAATGTTGAGATGAAAGGTGATGTTTTTTACTTGTGTTGATGTTGTTGTTATTTTACTTTCTGGGGTGTAAAAAGAACATCTTGCATAGGTAGAGGTGGAGCATGGGCTCTAAAGCCTCCAGGGAAGAAGCAGGGGCAGGAAAATGGGAGAACTGGAGTAGGAATCCGCAGACAGCCCAGGAGATAGAGAATGTGGAAACTCAGGTTGTATTAGGAACACGAGCCAGGAAGAAGTAAGAATAAGTTTTCAGGAGCTGAGAGTGAGAATGGAAATTCAGCTCAGACAGAAAATAGCTTCTTTTTGATTTGTCAAAAATGTTATATTTAGTGGAAAAAATACACCTTTAGGAGTCAGAAGACTTGAGTTCAAACCACCAGTATGTTGCCTGGGCAAATCATTTAAAGTTGGGGCCTCCATGTCCTCATCTTTAAATCTTAAAGTAGAAAAATGAATGTGTCTCATCTCCTTCTGTATTAGTCCATTCTCACACTGCTGTAAAGAAATATCTGAGACTGGGGAATTTATAAAGAAAAGTGGTTTAATTGGCTCAGGGTTTCATAGGCTGTACAGAAAACGTGGCTGAGGAGGCCTCAGGAAACTTAAAACCGTGGTGGAAGGTGAGGGGGCAAAGCAGGCAAATCTTCACATGGCCAGAGCAGGAGGACAAGAGAGAGAAGGGGGAGGTGCTACACACTTTGAAACAACCAGATTTTGTGAGAACTCAGTCATTATCATGAGAAGAGCAAGGGGGAAATCCACCCACATGATCCAATCACTTCCCACCAGGCCCCTCCGTCTTCCAACATTGGGGTTTACAGTTCTGCATGAGATTTGGGCAGGGACACAAATCCAAACCATATCACCTTCTTGATGTGTTTTTATAGGAATTACATGAGAATGCCTGGAGAGGTATTCTTGTATTAAGTGTAACGCACTACACAAATGCTGGTGTGAAGGTGGGTGAGAGCTTCTGGTGGAAGAAATAGCACTGGATTTAGCAGGGGCTATGAGAGCATATGATCTTTTTTGTGTGTGTGACCTTGGATTAGCAAATTTATCTGTCTAAACCTCAATTTCCGCATGCGTAAAATGGGGATAATCATGCCTACCTTAAATGAAATGGACCTGCCAGGCAAAGCACATATGAGTTGGGTCTGTCCTGGAAAACTTGTTTCAGTGATTGACATTAAACACCTGCTGCCCTTATTTAGATATATTCCTCTCAAGTCCCTAAGTTGTTCTCTCACTAAGCCTGAGAGTGAGAGGGCTAAGTAAGATAGAGACGTAGTGCATTTAGAGAACCATACTCAGTCTTCTGTTAAGACACTACCAGGTCTGACACTGGCTTACTGCCGCAGGCTGTTTATTACTCTTAAGCCCAAGACAACTTCTGCAGTCTGGATAAGTTGCCTCCCTAGTTCATCTTTTTATCCTTGAAAAAGGCCCAGGGCTCCCAGGCATTTTCTTTTCTTTGGTGTCTCCTGCCATTCCCCACCCCCAGGGTTCTTCTCTTTCTATGATTGGCTGCTACTCCCCTCATCTTTGCTGCCCAGATGGCAAGCACAAAGGAAAAAGGTCTTTTTTTCCTTTTAAGGCTTTTATTGCTAATTATAAGAGAAAAAGCAATAGGGCCACAGGACTGAAAATTTAATGAAGTTCATACTCTCTTTTTTTCTCTGTTAGCTTGTTCCTAACTATGAGTATGGATGAAAAATGCTCTCTGCTTTTATTTGTGAGGGTTGGGGCTGCTCATCTCTTTGAACTGTCATTAGCAAAAGGCTCTATAACTCCCTCTACCTTGGCATCTTTCATGCCTGTGTTACCCGCCCCTTGTAGCAAGTGTGGAGTTTTCATTTTTTAGAGATCTCCAGACTTGTTAATAACAAGTTCACTGGGCCTCAGCTCTGCCCAGGAGGGACTAATTGCAAAGTAAATCCCAGGCCATAATAAGGAATTGATGAAAGAGCACCATCTTTAATCCTTTCTTTGGCTTCAGCCACTTGTTATTAAAAAGGTGTATTTGAATCAACTAAAGATGAACAGCTTTAGTTCATTTGTCTTTCTTGGCTTAAAAAAATGGTAGGAAGGAAAAGGATCTCAGGGTAAAACACTCAAGTTATTCAGTAATTTTATAAGTCTTTATTTTTCTTTGACCATGAAATCAGCCCTAGGGTGCTTTTTAAAGTAGGGAAGTTTTGTTAAATCTCCAAGGATAGAAGGAAAACACTACAACATTATATATAAATGCAAAATTAAGACTGTGAAGTAGATTTTATGATATTTTTTCAAAACCTAATCTAGATACCTATTTTAATATTGTGACATTTGCATCCCTTCTCAGTTTATTAACAATAGGAGAGATTTATTTAAGACATAGCAGAGACAATGATTCTCAAACGAATACTCCTAGATGTATTTTGTCTTGCACGATTACTGTTAAGATTTTTCAGTTTAGGATTTGGAAGAAATAATACCTTTCAGAAAAACATATTTTTTAAATGCTGAAAAACTGGCAACCCAGATAGAACATGCCCCACATACATACATTTCACATTTATGATAGAATAGTGAAGAGATATTACAACATTCATATAAAACCTACATTTAGGATGACTTAGAGTGCTAGTTAAAACTGCTTTTTAAGGAAAATTTTAATGGGAGTCAAGAGCCAGGAGCCTCAGGTGAATTCTCAGTGCTGGTACGTGACCAGCTGCGTGAACCTGAGCAAATCAGTATCTTCTCTTGTCACAAAAAAGGGATGCGGAGGTAAAGTAGAGTTGCTCCAACAGCATTAAGATGAAGATTCAGTGAAGTTTTGGACATTTATTGCTGTTTCAGCTGACTTGCATCTTTGCACCCTTTCAGCTCTAGGAGCCAATGGGAGCTACAGGGGAAGGCAAGTGATCCTCTCTCCTGCCGTGGCAGCTGGGGCAGTATGTGTGTTACATACACTAGGCCATTAAGGACTGTTACCTGGGACTTTGAGCATTAGGCAGCAATAGAAATGGGACAGTCAATAATTTTAAGGTTATGGAGAAAAAAAGAGGGTCCAGTGACGACGGAACAGCCAGGTATTCACAGTCGCCTTTCAGCAAGGTTGTTTAGGTAGCTTAATCTCCTGGGCAATGTTCTCAACTACCTAACCACTAAGTTTCTGCCTCTTGTTGTGTTTCTAGTGTCTTTCTAATAACTCTTTCTTTTTTCTGATTAAGTTCATTTCTGTCTTTTATTTTGTTGTTCTGGTGGTCATTATTCAGTTTTGCACAATTTTTAAATTGCCAAAACCAGAAATTGCCAGAGAGATTGGGTCACTGGGACAAAGATTCAGATACATGCAGACAATGCCAAGTGCTCCTGTAAATCTCTTGCAAGATTGTGGTATGATTTAAATAAGATGTTGCATATTGGAGTGCTGTGGGTCCTTGAAAGTTCAATGCATGTATAATTGTTATTCCTGGAGGTTGTAATGAGGGGAATATCTATGGGATTAATATGGCTGTGGGTACATTGGAATTTAGAGTGTCAAAGGCCACTGGATTTGGTAATGGTTCTGGTCCTTGTAGTGGAGAATCCATTTTCCTTTTGCTGATATCTATGTGGCAGGTAAAACGCCTTTTAGATCATAGATATTTTGGACTGTGCTTATTTTTAGTGTACCTAAGATCTCTACAGGTATAGGACATTAAAGCAGATGGAGTACGGTATGTAGTAGGTTTGCAAATGAAGGAGACTAATCGTACTTCTGCTGTAGAGCAGGCACTGTACTTTAATCTGTTTTTTTCCTTATTTGATGTTACTTCCTCTTATTTTATAGATGAGGAAATCCTCACGAGAGGAAGTCTTAGTACCTTGTCAAGTATCAATTAACTGTTATAAGGGTGATTGAACATTCACATCCAGGGCTTTTATATTTCAAATCCCTGGTTCTTTCCATTATAGCATGCTAGGATCATGAGAAAATAAAGAAGTGGAAGAAAGACCAGAGAAAGGAGTAGGAATTGCCTAGGAAAATAAACAACCATCAGGTTCCAGAGAGAGGTTATTAGAAATCTAGAGTTCAGACAAAGAATCATAAAATTGCAAGATTAGAATGGACCTTAGAGAAGTAGAGCTCACCACCCTCTCCAGCTCATCTCTCTCTCCAACATCTCCAAGTGGTCACCCAGCCGCTTCCCGCTACAATGATGGGGAGTGTCTTACTGCAGAAGACAATCTGTTCCATCTGTATTTAGCTCTGGCCACGAGGAAATTATTCCCTATGAACCCCAGGATTTCCTTTGGCTCCAAGTTTACAAAGCAATAATTAGCACTTTGAGTTGGGAAAGCTAGACAGCAAAGTGGTTATGAACCCCAGCTCTAGAATACAATTGCCTTCCTTTGAACTACAGTTGCCTTCCTTTGAACTTGAAATGGGCTTTCTCAGCTTATCAGCTGTGTCCTTTTCTCATCTGAACATGGTGGCCATCTCACAGTGTTGATTTGAGAGTCAGATGAGATAAAGCATTTGGCATAGTCACTGGCATGTATAGTAAGACTTTTTAATAAGGTTTTATATATAAAGTTACTGATTGTTATTATTTTCCATAACTCTATGAGGTAGAAATTATTATTCACACTTTCTAGATCTTAGAAACTGAGGCACCTGCCTGATGGTCACAGAAAAAGCAAGCAGGGCTGGGCATGGTGGCTCAAGCCCGTAATCCCAGCACTTTGGAAGGCCAAGGCGGGTGGATCACCTGAGGTCAGGAGTTTGATACTAGCCTAGCCAACATGGTGAAACCCTGTCTCTACAAAAAATAGAAAAATTAGCTGGTCATGGTGGTGCACACCTGTAATTCCAGCTACTTGGGAGGCTGAGTCACAAGAATGGCTTGAACCCAGGAGGCAGAGGTTGCAGTGAGCTGAGATTGCACCACTGCACTCCAGCCTCGGTGACACAGTGAGACTGTGTCTCAAAAAAAAAAAAAAAAAAAAAAAAAAGCAGAAGCCCTCTGGAGTTCAAGGGCAAATGATTCAACTTCTGCTCTTCCCCTTTTAACACTTCCTGCTGTTCCTCCTTTACTTTGAATGGAGAGAGGCTACTGCAGGCCAACTGGAGTAACTAAGACAAAATAACAGTCTGCAGGTGTGGCTAGGGACAGACACACACACCCCTGCCAATTTCGGGCTAAATTCAACATTTCCACTCTTCAAGTTGCTGTACCTTCCTCTTTTCTTTCTCCTAAAGAGGAATTTTCATTTGAAACTGTTATTTCAGTCATTTGTATTCTCTGCTCATCAGCACATGGATTAGTTGTAACTTCATGTAGTTGTTTTGAATAGCTGATACAAAAAATCTTTTGGCGGGGTAGAACTTGGTTTTTCAGTATATGCATGTAAGTTTGATATGTGGTTAAGTTTTTTCTGCCACCATTTAAGTGACTTCTGGACTCTTTCATTATCAGGTAAGATATACTTTATATTAGTGGATGTTAATCTCTGACCTCTGGATATTTTCACACAAGTTCATGCCAAACAGAGGCACAAATTTCCATCCTTGTTCTGTTTTTCCATTCTCCATTTCTATTGTCACATTCTGACAGCCTGCCACCAGAGTCCAAATCTTTATTCTGTTGCAAGCTGGGTTACCTTGAGTAAACCACATTAATTTCTAGCCCAAGATTATCCATCTGCAAATTTACAGCAATATTTCTGTGTTCATCTGGGTCATTCTAAGTCAGGTTTTCCCAACCTTAACACAAATGACATGTGACGATGGCAGGGGAGGGGGCTGTCCTGTGCATTTTAGGATGTTTAACAACCTCTCTGGCCTCTACCCATTAGACACCAGCAGTAACTTCCTCCAAGCTGTGACAATCAAAAATGTCAAGTGTCCCCTGGGGGGCTAAATCTTCCCCAATTGAGAAATACTGTTCTAAGGTGAAACACTGTTTTATGTTGAAAGGCTGCTGTAAGCCATAGAGCTATAAGATAACTACTAGATATTTTATTAAATATCTGCTTTATGTAAAGCACTGTGCGAATGCCATGGAGAAAAGGAGGAAGTAATCATGTATAAGGGCATCCTTGCTTCCCAGCAGCTATGGTGGGTGGAAGTGATACAGGTAGAATTTGATAAATCTGTAAGATTCAGGAGATATTTCAAACACAAGGCATTTGACATTTGAGTTGCATCTTGCCAGGAATGGTAGCCATGAAAAGGACTCAAAGGAAAGAGTGCTTACTTTCTAGTTTTTTAATGGGCTGGCAGTCAGAAAATGGAAATGAGTAAAGTAGGCCTTGAATGCCTGTGACACAGCTGGAGATGGTAGGAGCCACCTAAAAGAAACAGTTGCTGTTCAATGGAAGCCACTTGTTGGCAGCAGGAATGTTAGTCTGGGGATGCCAGATCTGCTAGTTTTTCTAAAGATGTTGGAAATCCAGATTTTTATAAGATGTAAAATTTCCTGAATTTTAAACATTAGCTCAATTTAAAACAACAACATGTGTGAGTCAAACAAAACACCTATGCAGGTTAAATTAGGTTGCCAGTTTGCGGTTTCTGTTCCAGATAATCTTTTTAGGAGGGACACTTCTCTCATCCTGTCTCTTAAAAAACAATTGGAGGAAAAGTTAAATTGGTATGTTCCTTCATACTTTATACAATTCATTTCCATCCGTGTTTTACTTTCTCTGTTTGAACCTTAGCTATCAAGATAAAGTTTAGATCTGAAGTGTTGCTCTAAGTAAAATAACGTTTTGGAAACTGTGAACATCCCCCAGTTAAGAATTCTCCAGGGTCTTCAGCTAAAAGTGAAACCTGGAATGATTGCCAGTGAATGCTTTTTGTGGCCTTGGAAATTCAGAGTGATTTATCACTTGTTGGTAATAACTGGAGGCCTCTATATACAAGAAGGGAGTTAAAGAGGCCAAAAATAACAAGTCTAACCATATGGCTCTTTTCAAGAGGTGTCCATATGGCTATCTAGTTAAAAAGGACTCTTGCCAGCTTGACTGTGAGTTTTCTTTTTTGTAGCTCGATATAAAAGTCTTCTAGCTTTAACATTGTAACAAAGGAATTCCTAGGTTTCACTTCTAGGTTTTGAAAAACTGAACTGGGCAGTGGGGGAGGAATGCAGTTGTAGGCAGCTGAGCTAGATGCATAGTTGACCATAGGATCATTGGTATTTACCACAGCAGCAAAGCTATGTGATAACTCCTATTTATATTCTTTTTAGTCTCCAGCAGTAGTTTAGCTTTTTATGATGGTGTCAAAGTTCCAAGTCTGACAGTCTAACTCAGTGTGCCTTCTTGTTCTCAAGAATGGAACATGCAGTACTTTGTCAAATGCCTTGGTGAAAATAAGATATGTATTAATTCTTATAATTTCTACCTGTATATTAAATTAAGTGGCATAATTTGGCCTGATTTGTTCTTACAGAATCCAAATTTGTTTTTAGTAATTACAATTAAATAACCTATTCTATAATATGCTGAGAAAGAAGCAAAGTTGACTGGTTCCTAGGTTCCGGAGCTCATATTTGCCCCCTTGGTCATAATGGAGACATCTTGACTATGTGTAATCTCTAAATCTCTTCATTGGTATGCTGCCATCCATGTGATTTTGGTCATACTGCATACAGTATTGGATTATTTAGGAGGAAAATACAGAGAAATAAATGTATATGCTTATGGCATAGAAAAGTGAAAATTTTGGATCTAGATTAATCCAAATGGTATTAATTCTTAGATTTTCCTTCCAGCAAATCCCGAATCCCCATTAATACTAACTATTTAACAATTTCTACTAATTTTAATTGAACCAGATACTTACAAAAAATAATTGCTTTGGAGTGTCCTTTGGAAAACACAATTGGGGAGCTATGGAAGTTATGTTCAGGTTATGACAAAAACAGACAAGAAATAATACAAACCCTACTACTTTGTGCAAGAGACTGAATTTAAATTACCCTAAGAGCCTCCTCAACTCAGATGTTTCCAGTATGATTGGTGTGACATTTGTTCAGGTTCTTTAGAATATAAGCATATGCAATTAATAATGAAAATGAATTCCTATCCTTGCAAATTCAAAGTATCTCAAAGCATTTTTTCCCTTCTTAAATCATTTTGACTATTAGTATTTGTGTTGATATGGCTTCCTCACATGAGAAATGCTATTATGCAACAGCTGTAGTTGTGCTGCCTGAATGCATGCCAGTTCTGTTCAGATTGAGCCACAGGGACTGCTTGTTAGCTCCCTAGCTGCCTGGGAGAGAGGGTAATGTAAAATTAATGTATGAAGAAAGGCCTGTTATCTGACACTATTTGGGGATGCAGGTGGTCTGAAGTGGTGTGCAGAAATTAAACTAACATGCTAATCTTTCTACGATTATAGAAAGGTGGCTGGGATTCATGGTTTCAACTCTTGGTATTAATTTTAAAAATTGGGAAGGGCATTGACTTGACTCCTTCTTTTGCCTAGCTCTACTTCCTAAACTTGAAGCATGTATAAAACTTGAGATTATCAGATACTTTCATTTTTTGGAATTCAGGGCATGTTTCATAGTTTGGAAAGGAAGTGGTAGAAGAGATTGTTAATAGGATTTTCATATATAGGTTGCAAATATCTGAAAAAAATATTTGTATATTCAAGTAGTCTTTTTCTTGATAAGTAGCACATAAACTAGACCAACATGCAACATTTTCAAATTAGTTTTAAGTTAAGGACAAAGTAACATGGGTTCTTCTTCAGCAATGCAGTCCTAATTCTAAATATACCTGTCCGTTTAACATTTTCTTTTTTCTCCTGGTGATTCTGCAATCAATTATCGCTATCTCTCCATTCTCATTTTAGCCAAAGCAAGCAATTTCAGCATTTAATGTTAGCATTGCATCCTATGATGTTCAGTACATAACTTGCAGTAGCATTTCTCATGTGGTTCTAGAACAGCTGTTTTGCTGATCTGCCTCATCTCTAGACTTGGAACCTGTCGTACTGCCTAACAGACCAGCTTACGGTGTTCATAAACAAAACACCCGGCATAATGCCTGGCACACGCTAGGTACTTAGTAAATGTTTACTCATTTATGAGATTCTGTCAGTGAGGCTGTCACGTTGGAAAAAAGGAATGACCAAATGATGAGCCAGACTCGATTATGCATTTTCATGAATATTATCTCATTTAATCCTTAAAACAGTCTTGCACGATAGGCATCATTATCTCTTGGTTTAGCTTATTACTCACACATTGACCTCAGAGCTGGTTAGGGGGAAGAGTCTGAATCTGAACCCAGGTTTTTATCTTCTTATTATTGTTCTTTCTACTATACCATAAAGCATATTCTATAATATAGAAACATTTCTAGGGAAATTTTTTTCTGGAGACTTGTCTCTGAATTTGCTGGAGCAATTCTTTCTTGTATTTTAAACTGTTCCTCCTAGTAAACAAAATTGCAAAACTTGTCTAGCAGAGCTGGAGTGGGAAATTCAGCATTGCAATTAACTGGAGTCAGACAGACTTGGGTTTTCATTCTGACTTCTCCACTTACTAGCAATGTGATCTTGTGCAAGTCATTTAAGCCTCAGTTTTGTCATGTAAATTGGGGATGCTGTTAGTACCTATTTCATGGGCTTGTGATGACATGAAGCGGGGAAAGCACTTGTTATATGTGTGAGACATAGTAGGTACTGAATGCTAGCTGCTGTTATTGTTAGTGAATAAGTGACATCTCGTTTATTCAACAAATATTATTCATTACATTTGATCCTAGCCAAAAGGCCAAGAAGTGATCTGCAAATATTTTTTCAGTGTATACTATGTGCTTTTAGTTCTACTAATTCATCAGTGATCAAAACAGACAAAAATCCATTTCTGCATGGAGGTTACATTCCAATTGCATTCCATTGGGGAGAGCTAGACAATAGACATCATGAATACTGGGAAATAAATGATATCATATGTTGGAGAATGGCTAGTACTATTCAATAAAAAAGAAATAAAGGAGAATTAAGTGAGTGTGGGACAGGGGAGAGTTGGCAGGGAGCTGTGGGGTTGCAATGAAATAAAGTAGTCACTGGAGGCCTCATTGAGAAAATGATAATTGAGCAAGAACTCAAGGGGAGACAAAGGAGTATGCCATGTGGATTCTCTGGGCAGAGCTTGGCCCAGTGGGATGAAGAGCAAGGAGGCTGATGGGGCAGGAAGACAGTAAGAGCATCACTAGGGCTTTAAAGGCCATTGTAAGGGTAAGGGGAACCTGTGGGGAATCTTGAGCTGAGGAATGACGTGATTGACTTTAGATTAAAATTGTGATCATTATCACCATGAGCTTCTCCTCAGGAGGAGGGACCTGGACAGTGTAGCACCTTTACCCGATTACTCTTCTTTCTCCTATTAGCTTAACCTTTTACACTTGAAAAGTATATTCCACCACCCCAGGGTAGCTGCCCTGCCTACTCTATGTCATTGATTGAACTTGGCAGTCCTGTGGCTGTAATGGTTGTATTCCTTGGGAAACAAAGGAAATGATTAGATCTTAAGAGGGAAAGAAAGTAGAATCCTGTGGTAGCACAGCTTGTGATCCTCTTTGAACATGACTTGATCTCTTCCAGGCTTCCCTTACTGAACCAGGAAACCTTTGTAGAGGATCCTGGGAGGTGTTGGTTTGGTTTAGTGTTTTCTAAATGTTTGTATCTCCTTACGGTGAGAGGGATCCATTATGGAGCAGGGGGAAGAGCTTAAGTGTAGTAATTTGTCAGCTCATGACCTGTGCTTAACTTCTTTCCTCTAAGATAATAGCAGCGGACATACTCTCAGCACACATGGGGATGGAAAACATTTCTGTGCTACTTCTCCAGTGAAAATCAATGACTTTTTTTTTTTTCACTTTAAGTTCCGGGATACATGTGCAGAATGTACAGGTTCATTACATAGGTATACATGTGCCATGGTGGTTTGCTGCACCTATCAACCCATCATCTAGATTTTAAGCCCTGGCTTTCAACATTCAAGATGGTCTTCCATTATCTCATTTATGTCCTATTATTCTCAATCAAGTTAATTGGAAATCTGTTTTTTTAGTGCATGTACAGGAATATGGCAATATCAGGGAATGGTAGAGAAAATGGAAGCAGGTCTAAGATGCAAAATTTAACACAGAATCACATGGATTGGTGGAGTCAGAGGATCAAGGTCCATGCCCAGCTCTGTCAAAGTAGTTGTGTGATTGTGCCATGTCTAAGCTGGAGTTTCTTTGTGCCTCATGGGATAGGAAGAAAGTAAGGTATATAGATGGCTAGTTTTGTGACTCCAAATGATGGGAATCACTTTTCTGGTGAAGTTATTGCTTGAGAAGGGAAAGAGGATGGGACAGTCCTTGTTTAGCCTTTTCTGGATAACATCAGCATGCCTAGTGTGGGTATTTTCCTGCTGCCTTATTCCCTGGGAGTTGGAGCCTTTGTCTTTCTGTCAGGCTATTTACAACCTATTGTGTTCTAGAACCCCATAGATAAGGGCTTAGTGACTCCTTAGCTTGTGCCTTCCAACCTTAGTGGTTCTATCAATATCTTTGTGTCCCTCACAATACCTTGAATTTCCCTTCCTCATTATGTTAATTATTTGAGGTAATTTTAGAGATAGGTACCATTTAACTGAGTGAAAGCTTTACAATTGAGGGGTTACTCATTAGCAGGACCTGGGTTTTGTTTTTAATCTCATTAACCCCTTGTTACCCATTTGATAACAAAGACTTCAAGGAAGAATTTGCTCAAAAATCTCTGGGAGACAGTAATAGCTTCTTGGGCCTGACTGATAAACTTTTTGCCTCCAGCAATGGAAATGTGGGAAAATTCCAGATGCTAAATGATCTGGCTTGGACCCAGCAGGTTGAGGTAGTGGAGCCTTTCGATTGAGGCACAGCCCAGGACTGCTGCAAGGGAGAGGCACAACAGATACCATAAGGAGGTCTGATTTCTGAAAGGAGTACCATAGAAAAATTATTGATCTGTCCCAGGCCTCAGTTTCCTTGTCTCTAAAGTGAAAAGATTGACTGACTTAGTAATAGGGAACTGATTTTATTCTAATAATGTAAAAAATACCTACCAAACTATCTGGTAAGTCTGAATTAACTTTTTTCCTTCCAGCAAAAAAAATAAAAAGAAAAGCATTACCAGTGACTGCCCATTAACTATCAATCAGATCCTCTGAGCAGTTCTAGTTCACCAGAGTTAACCAGAGTTACTAAGCTGGTGTAATTCCTGGCTCAAGCCAAAAAACTTGATGTTTTAGTTAGTCTTATGACGAGCACATTTTGAGTTTTTTTCTTTTAAAAAATAAAATATTGCAAACAGCTCTCGGTCATTACCACCTGTTGTAAGCTGATCTAAGCCAGTTCGGTTATACACAACTCCTAGGTGCTTTTTTCTGGTGAATTTTGATAGCTGCCAGATTATTTGAGGTGAGAGGTTTTGCTACTATCCCACAACCTTGCCACCTACTTATAGCTAGTGCAAGTCTGAGACATTCTGCTGCACATACAGACGTTGATTAACAGCCGTATATCAGCCAGTAGGCACAAAATATTTCTGCAACATTACTCTCTATGCTTGATAAAGTCCCAGCTGTCTTCTTTTAGTTGTTCTGCTCACCACTTTGCATGAAAGCTGTACTTGTAGACATTACAACATTCCAGAGGAGAGTTCTGTTATCTTTAATAGTCAGCATCAAGCAACTGGAAGTCCTCCAACTGTGCCGGACTCATGTCCACTTAGGGGACAAGCCTATCAAGGCTACACTCTTATTCATACAAGGGTAGAGGTATTTCTAGAATATTTTGGCCAATTCTCATAATTTGAATATATGTTTAAGTTTACCAGGGATGGCCCATTTCTCACATTTATATTGCTAGCAAAGAAGCCATTCGTCTCACACACCCACACAAATCCACCTCTGACATTCACTTTGCTAATTGGCAAAGGGCCTGGTGTTAATGAACATGGATGGTGGAAATATTTGCAGTGTGTCTTTCTGGAGTATGGGCTTCATGCTTAGAACACGACCTGCCTACCCCTAGAGTGCATTCCTGAATATAATGCCAACCACATTTGAGTTGTAGTTTAAACTAATTAACTCACATGCAATATCTCATTACCTATACTGAATTATTGTTAAGTTAATTAGGCATCCTAACATTGCCTTTGGAACCCCACTGTGGAAACCACTGTTACTAATGTCACGCTGTAGGAGTAGACTTTGAAATGATTTGTAAGGATTCTTTTGCTTAAAAAGCACTGATTAACTTCCACATACTCGGAACCATGTCTTGTCACTGGGTGGGAAAACATATTAGTTACCATTTACTGAGCACGTAGCATGTGTGCAGTCCTTTCTGTACATTGTCTCTACTCCCCCTCTAATCAACTGTGTGAAATAGAGACTTGGCTCCATTTCATAGATGAGAAAACTGAGACATGCAGTGGGAATCTTTATCTAAACCTAGGTTTATCTCTACAGGTAGGTTTATCTCTGCAGGTAAGGCTTTCCTATTAGTCCTATTGCTGCATAACAACTTACCACAAACTCAGTGGCTTAAAACACCACAAATTTATTCTATCCCAGTTTCTTTAGGGTAGAACTCTGGGCTAGGTTCTCTGCTCAGGGTCTCACTGGACTGAAATCAAGATGGCAGCTGGTACTTCAGTTCCCTTGTGGGCTTGGAGTCTTCTTCCAGGCTCACTGGTTGTAGATAAGATTCATGTCCTTGCTGTCGTAGGGCAGAGGTCTCAGTTTCCCTCCTAGCTGTCATCTGGGGGTTGCACTAAGCTCATGGAGGCTATTTTGTGTCTTGCCCTGTGGCTACCATAGACGGCTCACAACATGTGTGGTGTTTGCTTGTGGGCCAGCTAGAGTATGTCTTTGATCCCCTCTGGCCCTGGCCAAAGAAAACTCTGCTTTTAAAAGGTTCATGTAATTAGTTTAGGCCCATTGGATAATCTCTGAATTATCTGAATTAACTTTCTGAAAGTTGCTGTGCCATGTAACATATATAATATGTGGTCTTTTGTGACTGACTTCTTTCACTTAGTTTAATATCTTCAAGCTTTTTACAGGCTGTGACACATATCATTACTTGATTCTTATTCATGACAATACTATTCTATTGTATAGATATACTGTATTTTGTTTATTCTTCAGCTAATGGACATTGGATTGTTTCCACCTTTTGGCTATTATGAATAATGCTGCTGTAAGTGTTTGTGTAGAAGTTTTGATATAGATATACATTTTCATTTCTCTTGGGTATATGTTTTTGAGTGGTATTGCTGGTTCATATGGTAACAGTTTAATCATTTGTGTATCTTCCCTGGAAAAATGTCTATTCAGATTCTTTGCCTATTTTTAAATTATCTTTTTATTGAGTTGTAAAGATGCTTTATATAGTCTAGATACAAGTCTCATCAGATATATGATTTGCAAATATTTTCTCCCATTCTATGGGTCATCTTTTTAATTTCTTGATGGCATCCTTTGATGCACAAAAGTTTTTAATTTCGACAAAGTTTATTTTTCCTTTGTTTCTCATGTTATTTGTGCCATGTTTAAGAATCATTGGCCAAATCCAAGGCCATGAAGATTGTCCCTGTGATTTCTTCTAAAACTTTTATAGATTTAGTTCTTACATTGAGATATTTGATCCATTTTGAGTTAATTTTTACATATGTTGTAAGGGTCCAACTTTATTCTTTTACATGTGGATATCCAATTGTCCCAGCACTATCTTTTGAGAAGACTCTTCTTTCCCCACTGAATGGTTTTGGCACCCTTCAAGACCATAGATGGCCATAGATGTATGGGTTGAAACAAGTTCTTTTCTTTTCCTCTCAACCCCCACATTTTTTTTTTGTTTTTTTGAGATGAAGCTCGCTGTGTCTCCCAGACTAGAGTGCAGTGGCATGATCTCGGCTCACTGCAACCTCTGCCTCCTGGGTTCAAGCAATTCTCCTGCCTCAGCCTCCCGAGTAGCTGGGATTACAGGCACATGCAACCACGACCGGCTAAATTTTGTATTTTTAGTAGAGATGGGATTTTACCATGTTAGCCAGGCTTCAACTCCTGACCTCAAGTGATCCGCCTGCCCGCTTCAGCCTCCCAAAGTGTTGGGATTACAGGCATGAGCCCTGGTCGGAGCAAGTTCCTAAAGTTCTGTTATGTAAGATGTTATCAATGGGGGAAGGTGGTTGAAGGATACAGGGAAACTCACTTTATTATTTTTGCAACTTGTAAGTCTGAAATTTTTTCAAAAGAAACTTAAAAAAAAAGTCCTTGAGGCATAGGCAAAATTTAGTAGATTTGGATTCATTTAATAGTTTCCTCCTAATCATGAATTTAGGAAAATCCTAATGATGAAAATCCCAGTGAGAAAAATGGCTTCCTGTATTTTATTCTGGTGTGGTATCCCTTCCAGGTGAAAGAACATTGCATCTTGGCTGCAAGAGAAAGAAAAGATCCTCAGTAATGTTTGGAATGATTTGAGTCCAGGGAAGTAGACCATACTGTGTCATAAGTGCTGGCACAGTTTTAAAACAAAAGCATAAGTAGCCATGATGGCCTTCCCTTCTGTTTACTGCTGCCTCCATCTTCCCCAGTAGAGCAGAATTTGAACCTGACTGGGTATTTGGTGAAATTCTGGAATTGCTATTAGTGTGACAATGGTATTGTTACTTTTATTTTACAAAGAGTCCTTATCTTTCAGAGTTTTATGCAGACTAATTGTAGATGACACAATATGGTATCTTTCATTTTATTCAGAAATAATCTAGGTTGGGGAAAGTGAGCATATAGATGAACAAGATTGACTATGAGTTGGAAATTACTGAAACTAGGTAATGGGTATGTGGGGGTTTATTATACTGTTTTGTCTTCTTTTATAGGTTTTCCATAGTTAAAAAATAAGTTTTCTAGGGGGTTGTTTTTAATATAGCATTGAGGCATTTGAGTGGCATCTCCATTTGGAGCTGGCTTTGCTTTACATAAAAGTGAGTCTTTCTGAGTTTGGATGCTTGTGCTATCTAGGTCTGGAGGAGCATTTTGACAGACCTGTGAACAAACAGTTCCTGGAACAAACACTTTTAGGAGGCTGGATCCATCTGAGGCTTGCTAGAGCCCTGACAGAATAAACCTGTGGCTCACAGTGCCGTTTTTCCTTCATGTGTTATTGATGTTAATCAGCCATGCCCTTGGTTGCAGGGTTATGTGAGTCTTTTTCTGAAGCTTTTTAAGCCTGTGATTCTGTAAATCTTTGTACTTTTTAAAATGTAAGTTGACATATAAAATGTATAAAGCTGATAACTAGAAAAAGTCAGAAATAGTCTGTGGAGAATCTGCTCACTTGGGGTCGAACGATATTCTTTTCCAATGATTGTGCTGTTTGTAGAAGAGACTTTCACATGCTTTATTCTTTCTTGCTTCCTTTTTCTAATGGCTATGGACCTCAGTAAATGGAGTAGATGAGTCTTTATTTATCCAAGAACAAGATTCTTGCATAGAATTGTTATAGCTCTGTATTCAGGTGACTAAAGCTTTCAGAACAATGTTAAATTGAAAAATCTGTACAAAAAAAAAAGAGACACCATCTGGAAATTATTCTATGCTTTATTCTTGGTTCTACTAGTAATGAAACGTGAGCATTCCAACTTCCCGTAATGGTTAAACTTTGTGATGTAAATGGTGCCAGGCTCTGAATAGGCTTGTAAAGGTTTTGCTGACTCTTTTGTTTTTGTTTTTATGTGCTTTCAATGAAACTATTTGTGCTGCTTTAGATAAAAGGAGGAGCAGCTTTGAGTACCTCTGGATTATTTTAATATTTTAAATAATGACAAGCAAGTATGTGAATGAATATTGATTACTGTATGAATAATTTGTATATAGGACAATTTTTCATCTTTTTCCAGAAGTGAGCCCATTGTAGTGTGTTGGCTCCATGTCTGCTTTTGTGAAACACAGTTCAGGATCAAATAGCACCACTTACTGGGTTTTTAACTCTTGACTGTGTGACATTACCCACATTAGTGGCCTGTTCTGTGCCTCAGTTTTCCTAACCAGGGATATAGGAATAATGTAATATGTAGCACTTAACTGTATAAAAATACTTTCAGGTACACTATATTTGCCTATCTACCTCACTGAATTTGCGAGGGTAATGACAAAAGTATTTCATTACCAAAATCCAAAGAGAAGTTCTAGAAAAGGATGGTTCCAGAGATGACTTTTTGATTGCAAGAATAATTGAGTGGCAGAATTAGAAAAAGCAAATGTATCCTTGAAATGTTTTTAAGTTACAAAAATAACTCTGGAAGCAAAGACACATGATGATGATGATGAAGATGATGATAGCTTTAGTGTGCTCACTATATTTCTGGCCCTTTCCTTACTGCTTTCCGAATATTGCTTTTTTTCCTCCCTTAATATAGCACTCCCATGTATGAGAGACTCATTTCCATTTTCAGATGAGGAAACTGAGTAAGAGTGGCCAAGTCACTAGCCCAAGGTTGCATTGCTAGTGAGTAGAGAGCCGAGCTTTGAACTTGGTGTGTTTGAAGAGCCTTAACTATTTCTTTGTACCTCCATATCCAGTACTTCCATAATACCACCAGTGGACCATCTCTGTGAATATTTTCCCACTCATTTCTCTTTGCTTCTAATATTTATTAGCATATTAAAATATTATAATATTGTTTGTATTCTGCTTTATATTATAATTCTTCTGAAGCTCCTAGAAATCTGGACAAGAAAAGTTTGGTATTAGGTATCTTGCCAAGAATGACATTGAGAAATTAGTACTCAAGATCAGAGACAGGAAATAAAAATGTGATCCTCCAAGGGTTTAAAATGACAGAAGTTGCAAAAGAATTTCTCAATGATTAATACATACTCAAAAAATGTCAACTTGATATTTACCCGATTTGAAAAATAACCTATCAGACATTCTTTTCCTCCCCGGTAAGATGAGCAGTTCATATTAGATGCTCTGAAAAATCTTATCCAGTTTTGACATGCTGGTTCTCAAGGCAGCCCACTTCTTATCCTGGCTTCTTTCCTCCCACACTGTATTACTGATGATCAAATACAGTAACCTGCAGTACTTACATCTTTAGAATTATTTCTCATGTTCAGTTTTAGATGTAGGTCAGACATTAAGGGGACTGGGTGGCATTTCAGTATTTTCGTAAATATAAAGGTCATCTCCACCTAATTGATTCCACAGGTGCAATGGCCTTAACTGGTTAGATTTCTCTATAGACACTTCAGGTAAGGGCAACATTTTCTTTAGGTAATGGCAACATTGCATTCTTCAGCCTGCCTATGAAGGATTGCTAACTTTATTGCTCTCCCAGAAAACTGTAGGTGAGGAAGAACACACTGCCTACACAATTTTCATGTGGTTATGAAATTCTTAGGAATGTAAGCAACAATTTTTCTGTTTTTGTTCTGGGTGTGTGCTTACTTTAAAAATTATTATTGCTTTTAAATGGACAGATGATCCAGGACCTGGAAAGAATTGAATCCATATTAAGTGCTACTATTAGGGCCAAATAAAAATCTATGCCAGCATTGCTTTATTTGATTTGTGAACCGTGTCAGCTTCCTGGGATTTAGGGTCAGATGATGGTGAGTTTGAGCTCAACCCCTTTTGGACAAGCCACAGCCCCTCAGAGCCCGTGTGTTGGTTGGTAAAGTAGGTGTAATTGCAATGGTGTCCACCTATCAAATATGACTGTGTAAGCTGTCTTTTTTAAAGGTTTTCTATGAGATATGGATTCCTGAGCCACAGTTAAGGTGCAAGCAAGATTCTAAGTTATGGATGGTTTCTCTTCTCTGTGGCCCTTTCTTTTTCATTCATCTTTTAACAGTGAAAACTGTCTAAAAAATGATTCATGTCTACCCAAATCTGTGGGGCCATTAGGACTGCAAGTGCCTTTTTTTTTAAAGCCATTTGAGAAAGAGACAAACAAAAATGGGTAATAAGAATAACAACGTTATTCCCGGAAGAAAAGGTTCCAGCCTGCTATGACTTGTTTTGGAATCTGTGAAAAGTCCTGAGAGGGCTGATTGCTCCATAACAGGGTTTCTTTTAGACTCTCAGGTTTAAAAAGACTTGAGGAGGGGGGTGAGGAGAGCATGTCAGGGAAAGAAGCAATTAAGTTAAAATTTCAAAATTGATGAAATGAAGCAATTTCCCATTCCTGCTAACGCAGAAAACTCTGCAGATTTATTTATTTTTTTCCCTGTAAGTCAGAAACCTGTACTTTTCCTTCTAGGCGTCTGGCGCCCTGCCGTATGAGAGTCTCAGCTCTTGCTGGGGTCATTTCTTCCATCTTCCTTTCCTTCTTTCCTCTTCTCCACCCACCTCTGGTTTGGTTTTTGTCACTGAGTGGTAGAGTATAGGCCTCAATTTATTACTGCGATTCTTTCGCAAAACCATTTATTCCTCTAGGGAAAGGAAAACCATGTGAGCCATCTAGCCAGAGGGTCATGAAAGATTTCCTTGGTGTAATGGTTCCAGACGCTTAGTATACGTTTGATCTGTAGCGAGCAGTTCGGAGTCAGTAGATCCTACCTGATTTCTTCTCTTGAGTAGAGAGAGAATATAGGGAGTTAAAGACAGCATTGCTTTTTAAGGGCATCTGGTAAAATTGTCCAGAAAAATAACTTGATTCTTACTATGGCGTAAAATGGATGAGTGCAAGTGCAGGACCACGGAGCGGCACAGGGACAGTTGCAGATCCCCTTGCTTTCAAGAAATGGGGTGCTGATTGCCTTGAAGCTGGGATCCATCAAGGACACCCCAGATCATTCAGTGCGGCCCATGTGACTTCTTGCTGGCATTTCTAAAGAGTGCTGTTTACATTTCAGTCCTGAAACATTGTGAAGCCACCACATTCTCTTTGATGTGAGCTCTCACAGCACATCTGTATTTCATCCTCCCAACCTTAGGTGAGACAGTAGGCGTTTCTTCGGGGAGTCTTGTGATATGTATTTTGTGCGGTAACAGTGTGGACACGCTCTCACGCGGTCCTGTTGTGAAATCATTTTGTGTGATGGCATTTGCTGCGTTTTTAGGGTCTGGAGGAAGTGAATTTTGACCTGAGGCAGGCTGGTGTCTCACAAATTCCTGAAAATTTTATATTCTTCCTTTTGTTTATAACTTCATCTGTTTTCCTAACGATTATAGTTTAAAACCAATTTCCTTTCTCTCTGTTTAAAAGTAAAGCAGATATTACTAACATGGATAATATTGCACTTAATATACAAATCTATAAAAAGATTATATTTTATTTTTTGTAGTAGGGGTCAGCAAGTACTGATGTTGATCTGATTGCCAGTACTGTGATCTTAGAGTACTTGCTTTGTACAAAAATCAAAATGTGTTTTCTAAGGCCTCTTGTAAATTAGGGTCCAACAGTGAGTATGTTTCTCAGTTGTCATTTTGTGTTGCTAACTGGCCCAGTGCTTGTGGAATCTCACTGTTTCTGCTGCTGCTAATGTTGACTTCTCACATCCATTCTTCATGTTAATGTATGTTGCACAATGCAGAATAAATTCTGGAAAGGAGTGGGGGGATGAGTTTCTGAAAGATTATCTCCATTTATAATGTGAGCAGCACTACTTGAGAATTTTACCATTCTTAATAAGCCTGGTATTTAGAATCAAATCTCTTGCATGGTCTAATTATGGAGATGGATATTATTATCTCAACATCCTCATATGAGTTAAGTTTGAAGACCTTTTTCTTTACTGTTTCTGAAAGGAGGTCCAGCTAATTTACTGCAAATGAAATAAGAAGTATTTTGGAGGAATAGGTTGACATTTAGCATTCTGGTTTGAAAACCCTCTGACTGTTAAATATTTAATGTGCTGCAAAGCATCCTTAAAAATTAAATATGAATGAGTTTTAGAAAACCTTGCAGTGGCATAAAAAATTGAGATCCCCACAACCCCATTTCAAGTGTGAGTGTCTGCCTAGGGAATCTTAATTATTTTTAATGAAGATGACATTATATATTTGATCAGCATGGGCCATCCTAAATAACAAAATTAATATAAATAAAATCCTTCTGAATAATATCACAGCAGAGATTTACTTTGAATAAATTATTAGTTTTGTCTTTGGAGGTTAATCACTCTACCCTCTTTATTTTTTATTTAATGTTAAGAGTAAAATCAAATGACCAGATAAAGTGCTTTTGTTTGAAAGAAATTTTCCTAGGTTTGTTGCTTTGCTAAAAGTAGTGGGTTACTTTTATATACTCATGAGATTTAGAGTATTATAAACATTTTTTTTTGTGGGATCTCTGAAAAGAAGAATTAGTGTATTATTATTTAAGAATAACCTGGTTGATGTTGATATTTGTAATCACATTTTTTTTTCCATTTAAAAAATATCCTAATACCTGATGGTAGTCCCCCAATTTAATGGCATTGGAATTAAATGCAAGACTCTTGAATTTGTTTTACAGTGCTGACATCTGACATTTTAAAAATTTATACCTATATTATTATACTTCCTACCTTTCATTGGGTTATATTCTGTTCTAGTTGCAAACTGTTTTAAGTATCTGTTATAATTTGGAGAAATGGGATTTGAATTCATGAATCTATAGTCTGGTGTTTGTTTTTATGAAAGAGTGTAAATTACATGTTTCAAAAAATGTTTTTAATTAAATTCCATTAGTTTTTCTTGAAACTCCTTTTCTAAGAGAAGTGGCTTGATGTCTGTACCCTGTTTGAAAAAAGATGGGATAACTTTCAGTAACTATGCTTTTAATTTTTTCTACCTTTGCAGTAACCATAGAAAAATATTGCTTATTTCTCTTTCTTGCGTCTTTCATTTTGACTAGGTAAAAACTAACACACTCAAAATGGAACCTATCATTGCTGGTCCTGTAATTAACCAGCTTTCAAACCTCTTTGGCATGTTTATTCTCAATACTCCATTTATTCTCAATACTTCGCAACCAATCTACAACGGAGAGCTCAAAAATGCCCCTTGTATCCATTTTCCTTCTTTTGCTACTAGAATCATCATCTTCTTCTAGTCTTCCAGTTCTCTTTTTTGGTTTATTACATTAGCAACAATAAAAGTTATTACTTATTGAACACTTACCATATGCTGGCTACTGTGTTACAGTGATAAATGAATTATCTTATTAACACAACAGTCCTATGAAGTGGAAGGGAAGGAACTTAGGGCTTAGGTAATGTGCCCTTGGCCACTCAGCTAGTATTCAGCAGAGCTGGGATTTGAATCCACAACTGCCTTTGGTCCTTGTATCCATATTTGACCCTATGTTATGTTTTCATTTTTGCATAGGTCTTGCTGCCAAGAACTATTCTACAGGCCCAGATCAGATCAATTCATTCCCCTGCTCTATAATGTTACTTTAGAGGGTTTTTATAATTTCCAAATCTTAAGTCTTGCCTCTAGGTCTTCTATGATTTTGGCCAAATCTACTTTTTCGTCCTTCTAGTTGTTTACGATTGGTAAAGATTTACTGGCTAGAACAAAACAAAAGATGCCTTCATAGCTAACACTGATGATTCTATAGTGAAGATCATTTAGTGTTTACTGAAGTAGCACAGTGCCTGGCAATAAAAGAGGAAGGCATCCTTCATGGTCAGGATTTAATAACACAGAACCCTTCCTTTGAAACTGAAAATTATGTTTAGCGTTTTGCCCTATAGTTTAATTGGAAGAACACTGGGCACCTGCTTCAGTGCTGATTCCTGATGCTTGAACAGTTTAGCATTACCCGGGGCCATTTAACTTTTGCAAATCCCAACCTCAACAATAGAGGTTGGTTCTATCGCCTTATTCCCATCTTCTCCCTAGAGACTTAAGAATAGCAACTTCTTAAATAGTCAGTGAAAACATAGCTTTAAGAAATAATAGTTGAGATGGAAACTAAGGTCGTTGACAAGATCTTAGAAATCTTTGTGTACACATCTGGAAAAAAAAGTTGGAGGATCAAGTTCAAAAGCAGTACAGATATAAAGGGAAACATACCTTTAGCCTTATTTACCTGGTCATGGTGAAGAGTTTTTTTTTTCTTTTGTTTTTTGGCCATTATTAACGAGCTGACTCTTCCCTGGAATGGTTACTTAAAAGGAATGAGCGCCAGGTGCGGTGGCTCACGCCTGTAATCCCAGCACTTTGGGAGGCCGAGGTGGGCGGATCACCTGAGGTCAGGAGTTCAAGACCAGCCTGGCCAACATGGTGAAACCCCGTCTCTACTAAAAATACAAAAATTAGCCAGACATGGTGGTGCACACCTGTAATCCCAGCTACTTGGGAGGCTGAGGCAGGAGAATCACTTGAACCCAGGAGGTGGAGGTTGCAGTGAGCCGAGATGGCACCACTGCACTCCAGCCTGGGCAACAGAGCAAGACTCTGTCTAAAAAAAAAAAAAGAAAAAGAATGAGCTCAGATGTGTATCAACATTCCATCGTGTTTTTTTTTGTTTTTTTTTTTTTTAGAAGGAAGAATGAATTCTCACAAGTACTTATTTCCTAAGCCTCAATCTCTCTAGGAATTTGTTTTTAAAAATCCAAGGAAAACCTTATTGGCAATGAACTGTATATCAGATTCAGCCAGTTCTATAATACAGCACAAGTCTGTTCATTACATGGAATGCTTCTCTGCTGGCTTCATTCCTTAAACTTGAAATTAATGTATTGTGGATAGAATGAAAAGCATTCTTATTTCCTGCCTGCCCAAAACCCTTTAAAGGAAACACTCTAGAGTCTGTAAGTTGGACAGTTTCAGGGAGTCCAATTCATTGTGTTTGGATGCAGTCCTCCTCTCCAGTGCTGACAATGAGCAAACTGATTTCACCTGCCTGTATTTGCATAGTGTTTGTGGATTCTTCCAGGTTTCTTGATTATTAATTAGGCTTGAAGAGATTGAGAAGGGAGAAATCCCAGCAAACATCTAATTTAAGTCAAGAGTTTAATCTGAGGATGAATAACTCTGCTTTCTGTACCTTTGCTTTTCATTAGTTAATGATTTAGAATGAATGTGGTTGTGTGTGTGTGTGTGTGTGTGTGTGTGTGTGTGTCTGTGTAGGGGTGGGAGGAGAAGGAGAACCAGAACAATGACAAAAAAGACTGTCTTGAAGAACTTATTCTGGGAAAGTAAACAAGGTCAACAAGACCATAAACTCTGAAAGAACCAATATCTACCTACAGATGTGTTTAGACTGATTCTCAGCTTATTAACTTGCACATTACCCCCTGGTGTCTCTTTGTTGCTCAAACATGGAGAAGCGTTTGCTATACCAGCACAGGCTGTGTGTGTTTATACACTGACGGGTTTGGTTGGTGATACTGCTCTTTGTGGTGGGAAAATCTTCCATGTTACAGTTTAATGCCAGACTCATTCCGTTACCTGAATACTGGAAGCTTCTGTAGGACGTATTAGAAGGTATCACTACACCGTATATTAAAATATGGCAAGCCACTATATACTGTGAATTGAAAGATGAGAAAGAATGAGTCCCTGTGTTCTAGAAACTCACAGGATAGGGATAAGGGTGGGGAGGACTAGATATGTAAACAAATGATTGCAATGCCTTTTGTAAAGTGTTAGAATAGCGTGAGGCCCCCAATGCATAAAGATCAGAATACTTTCCAAGGAGGTGAAAATTAAGGGAGTCTTAATGATAAAACTTATCAGGGAAATTAGAGGCAAATTACATTCTAAGTAGCAGAGAGAGACTCTTCGAGTGGTTCTCTGTGTTTTGAATTTCCAGTGGGGTATGGCTGACTCATAGCAGATGTACAACTTGGGCCCTTCTTGTGAATTAATTAATTGAATGCCTACTATAGGCTGGTTCTAGGCACTGAGGACACTGGGAACAACAACAACAACAAAAAGCCCTCGTGCTCATGCAGCATACGTATTGTGGAGACTGCAGACACGAGTAGAGCATCAGGTGTGATGGATGTGATGAGCTACTGGAGTTGCTATTTTGCATAAAATGGCATTTGAGCAGAGGCCTGGAGGTAGGCTGGGAGCAAGCCCATCCCAAGGAGATGTGTTTCAGAAAGTGGAATGGGGAGTACCAAGGCCCTGCAGCTGGAGAACACTCATCAAGTTTGAGTGGCAAACTGGAGGCCGGTATGTTGAGGGGTGGGGAAAGAAAAGAAGGGCCAAGGACTGGGGAGAAGCTCAAAGGGTGTGCATGATAGGTAAAGACTTTGGAACCAAGATAGGACTTGGGGTTTTACTGTGAATTCATTGGTAAGCCATTGGAGAGTTTTGGGCCTGGAAGTGGCAAGAGACTTAGAGTCTTGGAGTCAGACATATCTGAGTTCAAATCTACTGTCTATGTCTGACTCATCATCTATAAAATAGGGCTTGTTGTTCTTACTTGAAAGCTTGTAACGAGGAGGAGGAGGAGTAAAGTAGTGGTACTAGTAGTAGTAGCAGCAGCAGCAGTAGTGGTAGAAGGTAACAGCTCAGGAGGATTTGTTACTGTTTATTGGTATTTTTTATAACGAGAGGCAGGACATGAATGAGTGAATTCTGTAGGATTAGGACAATTACTTGAATATGTGAGGCTGGAGTTCCCAACAGAGCCCCAAAGAGGGGCCTTGCAGGGCCAGGCATGGTGGCTCATACCTGTAATCCCAGCATTTTGGGAGTCCGAGGCGGGTGAATTGCTTGAGGCCAAGGGTTTGAGACCAACCTGGTCAACATGGTGAAACCCCGTCTCTACTAAAAATACAGAAATTAGCCGGGCGTGGTGGTGCAGGCCTATAGCCCCAGCTACATGGGAGGCTGAGATACAAGAATCACTTGAACCCAGGCAGCAGAGTTTGCAGTGAGATGAGATTGTGCCATCACACTCCAGCCTGGGTGACAGAGTGAGACCCTGTCTCAAAAACAAGAGAGAGAGGCCCTTCAGACACCGAGCTGTTGTGGCTATAGATGGGGAATATTGCAAATACTTGGGTAACTAGGATTCATCCATATGTATTTATAGCAGCTGGGCTTTTCAGAGGCTGAGAGTGGCCCAGCCCACCTCTAGTTTTTGAACCTGTTGGTATATTAATAAGTGAAGAAATGCCAAACAGAGTTACCAACACTAATGTTTTAAACGTATCTGTTTACCAAATTAACTCAATGTAAACATGCAGTACAATTGTGCCATTTATGAACTAATTTCAGCATTTGTTTTTAAAGCATTAATTCAGAGAATACTATACATGATGTGTTCTATTAGTGGAATGCAAGCTCAAAATTGAATAATAGATATCTTTTTCTTCTCTCTCTTTTTTTTTTTTTTTTTTTGTGAAGACGGAATCTTGCTCTGTTGTCCAGGCTGGAGTGCAGTGGCATGATCTCGGCTCACTGCAAGCTCCGCCTCCTGGGTTCACGCCATTCTTCTGCCTCAGCCTCCTGAGTAGCTGGGACTACAGGCACCAGCCACCACATCCGGCTAATTTTTTTGTATTTTTACTAGAGATGGGGTTTCACAGTGTTAGCCAGGATGGTCTCAACCTCCTGACCTCGTTATCCACCTGCCTTGGCCTCCAAAAGTGCTGAGATTACAGTCGTGAGCCCAGCATTTTTTTTTTTTTTTTTGAGACAGAGTCTCACTCTGTTACCCAGGCTGGAGTGTAGTGGCATGTTCTTGGCTCACTGCAACCCCTGCCTCCTGGGTTGCAGAAATTCTTCTGCCTCAGCCTCTGGAGTAGCTGGGATTACAGGTGTGCACCATCATGCCCAGCTAATTTTTGTACTTTTAGTAGAAACAGAGTTTCACCATGTTGGCCAGGCTGGTCTTGAACTCCTGACCTCAGGTGATCCACCCACCTCGGCCTCCCAAAGTGCTGGGATTACAGGTGTGAGCCACCGCGCCCGGCCATCTTTTTCTTTCTGTTGTGTTATTTTATCTCTGACTGTGTGTAAAATCTCATTAGGAGAGAAGATCAAAAGTATAGATTTGGGGCTCTTGATAAATATGAAGGGCAGGTAAACAAACAAAAAGCCTTCCTGTTATATCCCCAACTCTGCACATCAGGCCTTAATAATATTCCCTGTTGAATGCTGAGCCTGAGGCTCTTGATGACTTTGCATAATATTTGGATGGAATGTCCCTTCCTCACACTTGCCACTACGTATCCTGCAGTATCTGCTTGCACTTGCCTCTTCTCCCTTGCACTCTGAGCAATTCAAGGGCAGGACTGTCTTAGTGCTGCATCTTCCAGAGCCTAGCTTGGGGCTGGCCCATAGCCTGTGCTCAGTAACAGGAAACAGAGTTGGGCCATGACTGGCAAGTGAGCATTTCTAGGACATTCACCTAAGGAAGGCTGAAGCTAGGACAATGGAAGCTGATCACCTTCTTCAGCTCCTGGAAGGACCAAGAGATCTAGATCCCAGATTCCAGCCCCCTGGCCTTGCCCTTGGGAAGCCTAGAGTTGTGGGATTGCAGTTTCACTCTGCTGCATATTGGATGTGAGACTTTGGTGGAAGTTGCTTTGTCATGCATTCTGCCAAGCCTTAGTTTCCTCATTTGTAGAACAGGGATACCAGTAGATACTTTTCAGGTTGGTTAAGGCAGAGACATTACAAATCAAAGTGCCCGTTCCTTCTTCTCTTTCTCCTGTCCTCTCAGGAAGCCCACTAAAGCTTATTTCATCTCTAATTCTGAACTTGGTGGACACAAGTAGAAAGTGGTTAATATCTAAAGATTGGGAATATGTCCCTTTTGCCCCCTCTAAGTGGTTTAGCAGTAGTAGATATTGCTTTTCTTTCTTCCCTCTCCCTCCGTCTTTCTCCACCTCTTTGTTAAGAAATTTCTTTTAGCCAGAGCTTACTTTTAAGTATACTTGATGGGAATTTGGAGGGTTTTTTTTTTTTTTTGAGATAGAGTTTTGCTCTTGTTGCCCGGGCTGGAGTGCAATGGCATGATCTTGGCTCACTGCAACCTCTGCCTCCTGGGTTCAAGTGATTCTCCTGCCTCAGCTTCCCAAGTAGCTGAGATTACATGCATGTGCCACCACACCTGGTTAATTTTGTATTTTTAGTAGAGGCAGAGTTTCACCATGTTGGCCAGGGTGGTCTCGTACTCCTGACCTCAGGTGATCCACCCACCTCAGCCTCCCAAAGTGTTGGGATTACAGGCATGAGCCACCACAGCCAGCTCTGGGAATTTGGATTTGTACAGAAATTCAATATAGGGAGACCATTACTGACATTTCAAGAAATTGACAGTAGAAATGTCTCCATTTGAAACGTCCCCTAGTAAAGGACTTTTAAAGCAATGTTTAGTAGGCCACCTCCCTCAGGGCCACCTCCATGAGTCTTACACATGCTGACCTCCCCTGGCTTCCTCTGGGCCTCTGGACTCATCTGTGGTGGTGGGGGGCCTAGGAATCTGCCTTTTATAACAAGCAATCCAAGATGTGTTTTGTACCCTTAAGTTTGATAACCACCACCTTTGCGTCAGAAATCCAATTTATGCAACTGTTATTGAGCCCCTACATTGTGCTCCCCATCGTATTCCTCACGTAGGTAATAACTAATTAAGTCCTCAAAGCTGTGACCATAAGGTTGATGTTATTGAGATGGTTTACATTCCATAAAGTCTCCTATATAAAGTGTACAATTCAGTGGTTTTTAGTAAGTTTCTAGTTATGCAATGATCACATGATCTAATTTTAGAACATTTTTCATCATTCCATAAAGAAATGTTGTATTCCTCCCTTAGTAGTCCCTCCCCAAACATAGATTTATTATACCCATTTTTGGAGATAGGAAAATGGAGTCTCCAGGCATTTAAACAATATGCCTTCAACTCTAGAGTAAATGTGGAGCCAGCAGCCAGAGTCCAACTTCCTTGCTTCCAGAACCCATGCTCTTTCCACTACACAATGCTTCCCATCCAGGAACTCAAGCCAAATTAAATATTTACTTGGTGGGGAGAATAATTTGATGTTCTGGTTTTGTCCTTGTTCAGTAGTTTGGGATAATAAATTTTCCCTTTCCGTTCCAACTGGCATTGAGGGGTAAATAAATATCGTTTAGTTTCTAGTTCGGTGTGCAGTACAGCCAGATTTTGAAAATTACATGACGAATTAGCATGGTAAAAAATTTAATAGTGGGAGGCTGAGAGTTAGGAGAAGTATTCGGTCCTGCCTCTGGTTGGTCACTTATCACGTACCTCCTGCACGCTTGATTTCCTCTTCTGTCAAATGAGTAGTTGTACCAAATCTTTTATTTAGTCATTAAACATTTACTGAACATGTATGGGTGATTAACACTGGATGTTGGATGTTCGGAGAAAACCACAACAGTTTTAATACCAGCTACATTTAATTGGGCAAAAACAGTATACCAGATGCTGTCTTAGCTGGTCATGCCATTTAATTTGAAGAGCAAACCTAATAGGTGGCTATGATAAATCTATTCTGTCTCTGTGGGGTTGGAGGCATGTTGCTGAAATTCCCGTGAGGAAACAGGCTCAGACGGTTTGGATAATTTGTTCTGGGTTACACACATCTGACATACCTGAAGTCTGGAAAATCCAAAGCCCAGACCTTTGTCCCCACACTAGACTGCCTCTCTAGGTGAGCAGGAGTCCTGTTGCCCTCTGTGAGGGTCACCGTATTTGCAGCATGATGTGAAAGTAAATATTCAGTGACAGCACCAAAAGGGCTTTAATCTTTTTTGACTCTGCTTGCTTAGGTCTGGGAAGGTGTCTCAGACCAGCCCTCCTATTCTCTTTAAAGGTTAGCCGATGATTGCGTTTTCCCCTCACCCAGTACTTATGCTGCCCTGCCCAGAAAAAAAAAAAATTGTTTGTTGAGCGGTGCTAGATTGGGAGGGACCAGCACCTCTGCAACATATTTCTTAACTTCAGTTTACTCCTTTGGCCTCCTTGGCGTGTGCGTCCAAAACCTTGGGCTAAAGTAAACTGGAGATTTGGCTTGTTCTCAGACAGGTGTTCCCATCAGGTCTTATAAACAAGGGGGAAAAAATCACTTTCTCAAGGACCCAACTTGAACTTGAAGAGGCCAGTTTGTTGAGACTGGGAGCGGAGCTTATAAAGGCACCGGGAGCTACCAGTGTCATAGCTGGATCTTTAATACCACAGCCATTTCCTGAAAATGTATAGCTTTGCAAAAGTCTTGTCACTTCCGAAGGCTTCAGAAATGCTGATTTGGAGGAGTTCCTATCATTAGGAATGGGACCCAGGTAGTCCCAAATGACATTATTTCTATGAATACATGTTCTTTTTGAAGGATTTTTAAAAAGTTACTATTTATTGAGCTCTTACTATATGCAAGAAATAAGTGCTATACTTTCATTGAGCCTCACAAAAACCAGTGAAGTAGCTATTATCACCTACATTTTATGAATAAGCAAATGGAGGCAAATCCAACCTCTCCAAGGCCACCCTGCTGGTAAGTGGCAAAGATTTTTTTTTTAACTCCCCATTTTATGTTTCCTTTATTTTTAACCCTAAAAACTTAAGAAAATTTCTACCCAGCATTTATTTATTAAGATTATATTGTGCATCTGAGTCCAGAAATCCATCATTCAGTCAAGATGTTAGTTAATAATTATTGTTGAGAGTCATGGCATGTGGTGCTGCAGCCTTTACAGGCAAGGGTTGTTACCATGGCATTCGATATGCGTGACAGGCACCCTGGCTGTGACAGCCTGAAAAACGATATAGTCAGGAGGACCTGGGAGTCATTTATGTAATCATATTAGCATCACATTTATTCCATAAAGGCTCACTACTTTGACTCATGGCTTCAATTTCCACATTTAAACTCATCATTTTCAAGATTGATTCTATTTAAATTTTCATCTTAAAAAATTCAGCGCATCAGTATTTGGGTACTCCCCCCTGCAGCAGTTTCAGAGATATATTTATAATTATTTTTAAACAATTTAAGTCAGCAAATATAATTTTCTTGAGACATCATATGACAGAAAGACTCTTAGCATTAGTAGCTTTTCAAAAGTCTAGCAATTGGCATGTCAGTAAAATTCTAGCACAATGGTAGAGTAGAAATTTTAGGTTCACAGTATTTTATAGAATCTAACCCAATTTCCTGTTTTTTATGTGAGGGAAACTAAGCCTAGGGAGGAGGCTAAATGACTTCACCAGACTGTAGAGCTAGTTCGCACAGAGCTGCAATTTGATATTATTAGTTATTTAGGTTTTGTGATGTTTTGACTTATACTTTCTGTACTTGATGATTGTACTGAAAAAGTATTTATTTGAATAAAGGAATATACCAGAATCGTATTTATGAAAATTCTCTCTTTGGACGTGATATAAATGAACACTTCTTCAGAAAAACATCCAAAACAGCCTCACAGTTAGTAGCATATTTCGAAGTATTGAAAACTTATCTTCATCTCAGAATGCAACATTGCAACTGTGTTTTAAACCCCAACAGTTGTTTTCCATTAAGTTATTTTAAAATTATTTTTTGAACAAGTATTTCTCAGTCTCATTCTCCAACACTACTTCATGCAAGTGCTATAGGGATTGCAAGACTGAATAAAACTGCCCCTCACAGGACTTTATAATCTTTTGGGGGAGGTAAGACACATGGGAAACTCAACGTCAGAGCCTCTCAAGCATCATACTAGAAGATGATGCTGTTCATTTGGTTCTTAGAGTTGTCACAGACCCTTGGGATGCTAATGGATTTCTAAATGGACTGCATTTTTTTCTTTGCGAAAAGGCTTAGGAACAGTTTAGGAAAGTGGGTGCCTGGCCCTGAGCATGTGGAATATAAACATTCTTAAAGCACCTATTTTATCATGTCACTCCCCAGTTAAAAATCCTTTTAACGGCTATTTATTTCTTGGCAAATATACATTTATTCATTTACCCATTCAAAAAAATATTTACTAAGTGCCTACCACATGCATAAAAGCCAGCTCCTCTCCCTGGCTTGAAAACCCTGCACAGTCTATGTATTCCATTTAGTTCAGCTTTGTTTCCAAAAGTGCCCCTTATGAAGCTTGGCTTTCTGTTACCACATGTGACTTTGTATCATAATTATTGGCTTCAGGGCCTCTCTAGAATGTGAACTTTTTCAGGCAAGAAACAGCGTCTTTATCTTTGAACACCCCATTTCCAAATATGCAGGCCAATGTGTAGTGAGTCCTTTGTAAGTTGAGGCCAATGGGGCTAGAATGTAGGGTCCAAACGGGCAAGGATTTTCCTGTTATACCCTCTCTTGTATCTCTAGGGTCTAAACAGTACCTGGCCCAAAATGGGGCTTAATAAATATTTTCTTTATGAATGTATACTAAGCGCCAGACCCTCTTAGTGAATGCTCTGAAATGCTCTCACCCAAGCTTTTTTTCTCTTTTCCTATTTAAATCTTACCTCAAAGGCAAGTCCAAGTTTCTCCTCTGCTGAACTCTGACAGCACCTTGGGCCTGTGCCAAGCATACTGAGTTCATACCAGAGTCTGTATTGCACTGTTCACTGTTGCTTTTTATTTTTTTATTCCTAATTTCTCTTTCCAACTAAAGGGTGAGTTTCTTAAGGGTATGGGACCATATTTTATATAGCTTCTGACTCCTTTAGAAAGGACTTGATTGATTGCGTGAGACAGTAATTAAACATCAGTCACTTAAGTCTGGAAGATTAAGCATCTCAGGTTTTCCAGTTCCCTTTGTCCTTAATGGATAGATTCCCAGAGACCTAAGCATTTGTGTGCATTCGTGTACACACAGAACACTGAATATTGAAGGCTTATATAAAGCACCACCCTCCAAGAATACATGTATGGCCGCTAAATACCTCCTTTTTTTTTTCCTTTAAAAGTGAAACAAAAATTGCCTTAATGGAGATCTAGGGGGTAGGGGTGGAGGCGTTTGGTGTTGGGAGAGTGAAAATAGGGGAGTGGAAATTTGGCACCATCTGCAAAGAGTTTGGGCAACTCGACTTTCCATTTCTGAGAGGTTGCCATGTGCATTGTCATGAATATTACTTTTAGTCAAGTTATATTGGCTAACAGCGGACTCTTTCCAACATGTGGAACTAATTTATTTGACATTTTTCCTCTTACCCACTTTGAAAGCCAAAACAACAACAAAAACTCAGTAACCCTTCAGAACCTTTATTGCATTTAGGGAAGTGTTTCCGTCTTGGTTTGCCTGCCTTTGTTCTCTGGGTTCATGTTTACTCACCCGCTCTCCTGGTTTTGAATGCTGTAACAGGAAATCAAGTGATCAAGACTAGAAACTCTTCTCGCTGAGATGATTGCTTTAGATTTTCCCTGCTAAATCAGAGTGCAGGCTGTCCCTTTTTCCCTGTAATTTCTTTTGAGGGATGGAGTGAACCAAAATAGGCAGCCCTTTGTAAAGGTGACACTTGTCAGCAAATTGTGACTCTCCCACATGCTTTCTTAAAATTCAGAGCTCATGTTGGTTTGTAGGGTGTTAAAGTTAAATGCCACCGGACTAAGGAATTCATAATTTGAGTTCTTTGGCAAACTTGAAGTATCCAAGTGGCTGTGAGTGTGTGTGTGTGTGTGTGCACGCCCGCACGTGCACACGCACATACGAATACTTAAAGCTGAAAGAGGAGAGGGAAGGAAAAATGGAAGGAAAGACTTGTTAATTGTTGAGAGAAGGGGAACATTTTTTAGCCTAGGGAGAAAGGATATCTTCCTGTTTTTGCTAGCTGGTTGAGTACCCAACCAAAATAAAATAATGATCTGTATAATGTAATGCTTAGGCTAGTGGATGGATACACAATGCTTATTCATGCTTTTTGTGTACAATCCACTGTGTTAAGGAATCATGGCATGGGCCAGTTGTCAAGGAATTAACAATAAGGTTAGGACCTAGAAATTCTAAAGACTGGAAGGAAATAAAGTAAAATGTAAACAATATTGGTTTTTATGGAGTAGTCAGATACAGATTTTTTTCCCTTCTTTATATATTTTCAAATGTTTTGTAATGGACATATTACTTTGATTGTAGCATAGACAGTCTTTGCTATAGAACTTTAGAAAATGGAGAAATTGCCATTGGTAGGAGGTTGTTAACAATGAGGTGTGGGGCTGGGAGCAGTGGTTTACACCTGTAATCCCAGCACTTTGGGAGGCTGAAGTGGACAGATTGCTTGAGCCCGGAAATTCGAGACCAACCTGGACAACATAGCGACACCCTGTCTCTACCAAACAAAACAAAACAAAACCAACAAAAAAAACAAAAATTAGCTAGGCGTGCTGGTACGCTCCTGTATTTCCAGCTACTCAGGAGGCTGAGGCGAGAGGATCACTGGAGCCTGGGAGGTCAAGTCTGCAATGAGATGTGATCATGCCACTGCACTCCATCCACCTGGGTGATAAGAAAACAAAAACAGAATGAGGTGGGAGTTGAGTCAGTAAATATCTAAACAGGTATTTTTGTTCCCCCCATACCTCCAACTATCATAGAACAACTATCATTAATAGAATGTTATTATAGTCTTAAAGGATTAACTATAGTAAAATAGAATAATAGTAGACTATCATAGAACAACTATCATTAATAGAATGTTATTATAGTCTTAAAGGATTAACTATAGTAAAATAGAATAATAGTAGATAACTATCATAATGGTGTGTGAAGTACATTTATAATATTTTTAGTGCGCTCTATATGAATTCATCTTCTCGTTTATGAGATAAATGAGTTATGTAAAGCACTTAGTGCCTGACAGATAGTAAGCACTATATAAGCATTAGCTATTATCATTATTTATAGCAACATTAAAACAAAATAAGGAAGTTTGTTGACCTGGGTCATGTGTACCTGGGCGTACAGTTTGATTTGCACAAGGTCGTCTATTGTGTCACTGATGCATTTTTTTTTAATTCCCAAAGTAAGCCTCTTCCTTTGCCATGGTTTTCAGTAACTAAGCATTTCCCTTTGTTATACAAACTGGAATAGCCCTGGTTTCTCGCAAGTCACTGTGCCATTCAAGACATAGTTTTTATAGTGAGCATCAAACATAAGCCTCTGAATTTATTTTCTCCTCAGAAAGCTCTTGAGGTGGTGTAGAGTCTAGTTGTAACTTTGGATGTATGTGCTTTTGTGAGTTTGACAACTCTGAAAAATGTTTGTCTTTCTCTGTTATATATTCAATTTTAAGATTTGTGGGGGAAGAAAGGAAAAATATATATTTTAGATATATATTATTTACAGGCAAGCCCTGTTACTATTTTGATCAACTTCTAGGTGTTACGTAAGTTTTCTCTATTAAACTCTATTAAAGATGATCTTTGCATAGGGGATTACAGATAAATTTAGGAGTAAGACAGGCTTTGTATTCAGACTTGACCATGTACTTACAATATTCAGCTTTATCAAATTAATCTCTCAGAACCTCAGTTCCCTCATCTGTAAAATGAGGATGTAGTTATAAAGGTCATTGTAAATATTAAATGAGACAATATGTTGCAAAGCACCTGAGTGCATTCCAGGCCCTTGGGATACATGGCAACATTATGATACATAGTACATCCACACACACATCAACACACACACACACACACACACACGCATAATTAGAATAATATTTATATATTTAAATGCTGCTTTACACATATTAACAATAAATTTTTTATATAAACATGCTTTTAATAGCTGCACAATGTTTTTGATTGGATGAAGAGTCTTTTAATTGGTTTCCTATTGTTGGATACTTAGGTTATTTTCTATTTTTCTTTTTAGTGGTAACCTTTTCCATACTCTTGGCAAACTATTTTCTTGAACCACCTGTATCCAAAATGAACAAATTCTGAGATTAAAAATTGACCAAAGGCCAGGCATGGCGGCTCATGCCTGTTATCCCAGCACTTTGGGAGGCCAAGGTGGGAAGATGGCTTGAGGCAAGAAGTTTGAGACCAATCTCAGTGACATAGCGAGATCCTATCTCTAAAAAAAAATACATATATATATATATATATATATATTTAAATTAGCCAGCAGTGGTGATGCACACGTCCTAGCTACTTGGGAGGCTGAGGCGAGAGGATCACTTGAGCCCAGGAATTCAAAGCTGCAGTGAGCTAGGATCATGCTACTGCACTCCAGCCTGGGTAGCACAGTGAGACTGTCTCTAAAATAATAATTTTAAAAGTGACCAAGATCTATAGCAACAGATTTTTGACCTCAGAATGCAGAATAATTAGCCTCATCAGAGAATGCCGTTTTTATTGGGCCTTCCATTTGTTTAATAGTATGAGGTTAAATAGTCTGGTAAAAATCAGATGAGGTCTAATCTGGACAGGAGGGTTCCCTTCAAACCTGGTAAAAGATTATTCATGGGGTATACTTAGGGAAGAATACAGTCATACACATTTTATTTCTTAAAATACTTAAATTAGGTTTTCATTAATTACCTTTTCAGTGCTTTTTTTTTTTTTTTTTTTTTTTGGTAGAAACAGGGCTTCGCCATGTCAGCCATGTGATCCACCGGCCTCGGCCTCCCAAAGGGCTAGGATTACAGGCATGAGTCACCACACCCAGCCCCATGATTTTTAAAAAAATTTGTTTAAATGACAGCATTTTGTCTTTTAGGGGTTAGTGTTGGTCAGCCTCTTGCGATAACAGTGGTGATCTATACTTTCCTCCCCTTTAACCACAATGCCTGGAATCATAGGAACAGATCCAGAGCTGAATGAAGCCATTACTGAACTGTCAGCCATATGTGCTTGCCACAGAGACCCATAAATAGCAAGAGAATAAGCTTTTGAATAAAAACTCAGTCCACATTTTCTTAGCAAATATCAGGGAGGGAGACCCAGAGAATCTCATTAGGCTTGCAAAGGTATTTATTTCTTTGCTGTGGTATTCTGCTGTAGCATTCATTTCAATATCTAGTTAAAATTTGGCAGAGTTGTTGGTGGCGTGAAGGTTGGGCCAACTGTCTGGACTGACCATCTTATTAAACACACATGTAATTGTCCTTGTTCCAGCAAAGTGGAATTCTCTTGCTATCTGTCAAGCAGGCTCAATTAATTTGGGAGATTTGGTAAGGGAGGAGATGATGGTTTGGGAGGGTGGGTCAGTGGATGGAGAGAGGGAAGGACTAAGGTGCAGCCAGTACAAGGTGGGGAAAGCAGGCTACCCATGCACACGTGCGCACAAACACACACACACACCAAGATGTTTGTCTTTTTTTTTTTTCTTCCCCTTGGAGTAGAGGTAGGGGGAACTGTATTCAACTGTTATTATGTGACTCTAATTTTTAACTTCATTTGTGTTGAACCTGCTCTTTTGGGGAGGGAGCGGGGAGGCAGTGCTTAGGGAATAAAAGAAAGGAATATGTAAAGAGATTTGATTTAATAATGTAACATACCTTTAGAACATCTAGGTTGGATGAAACTCAGTAAAGATACCCCTTTTCTTGCTGAAAATTCAGATTTGTACAGTACTGTTAGTTGGGAAGCTGGAGAACTAAGCAATATTGTATATACTTAAAGTGTGAGGGAGCAATTAAAATGTAGCCTCGGGGAAGGCTCAGGAGACCTTATCTGTGAATTGCTAGGTGACTCTTCAGTTAGCATAGCCCCAGTTTTATCTGGATTATGGATTGGGGTTTAGATTTTTCTTTGAGTTTTTATAATAGCCCAGTTACTAGAGTCTTGCCCTTCCTTTTTAAGAATGCATCAATAGTTTTAAAAATATACAAAACATTTGTGTATTTACAAAAACATTTGAGTAGAGTATATTTTAGAGAGACTACCTAGAATGTATGTTTAAAGTAAATTTATTGAAGCATAGCATACAGAAGAATGCACAAAGTGTACATCTTGATGAATTCTCACAAAAGTGAACACATCCGGTAACCAGCAACCACATCAAGAAACAGAAAATGTCAGCATCCCGGAAGCTCCTTTTATGCCCTATTCTATTCATTCTCCCACAAAGAATAACCACTATCCTGACTTTTAACAGGCTAGATTAGTTTTGCCTGGTTTTGAACTTTATGTAAATGGAATTATATACTTTGTATGCTAGTGTCTGGCATCTTTCACTCAGTATCATGTTTGTGAGATTCATCATGTTGATGCATGTTGCAATCGTTTTTCATTCTCATCACTGAATATTCTGTTATGCGAATTCACCACAGTTTAATTTTCTATTGCTGATAGGCATTTGAGTATTCTAGGTAGGTGCTACTACGAGTAGTTTTGCTGTGTGAACATTGTTGTGTACTGTACTTGTCTTTTGATGAACACACAACCATGTGTCTGCAAGGTGTATACCAAGGATTGGAATTGCTGAGTCATAAATATCCATATAATTAACTTGAGAAGATACCGCCAGTTTTCCAAGGTGCATGCATTAATGAGAGAAAGGTCAGTTTTGTCTCTAAATCAGAGTGCTTGGTTACCATGCACATAAGAATAAGACATTTTGTTCTTGTTTTCTTTTAATTACAGAAATAAATGTAACAGAAGATTCTGTGAAATGTTTCTATTTAAAATAACATTTTAAAACTCCTCACCTATTTTAATCTGTTCACTATATAATAAAATATATTTTTAGTTTTAGTATTTGATAAAGAATTTTAAAAACAAGAAAGAGTAATGGGCAGGGCTGGGCAGTATCTTTGGCTTCATTTCCAGGGATTTGCAAAGTGAGGAGAGTTAACTTCTGACTCCCTTGGGGTTGTGTTCACAGTAAGAGTTCAGATTTCTGGGATTCCTTTAGCCCTCCGGGGAGTTGGGATAAAGGAAAGTGACAACTTGGAATAGAAAGCAGAATGCTCACCCTGCCTACCCTAACCCTGTTACTGTGAGTAAATCATCCAAGAGGACTGAAGGATCAGACCTGTCATGATGGCTCTTCATTTTCTTTTCTTTTCTCTTTTTCGTTTACTTTTTTTTTTTTGAGACATGGTCTGATTCTGTTAGCCAGGCTGGAGTGCAGTAGCACAATCTTGGCTCACTGCAGCCTCTGCCTCCTGGGCTCAAGTGATCCTCCCACCTCTGCCTCCTGAGTAGCTGAACTACCCGTGGGTGCCGTCACACCCGGCTAATATTTATATTTTTTCATATAGATGAGGTTTTGCTATGTTGGCCAGGCTGGTCTTGAACTCCTAAGCTTAAGTGATCCACCTGCCTCAGCCCCCCAAAATTCTGGGATTACAGCATGAGCCACCACTCCCAGTGGCTGATCATTTTCATGTTTTAGGAAAAATTTTCCTTTCCATTTCCATTTTCCAAGTCCTCTATTAACCAGGAAAATCTTTACCCTGAAGTCACAAAAATGTTGGCTAGGTGTATCATTTTGAATTCCTGGCTCTTGCATTAAAATCAAAAGCTCCCAAAAGCCCCGTACTCTATTTCTTTTATAATTTTACGTAGCAATAGAAGTAATAAAAAATATAAAACCTTTGTCTGGGATTCTTTAATTACCCTGGACAATATATCTTGCTTAAAATAAAATGGATAGAAAAAAACCCCCAAATGCTCATTTTTTTTCCTACATGCAAGTATTAGGATTCCTAGGCTATACAGAAGAAGAAGGTGATATGAATGAATTTGTTTAATAGCTTTGCTAAATACAGTGCCTGTTTTTAACTCAAGGTCTAGATTTAGGCCTCAATGCTTTAACTTTTTACCTGGGATATATTTTCTACCTTTGGAAGTGTAGTTTTTTAGTCTGTAAAATGTGGTTTCAGACCCCTGCCCTGCCTACCACATACAGTTGTTATGAAGATCAAATGCAATAATTTATGTGAAATTGTAAAGTATAAAAGTACTAAGCCTTTGAGAGCTGGGCTTAGCAGGTCCTGCATTTTAAGAAAGACGATTACTGTCCATTGACCTAGAGCATAGTGAAAATTCACCCTGTAGTTTGAGATCTTGTGCACACACATAAGCCTGAACTTTTTTGTTGTTGTTTTGTTTGTTTTTCTGAGACAGAGTTTCGCTCTTGTTGCCCAAGCTGGAGTGCAATGGTGCTTTCTTGACTCACTGCAACCTCTGCCTCCTGGGTTCGAGCAATTCTCCTCCCTCAGCCTCCCAAGTAGCCGGGATTACAGGTGTGCACCACCATGCCTGGCTAATTTTTTGTATTTTTAATAGAAACGGGGTTTCACCATGTTAGCCGGGCTTGTCTTGAACTCCTGACCTCAGGTGATCTGCCCACCTAAGCCTCCCAAGGTGCTGGGATTACAGGCATGAGCCACCGCACCCAGCCTAAGCCTGAACTTTTAACCTTGCACCAAATGTGGCTAATTGGTTAAGTCATGAGTTACTTGTCTAAGTTCTACTGGCTTCCCATGGCATCTCACTAAAGTTCTTAAAGCTCCTCTCCATCCCACACCCCAACTACTTGAGGAAGGAGAAGGGGTAAAAAAAATGTTTTGCTTTGGTGATAGCCCCGAACTATAACCTAACACATCCCCTTTCACTTCTGGGATCGATACGGGTTTATACAAAATAAGTAGTCTATAGAATTACTACTGCTTACATTTAAAACATCTTTCTTGCTTTTAAAATTTTCTTTTGCCCACCCACATTTATTAGATATGAAGAATATAAAAATGCTTATGTCATAAAAAGATCTACTAAGATAAAAGTATTAGTAATCACTCCTGTTAAGATAATAAATGAGTAAAATAGGGACCAAAACACAGCCTCCTGAACCCTTCCGGGCATATATTCTTTATTACTACTGAGGACTTCACCTTTGTTTTAACAAAAAGGAGAAGGAAGTATCTGATTTGGCCCTTTGTGGGTGTTGGCTTGAGCAGGGTGCATCTGGAGTAGTTCATGCCTCCTTCATCAGTCAACTCTGGTGGAAGCATTTGCCAAGATAGAACAGATACTGTATCAATTGGAATATCACTGCCAGAAAGGAAATAAGAAATTGACCATGTTTATCAAGATCTGGAGTCACTATATGAATTATGTTACTTTTAATACAAATGTACTGTTGGCACTATTTAACAGCTTTTGGAAATCAAATTGTATGAGAATAGAGAATATATTCTGGGGGGCATGGGTGGTAATGACATTGACCAGGCCTCTAAGAGCATTATAATGTAGTGAACTAAGATGTCCCCCAAAGATCTGGGAGAGGTCTGTGGGTTCTTAATCCTTCTTCCAAAATGAGTATTTCAGGATTTAGAATCCTAATGCCCCCTGAATGTAAAACACCGGTAGTGGTATCTAGAGCAGAGCCCCATAATCAAATACATTGGTTGAGATCTGCATCAAAATGTATAAATAGCACACTAAGTGGTTTAACAAGGACTATACATACACATCAGTTCAAGTTAGGATTCACTGCCAAATAAGTTCAGGCTATTCCGTATTTTGCTAACAAATGTGTTATGTAAAACTTTTGATTTTCAGAGCCTTTTGAATTTTGAAATTACACATAGGGATTGTTGATCTGCATTATGTTCAGGTGTTAGCTCATGACCGCAGCATCTTTTAATGTATGTAAAGCAATCAGGTAGCAAATTCTTATAAGACAATAGAGTTAGGAGCGCCAGATCTGAAGTCATATTGCCTGGGTTCAGATTCCAGCCTTGCCAAGTGATTTGGGGGTATGTTATTTAATCTCCCAGACCCTTAGTTTTTCATCTTTAAAGCTACAGTAATTTTGAAATGAACATTAAATAAAATATACACATGAGGCACAATATCTGGATTGCCCTAGGCACTTGGTAAATATGCTTCAGTTTCCTCATCTATGTAGGGATAATAATAGTGCCTATCACAAAGGTGTTTTGTGAAAGTTAAATAAATAAATGTAATGTGCTTAGAATAGTGTCCACTCCATTGTAAGTATTCAGTAGATATTAGCCAATGATAATATCATTATGAACATTACTAGAGACCTGTAATGAACTTTCATACCAGCAGAGTCATTTTCAGAAAAGAAAATGACAGTAAACATCTGTTGAATGAATGAGTGACACATTGGAGAATGATGGGAGGCACCATGATTTGTAATAATTTTCCAGACTGTAATTTCATCCTAGTCCTTCTCAAGTTTGTTTGCTTCCCTCCATCCTGCACTCCACCCCCCGACCAAACCTCCCTCTAAGCCCCAGCAGCTTGATCTTCCTCCATTTGGTCTGTTTAGATGTACATTGCATGATGAACTTGGCTTCACTTATCTTCTGTACCACAACCATGCAGGTGTGTTAGGCCGTCTGGGAAGCTGTCCCAGATGCTGACAAACCCTTGGCAGCAGGATGGAAAGGAAGAAGGAAATTTTGGCTGACATCTCCAGGTCTGACTCCTTACTCATCTGGAGAGTTCAGTGGTATCTTTAAAGCTTGAAGATAAATGATAAGGCTGCTGCTCTTTTTATTTTTTTTATTTTTTTGCTCCTCTAGCAGATACATAACTTAGATTCTCATTTTTTAGTTTGTTATATGTTAATCTCTTGTGATTACTCAGTAACGGTACAGTTTGGTAAAGTCATAAGTCTGCAGAGACATTTTAAATAGAGGCAATGTATGGAGGAGTAGGTACCATCTAGGCAGGGACCAGTGGAAGAATGTGTGTGCTTGTGTGCTGTAGTTTGGCCTAATGTCTTGGCACAGCTGTCATATTTCCTGGCATGTAAGAACTGGATCTTCTCTTAAGTCCACACATATTTGGCAAGCCCTATTATGTTACTCTCCTGACGGGGTACTTGAGTAACGAAGGTGATAGATAATATTGGGTAGGTACTGACTGAACAGGGACATGAGAGAATATGGAAAGAATCCCTTTTAAAGATCTTTATTGCATTAGATGTTAGTGTCCGTAAACAATTACAGCATTCAGGGAGCGCAGGATTTAAATGAGAAACACAACTTGGTCAGATTATACTAGTCGGATAAAATGGCATGGACTCCAGAAATCTATAATTAAATGTATTTTTGAAAATGAAAAATATAGTGTAACACCTGGTTTATTTTGCTACAGAGGTGCCTGGGTATTGCTTACATAAGTGTGATTGACTTTGGCTGATACTTGGGTTTCTCTCTGTAAAATTACTGCATTTTAATTAAATTTTTTTTCTACTAGATTCTATTTGTTGTAAACAAATTATTCACATACACACTCATGTAGAAAATGACTTATTTAGAAAATCTCATGTTCATTTTCTTTTCATTGCAGCGGATATTCAACTCCTTTGTTTACACTGAGAAAATCTCAAATGGAGAAAGTGAAGTACAGCAGGTAAGAGGCAATGAGTACTTGACACTCCCTGTCTTTGTCTTGCTTTTAGATGTGGCTTCGTCACTCTTTCCAAGCAATCTCCACTTGAGGTTTCCTGTTCTTTCTCTCTGTATAATTTCACGTGCATCTCATGCATAATGGTGACAACCTTACACTTCAGATTCTTAGAGGCGGTTAAAAACTTATATGCATGGTTTTCTGCTATCCACGCTATAATTTGGAACTATTTAATTCCTTTTTGTTTTAAAAATTCCTAAATGACTCACACCTAAAAACACTGAAAATTATTTTATCTGATGTAGAAAATAAGTGTCCAGGCTTTGGAATCAGACAGACCCCACGTCAAATTCTGGTTTTCCTCCTTATTTTGTAGCCCCAGTAAGCAATTTAGCCTTTTTGAGCTGCAGTTTCTCAATCTTAAATAAGAGGAACATAATACTGCCTTATGGGGTTGTGAGAATTAAATGATGACAAATTGACCAAGAATGAAATAAAATTGTAATTCTGGCATAGAAGCAGCTCATTGGATGTTGGCTTCTTTTGTTCTTTTCTTTTTCTTTCCTCTTTTTTTTTTTCCTTTGCTTCTCCCCTCCCATCTTCTTTCAGTTCTCTGTGGAGTCAAGAAGTTTTGAGGTCAGATTCTATTTACTTTATTTATAGCTGGCTTCAGATGAACTGCCTCCTAAAATATAGTGTTGATGAACCTGGTCGTAAATAATTGATCTGTGCTTGAAAAGAAGGGTGGTAAATAGGAGTTGGTTTTAATTTCAGCGAATCCACCAACTTCATTACAGTATGTGACCATCAACACCATCAACTAGTAATTTGAAGCTAGGTTTGAAACTCAAGTAAAAAACAGAACCAAGCTAAAAACCAGAGTGTAGCAGACTGCTTCCACAGAATAGAAAGATAACTATAGTAAACTGCATACGATTTTGAACTCTCTGAGATTCCGCCATTATTATGTTCATGGAGAACAGCTTGACATTTGCAAGTGTCCTTATAGTAAAGTTGTTTGTAGGATACTTATTTACTTATAATAAATTACCGTGGTTTAATCTTGAAGTGCAGCATTTCCTGTTTATAGACATTGAGTTTTTAAAGATTGAGTTTCTGCAGGTTAAATATAGAGGATATAAATAGTCATGTATATGTATGTTCTTTTTCTTAGCTTTAGATATTTTTAAAAGCTGATGGCCTGAGTATTTATTTATTGTAGTAAATAGGATGTAGTTTGCTGTGCTAAGTCTTATCTTCATAATTCCTGTCTTATTTTTATTTCAGCAAACTAGAAAGTTCTTTATGGTCGTGAAATTTAAGAGATTTTTTGTGGGCGAAGATTTCTGAACGAAGCATGTTCAAGGAAACTTTCTGGGAGACCAGAGGCCATTTGATAACATTTTAAAGAAACTGATCCAGGGATATCAGTTTTGCCACTTTCCTTCAAGTAACAGATACAAGTTCTTACTTAGGCTGTTGTCAAATGTGAAAGTTTTTTCCCCCCACCCCCTTTGCACTGATGTCATTTTTTATTTATCTAGCTAGGAACAAGTTTAGAAGCCTTTAACAATAATTTTAGAAATTATACCTGCTGACTGAGCACTTATGGAACATCAGGGCTAGGCAACTTCCATGTATATCACATTGATTTTTACCAAATAACCTTGAAGGAAAGATATCTTATTACAGATGAGGAAATTGGGGCTCCAAGAGGTAAAATAAGTTATTTGTAGTTGATGGATATCAAGCAGGACAGCTAGCTTTTGAAATAAATATGACAGAAAGTTTTATTATTTGTACTTTTATTTTGTTTTGTTTTTTTTTTTTTTTTGAGACAGGATCTTGCTCTGTCGCCCATGCTGGAGTGCAGTGGTGGGATCATAGCTCACTGCATCCTTTATCTTCCAGGCTTGATCAAGTGATCCTCCCATCTCAGCCTCTCAAGTAACTTGGACTACAGGCACATGCCCACATGCCCGGCTGATTTTTTGTTGTTGTTTTTAGTAAAGATGAGGTCTTGCCATGTTGCCCAGGCTGGTCTCAAACTCCTCAGCGCAAACAATCCTCCTGCCATGGCCTTCCAAAGTGCTGGGATTACAGGCATGGGCCACTGTGCCCAGCCTATTATCTGTATTTTTAATTTAACATAGTTTATTTTTAAAATACATGTTTTCATCAGATACAGGAGTCTCTGCTAAACTGTCTTTATCTGAATAATTCAAGTGCAAGGGAATTATCGTACAATCTATTCTGTGTGTCTTATTACTGATTGTCAAAAAGTTCTTTTTTATTTGAACCAGAAGGGTACTGACTTTTAAATTCCTCCAGTCTCTCCACTCCATCCTCTGGAAGAACACTTAACAAATAGATCTGTGTCTGTTGTTTATCCCAAAAATGAGGACAGTTGTGTCGTTGTTATTATCATTTAGCCTAAATTTTAGTATAAACAGGTCTTAAATAATTTCTTCTTCTGTGACATGATTTCCAGATCCTTTCAGTACTGTGGTCATTATTACAACAACATAACAATAAAAGCTCATATTTACGCATTTATTGAAAAATTTGCTATCACTTCATTATGATGGTTCTCCCATGGGTTGAATTGAACACGGGATTTCTCATTCTACAATGAGAACACAGACACTTCAGTACCTTCTTGACTTAAATAACTGCTTAGACATTCTAGACTCTGTGGTCCTGGACAGTACCCAGAATGAAATCTTTAGGGACATGTTTACCTCGTATGTTTCCTATTCTGTAAAATATCCGCCATCACAATCACTCACACTTCTATGTCCTTTGAACTTCAGAACAACTCCATGAGGTAGGTGGCAGTATTGTTATTAGCAATGTTCAGAAAGGCCACGGATCCCAGCTAGTAGGTAATTAAGCTGGCTTTTAAAACAGTTGTGAAATTTATCAAATATATGGAGACGTGTAAAACATACATATAAATAAATATATTAAAATGAACATCTTAACTTACTACCCAGCTAAAGAAATGAAGCATTACCAAACTTAGAAGGCCCTTGTATGACCTTCCAAAGAGAATATCTTCCTCTCTCCCTCTCAGAGGTAGCCTTATCCTAATTTTTTGTTAGCAATTCCCTTGCATTTTTTTGTTTTGATTTGTTTTATATGTACTTATCCCCAAATTAATTTTGTGTTTGGCTATTTTTGTTCTTTATATAAATTTTAAGCATATGTTTATATTCACATATCTTGCTAGTTTCACTCAGCTTCATATTCATTAGAAGCACCCATGTTGACATCTGTAATTAAGGGTCATTTATTTCCATTTCTGTGGTATTCCATTATATGCAATTTATGTATCCATTTTATAGCTGACATTGTTTGGGCTGTTTCTAATTTTGTTGTTGTTTTGTTTTTTAAGAGACAGGTTCTCGCTCTGTTGCCCAGGCTGGAGTGCAGTGGCACGATCATTGCCCATTGCAGCCTCAAACTCCTGAGCTCAAGCAATCCTCCTGCCTCAGCCTCCCGAGTAGTTGGGACTACATGTACACCACTAAATCTGGCTAATTTTTAAAATTTTATTCTAATGTTTTGATTTTTGTTCATACCTCCGTACATAGTACAGAAGGAATAATTCCCTTAATTGCAGGAATTTTATTATCCTTGGCCTCCTGCCAACTTAATGATGGTAGAACTGTGTGTTGTATGTGTGTCTCCACACACCACTGCCCTAAATAGTGGGGCAGGTGACACTATTCAGCTCAGGTGGAGAATCACTTCTCTAGAGTAGAAGTGCTGGGTGTCAGTGTTCAACATGACTGAATAATGCCAGACTGCTTCCACAGTGGCTGTCATGGGTCACTTGCTTATCTGCATCTCCTTTAATATCTGATATTGTCTGATTTTTAATCCTTTGCCAAATGTGGGGTGTCTGAAATGGTATCAGGCGAGTTTCATTTGCCTCGCTCTGATTACTAATGAAGTTGAAACACCTTTTTGCATGCTTATAGTAAATTTTTGTGGTTTTGTTTTGTCAAATATCTATGAATGCTCCTTGTCCAGTTTTTTAGTTGTTTATTTTAGAAGTTTAAAAATGCTGTATATGTTCTAGATCAGTGCTGTCCAAAGAGAACTTTCTGAGATGATGATGTTCCATATTAGGGCAAGTAGAGTAGCTACCAGCCATGTATGACTACCGAGTAACTGAAATGTGTCTAGAGCTACTGATAATTAAATTTTAAATAAAATAGCTACATGTGGCTGGTAGTTACCATATTAGGTTGCTGTGCAGATTTATGATTCGTAAATAAGTCCTTTTAGTTTTTGCCTTCCTTGTCTTTTCATCTCATTTTATTGTTTTTATGTTTTGTTTGGTTTTGAGATAGGGTTTTGCTCTGTCACTCCAGTTTGAGTGCTTGGTGCAATCACAGCTCACTACAGCCTCCACCTTTGGGGCTCAAGCATTCCTCCCGCTTCAGCCTCCCAAATAGCTGGGACCACAGGCAGGCACCACCATGCCCAGTTCATTTTTGTATTTTTTGTGGAGACAGGGTTTCTCCACGTTGCCCAGGCTGGTCTTGAACTCCTGAGCTCAAGCAATCCACCATCCTTGCCCTCCCCAAAGTACTGCGATTACAGGCATGAGCCACTGCAGCTGGCCTCATTTTATCTTTTAAAGAATTAACGTTTTAATTTTAACTCAGTTTTTTAAAAAATCGATCTTTAGACATAAAGATATTCTCCTATACTGCCTTCTAAAACTTCTGCCTCTCTCACTTAAGACTTCTTTTTGTTTGTTTGTTTGTTTTGAGATGGAGTCTTGCTCTGTCACCCAGGCTGGAGTGCAGTGGCACGATCTCAGCTCACTGCAACCTCCGCCTCCTGGGTTCAAGGGATTCTTCTGCCCTTAGCCTCCCGAGGAGCCGGGACTACAGGAGTCCACCACCATGCCCGGGTAATTTTTGTAGTTTTAGTAGAGATGGGGTTTTGCCATGTTGACTGGTCTGATCTTGAACTCCTGACCTCAGGTGATCTGTCCGCCTCAGTCTCCCAAAGTCCTGGGATTACAGGCATGAGCCACCCCGCCTGGCCTCATTTAAGTATTTTATCCACCTGGAATTGATTTTGGTGTTGGATGTGAAGTAGGTATCCAATTTCCTTTTCTTTAGTAGATATCCAATTTCCTTTTCTTCCCCCATATGTGTTTTCAAATATTCTATCTCTGTCAAACAATCTGTACTTTCTTCATTTGTTTTCAGTGTGTTTTCTGTCATTAGTTGAGTTTTTGTGTATGTATGAATTTGATTTGGTTCCATTAGTCTATTTATCTATCCTTGTGCCAGTACCACATTATCTTAGTGACTAGTTTTATAACAAGTTTTGAAATCTGGTTGGGTAATACCACTCCCTGCATTTAGATTCCTTGGTTTCCCATCTTCAAACCCTGAGGTTTATCTCCTATCCCTGGTGCTCTGTGCTGTCATTAAAGTAAAAGGTCAAGGTCTCCAGATTATGCCCACATTCTCAGGAAGAAAGCAGGGTGTGACATGGGCTTACCTCCTAGATTTCCTGCTTTCACTTTGTTTGAGGACTCAGTCTTCCTAACAGCAATTCACCAGTTTCCCCACTTCTTAATAGTTATAAGAACAATTGTAACCGCTTATAGGATTTGTTTGATAAAGTAAAAATAGGTTAGTTATTCAAAGCAGATTATTGACCTGTGTGCTTTTAGCTCACAACCTTTAGGTGAAAGGGAACCGTTTCTTTATGCTTGGTTTTGTATATTTTGTATTATCTAGAATTCTGGCTTGCATTTTCTATCCATTATTTCTCCTTTGGGTTAATGAAAATTAGATGCCCATGGGTTCTTGCCCTCCCTCTTTACTAATCAAATCTTGTTGAGAGTTGGATCTTTCTTGTGCATACTATCTAACTTGGCAGGAAATCTAACATGTTGTTAATGTCCTCTGGTTAGGGGAGCAAAGGAATTAACACTAATAAAAAACATTTTGTGATTTTTTACTCTTGGGTATACAGTTTTACTTGCTTTTACTCATTTCTTTTAAACTAACCTTCAGAGAGTGTGGGTCTAAATTGTCTAACAATGTGTTTTAAATCCTTAATTAGTTCACTATATGTAGTTTTGCTGCCAAAGAAACTATGGCAACAGCCTTGGAAAAATTAAAATTCCACGCACACATTCTTGTGTGGAACACCTCTCATAGACTTCATTTTTTAATACTTTAAGAAATTGGCAAGGCGGGTGGATCATGAGGTCAGGAGATCGAGACCATCCTGGCTAACACGGTGAAACCCCCGTCTCTACTAAAAATACAAAAAATTAGCCGGGCGTGGTGGCGGGCGCCTGTAGTCCCAGCTACTTGGGAGGCTGAGGCAGGAGAATGGCGCGTGAGCCCGGGAGGCGGAGCTTGCAGTGAGCTGAGATCACACCACTGCACTCCAGCCTGGGCAACAGAGCAAGACTCCATCTCGAAAAAAAAAAAAAAATTAAGTTGTGTGTTTGCTTAAGGGTATTATATAAAGTTGAACTTGAATCAAGAAAAATAAATTTCTGAGCAAATGCCTCAGAAAGTAGCAAAATATGGTCTGCAAAACACAAAGAAGAAACAAAAGGAGAAGGAGCTTCTTGGGGGGCTTGATTGGATCATTAAATGGATCAGAGCCACCTTGGACTTGTTTCAAGAGTTTACTCTTAACTTTTTCTCAAATGCTCTAGTAATTATTTATATTAATAATTTACTCAATGAAATTGCAAACATATTTTCATAGTGTTTCAGAAACTGTTGAATTGATGGCAGTGATGGTTTTAGAGGATTTCAGAATTCCTTTGAAATGGGTCAGAGAGAACTGAGAGAACTCCTTATACAGGAGACGTACCTGACATCTGGTCAAGGGCATTCCTCTAGCAGCTCTCCCTGCTCTTCTGCGGTTTTTGATCTGTTTTGGATCATATCCATCACCACGTAAACACATTTCACCTATATTAAACAAACAAAAGACCCTTTTCTTGACCCCACTTTCCTTTCCAACTGCTGTCTAATTTCTTTGTTTCCCTTTGAGTCACAACCCATCAAAAGAGGTGTCCACACTCATTAGATCCAGTTCTGCCATTTTCTTTTTCTTTTTCTCTTTTTAAAAAATTATTATTATTATTATTATTATTTATTTTAACAGAGTCTCTCCCAGTCACCCAGCCTGGAGTGCAATGCAGCGATCTCGGCTAACTGCAACCTCCGCTTCCTGGGTTCAAGCAGTTCTTCTGCCTCAGCCTCTCGAGCAGCTGGGATTACAGGCATGTGCCTCCACGCCCAGCTAATTTTTGTATTTTTAGTAGAGACAGGGTTTCACCATGTTGGCCAGGCTTTTCTCGAACTCCTGACCTTGTGATCCACCCACCTCGGCCTCCCAAAGTGCTGGGATTACAGGCATGAGCCACCACACCAGGCCCTCTGCCATTTTCTCTTAAGCCTACTTCAGTCCTACCCATCCCACAAATCTACTCTCTTTAAGATCACCAAGGACCACTACTTTGCTAATTCCTCATTTACTTAACTAACATTAGTGTTGAACAGTTGATCCTTTTCATCTTCCTTGATAAATCTTCCTAACTTGGGTCTTTGGAATAGCACGCTTGCCTCCTTGCCTTTCCAGGCACATTCCTTTGCACAAGGTGCTGTTCAGACGAAGATCCCCATGGGCCCTCACCTCCTTCAAGTCTGTTCTCCCATGTCACCTTCTCAATGAGGTGAGCACCATTTTCAAAGCTGCAGCCCACCTTGCTTCCATGCTCCTGATTTTCCTTTTCCTTGTTCCATATTTCCTTTTTTCCCCTATCACTTATCACTTTTTGGATTTAGATACTGACTTGATAAAACCAGTTTGGCTATGAAAATTCTGGAAGACAAGCTAAGCAATAACCATCCTGGACATTGGAACAGGCAAAGATTTCACGACAAAGACACCAAGAGCAATTTCAACAAAAGCAAAAATTGACAAACGGGATCTAATTGAAGGTAAGAGCCTCTGCACAGCGAAAGAAGCTATCAACAGAGTAAATAGGCAACCTACAGAAAGGGAGAAAATTTTTGCAAACTATACATCTGACAAAGGTGTAACATCTAGCATCTATAAGGAACTTAAACAAATTTACAAGAGAAAAACAACCCCATTAAAAAGTGGGCAAAGAACGTGAACAGACACTTCTCAAAAGAAGACATACATCTTCCCAACAAGCATATGAAGAAAAGCTCAATATCACTGATCATTAGAGAAATGCAAATCAGAACCACAATGAGATACCATCTCACACCAGTCAGAATGGCTATCATCAAAAAAGCCAAAAATTAACAGATGCTGGCGAGGTTGCAGAGAAAAGGGAACACTAATACACTGTTGGTGGGAGTGTAAATTAGTTCAACCATTGTGGAAAGCAGTATGGCGATTCCTCGAAGAGCTAAAAATGGAACTATCATTTGATCCAGCAATCCCATTATTGGGTATATACCCAGAGGAATATAAGCATTCTACTCTAAAGACACATGTGTGCGAATGTTCATTGCCACACTGTTCACGATAGCAAAGACTTGGAATCAACCTAAATGCCCATCAATGACAAACTGGATAAAGAAATTGTGGTATATATGTACACTATGGAATATTATGCAACCATAAAACAAGATCATGTCTTTTGCAGGAACATGGATGGAGCTGAAGGCTATTACCCTTAGCAAACTAATGCAGAAACAGCAAACCAAATACTGTATGTTCTCACTTATAAGTAAGTGGGAGCTAAATGATGAGAACTCATGAACACAAAGAAGGAAACAACAGACACTGGGGTTTACTTGACAGGAGAGGATAGGAGGAGGGAGAGGAGCAGAAAAGATGACTACTGGGTACTGAGCTTAATACCTGGGTGATAAAATAATATGTACAACAAACCCCCATGACATGTGTTTCTCTATGAACAAACCTTCACATGTACACCCAAACCTAAAATTAAAAAAACAAAATAAACAAACAAACCAAAAAAACAAGTTTGGAAGTATTCCTTCCTCCTTTACTTTCTGAAGGAAAGGTGTTATTTCTTCCTGCAGTGTTTGATAGAATTCAGGAGAGCACCATCTGGACCTGATATTTTCTCTGCGAGCAGGTTTTTGAGCATCCAGTTTCTTTAATAGATATAGATAGAGTTTCTTATTTTGTTTTTGCTGCTGTCCTTTTGTTTTTGTTTCCTTGTTTTTTAGATCTTCTGTATCCTAGTATGTCAATTTTGGTAAGTTGATATTTTAAAAAAGAAATTTGCTATTTTCATCTAAGCTGTCAAATTTGTTGGCATAAAGGTGTTTGTAATAATCTGTATCTTTTTAATATCTATCAGCAAGAAGAAGAGCAATAGAGCCAAGTCAATAAAACCAAATGCTGGCTAGTTCTTTGAAAAGATCAATAAAATGGATCAACTTCTAGCTAGACAGACAAAATCAGAGATAGAATGAATGGTAAAATATTAGTGATGACTTATTTTTTCAAAAAATGAATTTGGCTTCCTTAATTTTCTCTTGTTTTCTATTACACAGATTTATGTTCTTTATTATTTCCTTCCTTGTACTTTAGGTTTTGTTCTTTTTCTAGTGTTTTAGGTTGGAACATTAGATCACTGATTTTTTTACCTTTTTTTCAAATGGATGCATTTAAAGCTATAAACGTTTCTCTTAGTACACTTTATATACCTCAAAGTTTGACATGATGTATTTCTATCATCATTCAGTTTTACATATTTTCTGATTTCTCTTGTGATTTTTAAATTTTGACCCATGGATTTTTAAGTATTTTGTTCAATTTTCAAAACGTTGTGGTCTTTAGATATCTTATTGTTATTGATTTCTAATTTAATTCCATTATGGTCAGAGAACATACTGTTTGATTTCAATCCTTTTTAATTAATTGAGACCTGGGTTTTATGGCTCTACATATGATCAGTCTTGGTGGATATACCAAGTGAACTTGTAAAGAACATGTGTTCTGCAGTTTTTAGGTGTTCTTTATGTATTAAGGTGGTTGATAATGTTGTTCACATCATTTGTGTATGGGCTGATTTTTATTTTGTTTGATTTTTATTTTCTATCATTTGTTGAAAGGGATGTTAAAATCTTCAACTGTAATGGTGAAATAGTATTGTTTCCATTTAATTCTGTTCATTTTTGCCTGATATGTCTTTATATACACATTTAAGATTATGTCTTCCTGATGAGTTGTGAATTAGAACATTATGAAATGTTATTCTCCAGTAATATTATTCTCTCCTTAAAGTCTATTTTACTCAATATTGATATAGCAACTCCATCCTTTATATACTTACTGTTTACATGGTGTGCCTTTTCAGAAGCATTTACTTTCAATTATAGATAGCATATAGATGAGACTTGTTTTTTTTTAAATCTATTCTGAAAATTTCTGATTTTATTATTAGGAATATTTAGGGGAAATGTTTAATAAATTAATATTTTGGGTTTTTTTTCTGTTTTTTTTTTCATTAGCTCCTCCTTCCCAACCCACTTTTGAATTTTATCTGTTAATATTCTATCAACTTCACACAAAATCTAAAACCCTTGCAACTTACAGGTTCATTTCTCTAACGCTATTCTTTATGCTAGTTATCATATCTATTACATCTGCGTATATTACAAACTGCACAAGAAAATGTTATAGCTTTTGCTCTAAATTGCCATATTTAATGAAGTTAAAAGAAAAAATATTGTATATTCTCACATAATTACTATATTTCTTATGCTCTTTGTTTCTTTCTAAAGATAACAGCTGATATTGAATCTGAAGTTCCTTTAATATTTCTTGTAGTGAAGATACCCTAGTGACAAATCCTCTTAGTTTTTTATTATTTCTTGTATACAGAAAATGTTTCTTGGCTACATGCAGTAGCTCACACTCGTAATCCCAGCACTTTGAGAAGCTGAGATGGGAGGATCGCTTGAGCCCAGGAGTTCAAGACCAGCCCAGGCAACATAGGGAGACACCCATTGTCTACAATTTTTTTCTTTTTAATTAGCTAGGAGTGGTGGCACATGCCTGTAGTCCCAGCTATTCAGGAGGCTGAGGTGGGACGATTGGTTGAGCCAAGGAGGTTGAGGCTACAGTGAACTGTGATGATGCCGCTGCACTCCAGTCTGGGGAACAGAGCAAGACACTGTCTCCAAAAAAAAAAAAAAAAAGTTTCTATTTTGCCTTTTTTCTTAAAAGATATTTTTGCTTTAGATAGAATTCTGAATTGACAGTTTGTTTTTTGAACACTTTAAAAATGTTCCACTGTCTGCTGGACTCTGTAGTTTCTGATGATAAATCAGTGAAAGTTTTTGTTACCCTGTATGCAATGTTTTTTGTTTATTCATTTAATTATTCTGGCTGCGCTCAAGATTTTTCTCTGCTTCCGTTTTCAGCAATTTGACTATGATTATGCCTCCCTAGACATAATGGTTTAAATATTGATTCTGCTTGGTGTTTGTTGAGCTTTTGGAATCTGTAAATTTGTGTCTTTCATCAAATTTGGGGACTTTGGGACCATGATTTTTTCAAATATATTTTCTGTCTCATTATTTGCTCTCCTTGTAGGTCTCTGATTACAGGTATGCTAGATCTTTTGATATTTTACTACAAATCCCTGAGACAGTGTCTTTTTCTTCTCTTTTTAAATTTTTTTTCTCTTGGATAAAGATAAAGATGGTTTATTCTTATGCTGCAGAATTTCCTTTTTTTTTTTTTTTTTTTGAGACAGAGTCTTGCTCTGCCACCAGGCTGGAGTGCAGTGGCATGATCTCAGCTCACTGCAACCTCCGCCTCCCAGGTTCAAGCAATTTCCCTGCCTCAGCCTCCCAAGTAGCTGGGATTACAGGCATGTGCCACCACACCTGGCTAATTTTTTTTTTTTTTTTTTTGTATTTTAGTAGAGATGGGGTTTCACCATGTTGACCAAGATGGTGTCGATCTCCTGACCTTGTGATCTGCCTGCCTTGGCCTCCCAAAGTGCTGGGATTACAGGAGTGAGCCACTGTGCCTGGCCCTATTTGTTTCTTTTTAATAATTCTGTTTCTGTACTGAAATTTCTCATTTTATTCAAGCGTATTATCTTTGCATTCTTGAGCATAGTTATAATAGCTGCTTTAACATTTCGTCTGCTCATTTTAACATCTAAAAATGGTTTGAGGTTTATCTCTGTTGACTGTCTTTTTTCTTGAGAATTGGTCACACTGCTTTTTTCTTCATATATCAAAAAGTTTTGGTTGTATCCTGGTATTGTGGAAAAATCTGGATTCTGTTATATTCTTGTGAGGAGTGTTTGTTTGTTTTAGCAGGCAATTAACTTGACTGGAATCAAACTGCTAATCTATTTTTTAGACAACTGCTCAAAACTCAGCTCAGTTTATCTTTAGATAGAGTTTGCCCTGCACACATACAGTTCAGGGATTTAAGAATTTTTCTGCCCCACCCCCACCCAGTACTCTAGTATTTAAAATATATTCTGACAGACAGTTTTTTGGAGTATTTTTCTGAGTTGTTATTTGATAATGAGAATTTTACAGGAAAGGTTTAAAATTTGATGTTTTATTTCTCCAAATATCTGCTGGGACATTGTAAAGGAGAAGCAGTTTGGTTTTATAAGAAAATGATACTTAGCAGGTATTAATACTCCAAATAATTATTTTACTCAAGTATACACTCAAGGCTCTAGACATGAAGAATTGGAAAAGGTCAAAGCAATGAACTAGAATTCACCTGAAAGCAAGATATACTTCCAGATGTAGACCTTGCATGAAATTCTATCCTTTTGTTCATATGAGAATAAAGATGCCTGGTAGCAGAACAACTTACATGTGGCCTACAAACACAGAATAGCTCTTTCTTTAAAGAAATTTTGAATTGAGGGTGAACCTTAAAGAGACAGCACTTTATGTGCCCCGATGTGAATCATCAGTCCTAACTAAGGTGATGTTTTAGAATTTTGGAGCTGGTATACTCAGATACCATGGAGACAAGGCCAAAGGGGTTAGGAAACTTTTCTCTAGTCTTTTTTGGACAGCCTCAGTAAGGGTAGTGTGGGATACAGAATCAAAGAGCCTCATCTTTTGAGATGGAAAACTCAAGGTCCAAGCAAGACTCTGTCATTTACTGTTTGATTTGTAACAGGTATTTAGCCTTTCAGTGTCTACATCAATTTTATCTATAAAATGTAGATAAAAGTTGTTTAAAAGATTAGGTGGTTGCCTACTCTGTAGTAGGCATTCAGTATTTTGTGTTCTGCTTCCAGATTACAAAAGGGTGATATAATGTCAATATAAGGATACCAAAAGAATTCATGAAATGTCACCCCAAAATATTACTTTGAACTGAGGGTACTTGGGGAACAGCAGGTGCAAGTAGAGGCTTTCTCTGAGCACCACTTGCATGCAGAGCCTTTTCTCTGAGCTCCTCTTATCTGTCTAAAGACGGATCCTCCGAAAGGAACTCAATTGTCATGAATCCCCTCCCTGGGAATTTTATCAACCAGGGAAGATTAACTTGGATCACAGGAGGGGAGACTAGAGGTTGACCCTATGCCCAGACTATCACCTCTTCTAAGGGCTGCTCAGAAACAACTTTTATTACCGACTTTTTATCTGTATAACAAGACAACCTTTATTCCCCGTGCATTTCTTCCCCTCACCCTCCCATAACTTGTGTCGCCACCCCCTTCCCCAGAAGCCCCAAGCCCTGATGCCTTTCTGTAACTTGGGATGCTGTATCAGCATCAATCATCTGACCCTTCTTTGAGGCTCCTATTTTGTGAGACTCCTGTGCATACTTATGTAATTAAATATTTACATAAGTCTTTCTCCTGTCTTATGTCAGTTTAATTTGTAACCCAGCCAAGGAACCTGGAAGGGTAGTGGGATGCCATTTTCTCTCCCCTGCAGTGTGCTACAGAGAAGATTGCTATTCTTAATTTGTTATTTAATCCTCTTGGGTAAGGCCTAGAAGGAAAAATCTGTAAATCTGTAAACTTTAAAAGGGGAATTTTCAAGAGAAAATGTTCACAGAAGGCCCTGGAAGGAGCTAGTAGAAGCTTTTAATAGAAGCAAAACTAATTGAGAAGTGTGAGACTGGACATTATATTAGCTTTGCATTTGTATTACTTTTGTATTTCTACTCCCAAACACTTTCCACTATAAGAAAGCTTGAGTGTGTTCTTGAATTGTGTACTGAGCCACAGGAAGAAAAGGGACAATGGTTAGACAAGAGCGGGTACAGAAGAGTTGAGCACTAGGCAGGTATTTAATACATATTTGTTGAATAATGACTGGAGATACTCTGGCACCTCAATATTCATATTTCCAGGATCTGGATTTGTTTCGGGTTGCCTTGCCAAGTGTAATCTAGTATGGTGGTAGCCTGAGGGCTCTCATTTTGTTTACAATTTACCTACTGAAGTATTTTAAAGGCTCAGACTTGTCCAGGCTGCAGGAATCTGGAAGGTGGGGTGGATGAATTCCGTTCTTTCTTTGTCCCCAATTTTTCCCTCATCTGTACCCAGGGAATTTGTTCAGGTTGGGTCCTGGTTTAGTTCACCCTCTTACCCAGATCCACACTTGGCTCTGTGTTGATTGTGCTTGCTAAATGTTCATTGAATGAATGAATGGAAGGCACTAAATCTGTAGGAAGGCAAAAGAAAGGTTGAGAGGTATTGATGCCACCCAGATGGAGAATTTACAATGAATCAAGCAAGGACCAGAGTAAACAGGGGGCTGTTCTGTCCAACCAGAGCCCTGGCAGGTTTACCTGGTTTAGTGTTTATGTTTCCTTGATTGGAAATCAATCTCTGTCCGTCTTAGCTCTTACTGTTGTTGGTCTGACTCTACAGAAAAGAAGCTAATTTTTATCATCTTAGAAACCCTCTTCCTGAGCCTCTTATCAAATCATTGTATTCCCTGTGAATAAAAGAGGCTGGTGGTCTGTCATTTCTGAAAGAGAGCCTGAGAGGAGACATAATTGTTCTAATATTTATGTTTCTTTATCAGTTTTCTTTGTGCTTCTACACATATTTTCTCATTTTATCCTCTTAATGACATAAGAAGAGCAGGTATTATTATCCTATTTTCCATAGGAGTAAACTATTTCAGAGAGGTAATAAGTATAAATTGTTCAAGACCTCAGAAATGAATGTGGCAGTGACCAGATGTTTAATCCAAGTTTAGTGTTTTCTTTATTTATATTGTACTGGCCGTGATAATAATCAGCATTACGTATTGAATGTATGATTAATTAAGCACTATGATTAAATCTTTTCTCACATAACTTGGCTGGTTCCCTTGCTAGTTCCCTTACATCCTTTTATTCTTGGCTGAAATGATACCTCTCAGGGAGGGCTTCCTTGACCACTCATTTATAAATTTTATTAATTGCATCTCTCTTTAGTTTTTACCCCCTTCTCTATTTTATCTCCTTACAGTTTATCATGTAGGACATAGGTATGTATTTATGTTTTTCATTGTGTATCTTTCCCTAATAGAATAGAAGCTCCGTGAGGGCGTGGATTTTTGTCTGTTCCATGTCTTGATGTGCCCCCAGCACTATTAAAACTTTGTCCATGTAGTATATGGCAGGTGCTCAGTAAAAATTTGCTGCATGAATTAATAATCCTCAAAAACAACTCTTCCAGATTTACTGACAAGAAAAATTATGCACAAAGAAATTCCCTTTCCAGGGTCACCCAAGTAGGGGGTTAGAGAACTGATTTGAAATTCAAGTGTATTTAGATTCAGTGCTCCACTGTATGTTTTCAATTCCCCCCCCCCCACAAGGTATGGGGGAAGTACTGCCTGTCTTACCACAGAATGGAAGGGGCTAGACTCTGTCCTCCTCACTCCTTCCCCTAGCAATTCCTCTTATTTGTTTGGTATATTGAAGGTTAGTATGAGGCTTTTTTTTTTTAATGGTCTTTCGTTTTCCCCCAGCAATTCATCTTATTTGTTTGGAATGAGGCTTTTTTTTAAATGGTCTATCACTTTTTTTTTTTTAAAGGGAAGATTTACAAACAATTATACTACAGCAATAATTATGCAAAGCTGAATCTGAATTTCTTTTTAAAACATGCAACAATATTGTAATTGGGATGCTCTTTAAAGTTTGGAAGAGGCAAGAAAAAAATAAATATTATTAGAGCTAATAGATAATATATTCACATATATGTTAGAGCTTTTAGCTCTAATAATATTTAGAATTAAATATTATTAGGGGTATGTATATGTTTATTGCAGAGAGTAAATGGTATGTGTTGCCTCCTCTAAAAGCCAAAATTAGGTTTCTTGTGGAAGTTAAACTCCTGAGTATAGGGACCATGACAGAATAGTTCACACTGTAGTGCTCTGTAGATACTGGGGAATGAGTGGATAAACTAGATTATGATCTCTTTGAGGGAGAGATTCTAAGCATACCTCTAGTAAGTGGTAGGCAGGTGATGAACTCAGCACACATTTGTTGAGTACTTATTCTATACTTGGCATTGTAGGAAGAGAAACAAAGAGCTTATCCCAAGGACGTTGTTAAATTGCAGGAGCATTTGTTCATGCATTTGATATTTCTTGCTAATCTCTTGAGGGTGATGCCCTGATGGACTGTGGATCTCATCTAGTGTGGCATTACCTTCATTTCTGTTCAAATTATGTATGTGTCCCTAGAATCCTAACAAATGCCAGACGGTTGCAAGAATTAGTACACATATAAATCGTGTTGCATTTTGGAAAAGATTTTATTTATTCAACATGATAGTTTGTATTCATTTAACAAACACTGCTTCACATAAGTCATCCCATTAAATTTGTGCCACAACCCTCTGATACAAATACAGTTCTTCGCCTCATTTTGAGGAAATCGAGACTCAGAGACATTAAGTAATTTCCTAGAATCATGGTTGAATTAGGTGATAGGATTGGGATTTTAGCCAAAGTGGTCTAACTCTAAAACCCATGTTCTTAACCATGTTCTAAAAACATATGCTGTGTTGTTTTTCATACTTTTTCTGCTGCAAATTCATCTGTACGTTTTCAATTTTTAAAATGAAGGTGGTTTATTTTCTCTTGAGAGTCTTACATCAGCTGATATAAGATAAATAATATGTCTAAACAATGTAAGTACTATGATGAAAACTTAGCTGCTAAATGAGGAAAAGCAAGTTTAAATGCTCAGTTGTCAGGGGTAAAACAATGGTGGAGGGTGCCTTCTGTGCTGTTAGCGACGAGCTTTTAGCTCTCATAAATCACAAGGATATAACTGGAGCCTTAGGAGGAAGCGCGTTATATTACTAATGGATCATCCTGCAGGAACATAAACAAGACATAAAAATAAGTGAAGTCCTTGATGACTCTTTTGTCTTTCTTCCCAATTCATCATTATTCCATTATTAACATAACCTTAAGACAGTTGGTTATAATTTGTATCCTCATGGAATTTCTGTTGGGCTATTGGGGTTTTGTTTTGTTTTGTTTTGTTTTAAAGTAAGTACCTCCTAAATAAGAACTTTTAGCTAATTGAGTGAGTGAAAAACTGCAGCTGTTGGACCAGTTTGTGGGATGAAAGCGTAACATTGTTACGCTTTCTCCCTTTCTGTCACACGGGAGAAGCTGATAACAACTTGGCATTCTTAGTGTAGAACTGTGGTTGGTAAGCTTCTGTTAGTATGGTTTCCCTGGAGGATATAGCAACCCTTAGATACCTCTCAGAACTCCCGGATCTCTCTTCCCATATGAAGCCTGGACAATAGTCAGGATGCTTGGAGTACTGTTCAGCTAGGAAAAAACGAGATGGGCACAGAGAGAGGAAGCCACCTGATAGCTCCCCATCTCCCCACCCCCCATTTGGGATTTGGAGCCATCTTGTTTCTATTTTAAGGAAAACATACATGTAACCTCTGTTCTGTATTCTTATATATATATTTGCAAGTTAAAATATATGTGAATGCATGCATGAAAGCTTAAATTTCTGTACTAAATATAGACCCATTGACTTCAGGGGTATGTATAGTACATTAGTCAATGTATGTGCCTGGTGTTGAGGTAAGCTGAGATAATCCTGCTTACATACACTCATGCACACACCCTGTGTATGCACATGTTTTATGTATTGTATTAACCATGTACACACAAAAGCAATATATATCTATTGTTTACAGTTATTAATTGTACTCCAGGCACATATTTACTCTTTGTATGTACAGTTTTTTGGTTTTTTTGTTTGTTTGTTTGTTTTGAGATGGAGTTTCACTCTTCTTGCCCAAGCTGGAGTGCAATGGCGTGATCTCATCTCACCACAACCTCCGCCTCCTGGATTCAAACGATTTTCCTGCCTCAGCCTCCCGAGTAGCTGGGATTACAGGCATGCGCCACCACACCCGGCTAATTTTTTATTTTTAGTAGAGATGGGGTCTCTCCATGTTGGTCATGCTGGTCTCGAACTCCCGACATCAGGTGATCCACCCACCTCAGCCTCCCGAAGTGCTGGGATTACAGGCATGAGCCACCACGCCCAGCCTTATGCACAGTATTTTTATATTTGTAAAAATAGAAATACAAATAAAAAAATAAACACACACAAATATACAAATTTAAAAATATACACCTATGCCATCTATAGAAAATAGAATATTTAAATCTCTCACCATCACTGCCACCACCACACACATTTAAGTCTTGGAAATTCTGGTTACAGGTTTTTTTTAGTGGTAGTGTTGTTTGAGCAAAACCACAGATTAGTCCATTTCCTCATTCCCTTGATTCTCATAGTTTGTGTTCCCACTCTAAGGAAACAAATGAAGGGACTGGTACTGCTTCTTTAGGGGGAATGGGTGTTGCAGGCAGGCCCAGCTGGAGAGGAGCAGCGGGGGCCTTGCGGCAGGGCAGGAAGAGACATGTAAGCTCCCACTCTGGTGTGCCTCTCTCTGTGTTCCAGCTGAAGGAAACACACTGGGTGTTACGTAAGCAGCCATTAGTTTAGTTTTATAAAAGTCAGCTTTTCACATAGCTCTGCGATCTATGTATGTGCAGATGTCTTCTTTCAGTGAAGCAGACCCTTGAAAAAAACATGGATCTGGGCTTTTTACTCAAATAGTCAAACTTCATTTAACTAGAAGGGAATAGACTGAGTCCAAGTCCTCATTTTAAAGGCCAGCAAGCCTGTATCATGAGAAATGAACATTCCACTAAAAATGGAAACAAGTAAGCCCATTTTACATGCATTTCCAATATCTCAAGGTTGAATCGTATTTGGAAATGCTGCTAAGGGAACAGCCAAGACTTCTCCAGCCCTCTCCCTACCCCAGCCCTACCTGACTCCATCCTCCACCTAAAATGGCCGCACCCACTGAAAAATAAAATAACCTCAAATTATCTGTACTGGCAGAATGAGTAAACATAAACTCATCTGAGAACATATTATAAAACCTGGCGAGCAACTCAAGAACAGGGACCACTCATCCCTAACATATCCCATGGTGCAATAGGAAATATTTTGGTAATGATGTGAAGGAATTAATTACTGCTCATATCAGGAACCCCTGAATTCAGTAAATGCTTTGAAAATCTGGACCCATGAAATAACATGTGGTGTGGTAAAACTGGAAACCTGCCAAGAACTATAGCTTTATTTTAATATTAAAAGACTCTGGGGAGGTAGGGATCATGTTGAAATAGCTGTTCATGGGCATTCACACTGGGTGTCACTTAAGCAGCCATTAGTTTAGTCCTTTTACATGCTGCGGAGTCATGAGGAAGTGTCACTGTCACATCCGCTGACATGCATGTCAGGCCTACCATGGCACCAGCCTCTAAAGGAAGGTGTTAGCGGTGAATCCTGCAGCCAAACAGCCAATAGAAAGCAGGCATGCCCCAGTTCTTCTGTTTGCAGTTCGCCCTGTCATCAGATAGGGGATGAGAAGACCTTCCTAAATCCACCTGTGACTTAGAGAGTGATATTAGATGCAGCTTGGCAAGGGAACACACAGAATAGTTCAGAGAAGGATATAATAAAATTGTTGCGGTTCAGGCAAATATCCTCATTCCTCTGGTTGGAAACCCATACGGGAAACATTTCTTTTTGTTGTTGTTTCTAGCAAGTCTTAATAGCAGGCAATGTACTTTCCAGCAGCACCCAACATTTGCACCTCACTAAGTTGTGGGGGGCGGGCGGGGGTGAGGGTGCTGTTACTGTTGGCTTAAAAAATTTTTTTTCCCAATGATATTAAAAAAAAACTTGTACCTCTGGATCAACACTTACAGCTATATGCCTGCATTGTAAAGACCCCAAAATCTCAAGAGTTGCTTTGCCACTGCTAAAGTATCTTGAAACTGAAGCCTAGAAAGGCCTTTTCTCTATTGAGTGATATTAGCGCATTACAACTGGCTTCATTGTTCAAAGGTAGGACCAGAAGAGAAAGTGCTCCTGCCTCCTAATGCCACGTCATACTCAAGACTCAGGTAATGTGGATACTCAAGGCCAGTCTTTAACAATTGAAGAAATCAAACATTCATAAGATGCTTCCTTTTGTACTGTTTTTCTTTCCTTAGTTTTAAAAGGAATTTACTTTGTACAAATTTGTTACTCTAAATATAGAACTCCACTGCACATGAGGCTGTGTCTTGCAATTATCTTTTTAAATGAGGCACTAGGAGGGAGAGACCTTGCAATTACTGTAATTGAGCTCATAGTATCAATGAAATCTTAAAATGGCACAATGATATATTTCATTCAAAAGGCATGCTAAGTTAATATTATTTTAAAAGGGGAAATAGAAACATCTAGATTTTTAAAAATTTTAGAGAAGGTCATTGTGTCTCAAGATTGTCATCCCAGGACTTGGATTCAGTAAGTACTTGGCCAGTGTGAGGGTAAGGAAGTGCTTAGTGGTAACAGATACTTGTTTCCTTGCCAGTGTCATCTTTCCACTCCACTGCTGAGCTAATTGACGCTTGCTGGCAAATGTTTGATCGATATTCTCTCAAAGAAGCCCTTGAAGAACCCTAACATGCTGTGGTCAGTTATCCTCTAACGGGAGGCTAGGTCAGGTTTCGTCCTTCATTTATGCAGCAAACATTTTTCTGAGTTTCTGCATAGTGTGCCAGGCTCTGGCCCAGGTCACAAGGTTGGTTTGTGACAAGATATTATTTGCATTGGGTCTGGAGAAGAGAGTCTGGGCTCTGTGAAATTTCAGGTTCCCAGAGCCTTTCTGACCTATCCATCCCCATTGTCTAGCGGCCTCCCTTTTATTTGAAATGCGTCTATGTTACACTTAGTGTTTATAAGTTATGCACAGATATTTGTTCTTCAAGTAAGAGTTTTATGTAGGAAGTGACTGGGTTTGCTTTTCTTTTCTACAGTTGAGTGTAGAAAGCCTGGTCTTTCACAGGCCACCAGAGAATTCCCAAGTTCACGAACCCATAGTATTTTCCCCTTTCCCTCGTGATTAATATTCTACACAAAAAGTTGTGACGTAAAATGTTGGAGATTATTCTGTGGCTCCTGCTCTCTCCTCTTCCCAATTCTCAGCTTCTCGATTTTTTTTCTAAGGTCAAGAATAGGTGGAACTTCTTTTTCCTTGTGAAGGAATAGACGGTAAACTTTCAAGGCCTGGGCTTATTTCAGATGTAAAAGAATCTCGGGTCAGGGGCTCCTGTTACAGAGTGAAGTGAGGAGAAGTGGGTTGAAGCCTGCCTTTCCCTTTGTTTCTTTTGTTATGATCTGGTTGTTAAGGGTAGAGTGGGGTGAAAAACAGGGCAAGAGTCCATTGAGCCCTTGAGTTGATAACCTTGGCTTTTGGGAGGCTTGGGTGTGTATTGCAGTGACTCTCCTGCAATACCCAACACAAACTGTTATCCAAACCAACCCCATTATAACCTTTAAAGCAAATGTTCATTTTGCATGAAGAAAGAAGCTAAGCTGCTGGTCTCAACTGTTTCCCAGGGCTCAGCCTCCCCCTGTTCTCTGGCATGTCAGCACTTGCCTCCTGTTTTTTCCATTGTACTCCTCCCAGCTCAGCACAGGGGCCCCACCTCTCGCAGGATCAGGGTATGTGACCCTGGAGCCCAGACAGCCTTGCACATAAATCTTTCTGGTCCACCTGCAGATCGTCTGTCAGCAGCTGCCCTGTTTCTCTGTTGGATGGGCTATTCCCTCACATCTGTCAGACTACCCTGAAGTCTCCACAGGCCAGTGGAAATTCAGACTGGCCCTACTGCATCTCCAGGTCTTCATCTATCTTGTCCTGTATCGTTTCCTGCCATGCCCAGGCTCTGTCCTACTGAGTAATTTCATGAGGCCCAAACTAGTGGTGATGAGCAGCCATATCATGACAGCGGCCAGTTGCTATCAGTATACCTTTCTGAACAGGTGCTCTTTTGGGGGCAAGTATGGACTGAATGTTTGTGTCTTCCCCAAATTCATATGCTGAAGCCCTAACCCCCAATGTGATGGTATTTGGAGGTGGGGCCTTTGGGAAGTAATTAGGGTTAGATGAGGCCGTGAGGGTGGAGCCCCCATGATGGAATTTAAGCTTTTGTAAGAAGAGACAGAAACACTAGAGTACTCTATATAAGACGAGGAAGAGACAGACACTCTGTCTGCCATGTGTGGATACCAGAAGGTTGCCATCTGCAAGCTAGGAAGGAGGGCCCTCACCACACACTGAATCTGCTGTCATCTTGATCTTTGACTTCCCACTTTACAGAACTATGAGAAATAAATATTTGTTGTTTATGCCACTGTATAGTATTTGTAGAATAGTTGGAGCTAAGACAGCAAGACTTGCTTTAGAGCAGCTGATATTACCTAGGAAGCAGATCAAGATAGGGAACTGGAGAGGCCCTGAAGCTTCTGATTGGCTTGAACCAGATATGAGTAATAGTCATAGGTTATCTGCCTTTGTCTACACTCAGAGGAAGATCTTTCCAATATGGCAAATAATGGTATATTGTGTGGGGGCATGTGACATTAACATCTTTAAGTCTCTTCTATGTGCCAGGCAACAAATAAAAATGCACAGTGCAGTGGTTCAAGAGGATGAATGTGATCTAATTATTCTGTTTATTAGCTTTGTGACCTTGGGCAAGTCAGTCCATTGGAATCACCTGTAAAAATAGCATAGGGTGATTACCAAGGGCTGTTGTGAAGATTAAAAGGCATCAGGTAAAGTCACATGTCACACAGTGCCCTAAACATAATCAGCAATCAATTAGTTCTAATTATTGTTGTGTTATTGGTTTGTTGGGATAAACAGGGTCTTCAAATGAGGTAAGAACAAGAACAGTGTGAAGCAGAAAGTGAGTGGAACAAATGGTGAGTCCTAGGAAATTCTGGAAAAGGACAGAGAAGGCTTCAAAGAGGTTGAAATTGGGCTGGAACCAGAAGGAATGAGTAGAATTTAGATAATTTGATCTGGGAGAGTTCACATTTTTCTTCAATTTGAGGGAGCTTGTTAGCAGAAAGAGAATTGAGCTAGAGATTAGAAGAAAAGGTCTTTTTGTTTTCTACCTTTACTCAGCACGAGCTTGGGCAAACCACTGAGCCTCGATTTCCTTGATTGTAAAACTGGGACAGAGAGAATATCTGCTCCGCCTAGCTCCCAGGGTTGTTATAAGGCACAAATGAGACACTTCAGGTAAAAATGCTTTGAAAATGGTGAAATGCAACAACACAAGAGTAAGGTCATTATTAGAGTCTTAAAAGAGGATCCCAGAAAAAGTCTGAGCTGCCCGAGACTGTAATTACCTATCCTGTATGACACAGTGCTTTAGAAGAGTCACTGACAGCTGTAGTAAGGTCATGGCCTACTGCTGACACATCTATCCTGACTGTGTTGACTACTCACCCTTCTCCACGTACAGAGAATGTTCTTTGGATTCTCCATTTGTACCCAGCCATTGTTAAGTTCCTCAAACAATAATAACCATTACAATAATAGTAATAGTAAACAGCCACTACCATTTATTTGGCGCTTATAATACATTGGATACTCTGCTAAGTACTTTACAAACTTTATCCCACTTAGTTCTCAAGCAACATCACAAAGCAGCTATTATTATATCCAATTTAGAGGTAATTAAGTTGAGGCTTAGAAAAATAACTTGCCTCGTCTCCTTCAGCTAGTAAATGACAGCTGAATTTAACTGAAACTTCTTTGACTACAGCCCTCTGTGCCATTTTGCTTTTAATCTAAGAAAAAATGCTTTCCCCCACAAGACCTTGTGCCAGATTTCCCATGTAGAATTAACCATATGGATGAGTTAAATGAATAAAATGGTTAGTTAACATTCAGTTTATTACTTATAGCTTTATCCTTTTACTTCTAGCTCTGTTGTTAGAAAATTTAGACCCCACAATATTTCCCCAGTTACTACTACCTTTCTAGGCCAGAGACTGTCCACTATGATAGTAAGAATAATCCCTTGTATTTGTCCTAGCCTTTGTATATTCACTGTGTTTCATTTGAACATCACAATAAGTCCTTTAAGGGATATCATTTCTGTTTTACTCATGAGGAACTGATGCTAAGGGAAGTCAAGGAATTTGCCCAAATTCCCAGCTAATAAGCGAGAGAGCTCTATGTCTGTCTGAACCATTATGACTATTACTAATAGAAAGAATAGCAGAGAGTGAGAGCATTTCTTATATCCTGTATATGATGTGCAACATGAAACAATGAGAATATTTTCTACGAAGAACTTCAGAATGCAGTGGTGTGAGGTTCAGAGATGTTAAATATTTGTGCTTAAAATTATTTTTATGTCACATACATTCAAATAACTAAACTCTGAAACTTACTAGAAAACAAAATGCAAGGTTTATTCTTTAGTGGTAAGGCTAGAGTTGAAGGAAATAAGGATCAACTATTAAATTCTTACCATGGCACAAAGGTTTTTGAATGTCAAATGTTAAACTTTTCTAGGTTCAATAGGAATTTTGCTATGAATCTTCAGTCCCCTAGGATATATTTCCTGTCTGTGCCTGTCAGCTTCATTGTTACGTATTTTAAATAAAGCTTTCCCTAACATTCAAAACTCCTTCCGGCCCTTCCTTTTAGGAAGCAGACATAAATAAAGTACCCACTATGCCTTTGCATTTTTGTTTTCTTTTACCTTTTTCTAACTATGTGCCCACCCCACCCCCAATCTTCTGAAGTATAAAGCTAAGGTAAAAAGAGCTTTTAAAAAAGGGCTCTGGGGAAGTATGCAAATGACAGAAATGTCTATGGGAAAATTAAGGGAAAAGAAATTCAGCAAGAAAGAAATTCATTGATGTTGTGATGAAACGTTGTCACTGGAGATAATGACAAATTAGAATCCGTTCCCATGGGGACCGCACGCTACCTACTGATCATTTGACCCGTGGCTGGATGTTGGCTAGCCTAAGAATTGACCCAAAAGATGACAAGATGGTTTTAGTCCTGTTGTCTCATCCGTATTCAGGAACCCCTTAGGGGATGAAGGGGAAAGGATAAAGAAGGATAAAAGATGAAAGCTGAGCTGTGGAAAGAAAAATGTTTTTAATTACACTGAGGAGGATTGTGGGTCCACCTGTAGCTTTCTGTTGAGAATGTCTTTGTTTTCTTCTGTCTGCAGGGATCATGGCAGGATACAGACCCAGAATCTGTCTGGCTTTTTGGAAGGGTCTACATTGGCCCTTCGGTCCTCTTCAGTTTATTGGATACATTCAGGATTAACCTCTCTGTGGGCTGTCTTTACTCTGAGGTTCTGTTATGCTTGCTGAGCAGCCTGGGTTTGGTTGGCGTGCTAACAGAGATTCCTTTTAGAGGGAAGAAAAAAAAAAAAAGACGCGATAGTGGAGCACAAGATGAGGTTTCCATAGTGTGTCACCATCACATTCCTCGTCAGAAGCACACAGGGAGCTCCTCTCAGGCAGTGAGGTGGAGGGAGGCAAGAGCACCCCCAGTAGTCAAGAGACTTGTATGCTCCATATGCCTCAGTTTCTTCACTTGTAAACTGGGCATCACAGTGTTCTCTTACTATCCTATAATGGTACATAGTCAAGGTGAAATTCTTTAGGAAAATACTGAATTCTGAAGAAAAGGAACAATACTAGCACTCTGTTCTCTTGCCAGGTGGCAAACCAACAAAAACCCCTTGAGTAATTTGAACAATTTAAAATAGTTTAATGTAATTTATTCCATGGTACTCAGGTAATATTAGGTTTTGGTGGGTTTGTTTGTTTGTTTTTTTTTTTTAGAATTCTTTATAACAAATTTGATCATATCCCCACCTCTTTCTTGGGAGGTGGGGATGGGGTATCATAGGGTGGAGTGCAGTGGCACGATCAAGGCTCACTGCAGCCGCAACATCCTGGGCTCAGGTGATCCTCCCGCCTCAGCCCTCTGGGTAGCTGGGACTACAGATGCACACCAATATTCTTGGCTAATTTTTTGTATTTTTTGGAAGAGACAGTGTCCCGCTATGTTGCCCAGACTGGTCTTGAACTCTTGGGCTCAAGTGATCCACCTGCCTCAGCCTCCCAAAGTGTTGGGATTACAGGTGTGAGCCCCTGCTCCTGGCCCCTTTTTTATATTTGTGGTAAAATTTAATAATTCTAAACTTCTTCAAAGTACTTGATTTTCATAGGAATTTTGAAGAATATTATTAGAAATCATATTAATTTTTAAAAATCTAATTCTTATTATAAAGTAATGAGACTGTGCATAGCTTATGGTATCCTGCCAAGCATTTCACAACATTTGTTAAAATTGATTTGAAAAGAAATGTGGGGAGAGGGTTGATCTCCATATTACAAAGAGAAGCAATGTTGAGTAAAGGTTGAAGGTTTGGGCTCTGAAGTCAGAATATGGGTTTGAATCCCAGCCCTACCACTTACTAGCTTTGTAACCTTGAGCAAATTACCCCTTAGTGTCTACTTCTGGAAAATGGAAGTGTGCACCTAATAGGGTCCTTTAAAGGATTAAGTTGGTATATGCATGTGAGAGGCCTAAAATTGTGACTTGTACATAGTTGGCACTCAGCAGATGTTGGCATTTTTCTTAGTAAGGCAAGATAGAATGTTGCTACATGAAAGACTGGGGAATTTCTGACTGACAGCTGTGAATCCAAGTAGACAGAGCATGGATTTGACACCTTTTGTGAAGTGCCATAGGTGTTTGGACTCTGTATTCTTGGTACTTTCTGTCTCTATTGATGAAGAATGCAGCTGAAGGCCCACCCTAACCAGGAAGGCAAAGGCAGACATTCTACCCCGATCCCCCAGTAAAACACACCTCTGCCAGGGCTGCTCTCCCATCAACCAGTCACCCTGCAATCCCAAGGAAGATTCAGTTCCACAGCCAGCCCAGAGTTGAGGACCTTTTAACATTCTGCTCTTTGCCTTGTTTGATTATGTTAACAGAAATTCTCAGCCTGTGTGATTTGTCATATTTTAATATTTCAAGCCACCATTGCAGCTTCTTTTAGGTTTGGTTTGTCTGAGGCACCGCAGCGAGTGCATGAGCACACAGACTTTGAATTTGTATAAGTGAATGGCTCTTCCACTTACTTTGTGGCTTTGGGCTCATCACTTAACTCATTGATATAAAATGAGAATACCCACACTGTAAGGTCCTGGTAGCTATTAAAATTTTCTGAAGAACCCTGAAATCTCTTTGCAACAGATTTACAACTCACAGGGTACAATCTTGATAATTTTGATGATTTAGATGCAGTGCCTACATTTAGGAGCTTTGTTTCACCTGCTTCAATATGTATATCCTAGGATGGAATTCAGCTGATCCTGCATTTTCCAGTTTTCTGTTGTTGCATAACAAACCACCCAAAACTTAGTGGCATAAACAAACATGCTTACAAATTCTGTGGGTCAGGATTTTGACCAGGCACAGCAAGGATGGCTTATCTCTGCTTCATGATGTCCATGGCTTCATCAAGGGGCTACTCTGGGGGCTGAAATTATCTGGAAGTTTCTTGGTTCATGCCACAACTTGGGCTGGGATGACTTGGAAGACATGCTAAGCTGGGGAGCTGCCAACTAAGCACTGACTGTGGCCTCTCCATGTGTCTTGGACTTCTTACAGCTGCGTAGCTGACAGCTACCAAGAGTAAGCGTTCCAAGAGACAGGCATGTCCTTTTATGACCTAGCTTTAGGAGTCACGTAGTATCACTTTCTCTGTACTCCACTAGTAGAAGCCATCATAAGCCTACCCAGATTTAAGCAGTGGGGACAGGGGGACATGTAGACCCCACCTGCCAAAGGGTAGACCTGTTAAAGAATTTGTAGGAAATTTCTATAAAACCACTACACTAGGATTATGGCACCACACTGGGATTATGTTTCCATCTGGGGATAAATTAGGGCCGCTGGCTTCTACCTATAGCAAAGCAGGCCATACAGACTCTTGCAGCTACTTAATCTGCCATTGTAAAATGAAAGCAGCCGTAAACAATATGTAAACAAATGATCATGTTCCAATAAATATTAACAGTAAAATTAGAATTTCATGTAACTACTAAATATTAAAAATATTCTCCTTTAAAAAACATTTAAAAGTGTAAGAATCATTCTTAGCTCATGGCCTATGTAGAAAGAGGCAGTGGACCAGATTGGAATATCTTGAGTTTAGCTAGATCTGACTCTTCAAAGTTAGAATCCTCCAAATGTGTAGAAGAAACCCTTGGGTATTTCTCAAGTGGAATTAAGAGTGTGTGTGTGAGAGAGAAGGACATATGACTACAAATTTTGTTTTTATTTTAAAGTGAATTTGTGAAGATATTTCAAAATTTAGTTCTTTTAATTACATCTTATGTTCATTATGTTACAAAACATTTATTCCCAAGGGCAATAAAGGACTATGCACTTAATACTCCTATGTGGGAAATTAATGATATTTACTTTATCAGAAGTCAGGACCTACAAAGAAAAGGTAGAACTTGCTTCTTGATGGAGCTTCCAGAAATACATATTGTTGTATATTTTAAAAATAAGTATGTTTTAAAAGAGTTGATTATTAGAACAGAAGATAAGGTTGATGACTCTCAGGAATGAATTTTTAAAATCTTTATCACTTCATTAAATATTTTTTCTATGTCTATAATGCCAGGCAGTGTGCTAGAGCCTGAAGATACAGTGGTGAACAAAAACATATATCGTATGTTATCTTTTAACATCTGGCTATCTCACGAGACTGTATGTCCTAACAGTGCTTGTAGTCTCATGAGATAGCCAGATGTTAAAAAAAAAAAACAGCATCAAATTTAATGTGTGTTATGAGATGGCTTATGCAGGGCATTATGAGAATATAAGGTTTTCAAGCTGGGCCTATTGCTCTGACACCCTCTACTGCCCACTGAATGTGAAAGTCTAGGAAAAGAGGGTTGTTAGATTAGTTGCAAGCTGCTGTTTAAAAACCACGTTAACACGTTTGATAATGAGTGAATAGTCCTCTCTCCATATCTAGGCCACGTGTGATGGCCTGTTTAATATTGCTTTGGGGAAGGAAAAACAAAGAATGAAAAAAATTGCAGTTGTTGAAATGTACAGGATTTTTTTTCCCTGATAAGTTATCATTTTGGATGGGTGGAGAATTCAAATAGAAGAACAGTTTGGAACCTATTGACTGAATTACAAATTGGGATAATTTACTGATTTTTCTCTCAATCAAAGTTTTTCTGGGTGACAAAATCATTTGTACAGCAAACCCTAGTAACGTGCAATTTATCCATGTAACAAATGTGCTCATGTACCCCCGAACCTAAAATAAAAATTGGAAAAGAAAAAATAAATTGGTCAGAATCATACCCAAGAATAGCCCTTAAATAAAACATCTGGTTAATAATTATTTGACTGCAATCAGAGGATACTGCTAAAGATTTTTAGAGGACCCCTGAAAGGGTTATATTAATATCCTTAATAAAATGTGAATTTTTTGCTTAAAAAGTGATTTTCCAACACCTGTTAAAAAAGCAATCAATCGAGGTTTCAAGGTTTCTCATCTGGGCCATTAGTGGCATTTGAACCAGATAATTCTTGGTTTTGGGGTGCTGTCCTGTGCATTGTAGGATGTTTAGGAGAATCCCTGGCCTCTATCTATCTACTTTGCAGCATTCTCCACCAAGTTGTGACAATCAAAATTTTCTCCAAATGTCCCCTGAGGGTGGCAAAACCAACAGTTGTCTAAATTAAACTGGGTTTATATGTTTTAATTCAATGACCTCAATGAGGAAAACCTACTTTATTTTAATAGTAAGAAGTCTAGGTCAGGGAGTATTGTGAGTCATTTTGTACATTTCCAAGACCCACAACTCCTCCTTTGAAAATGATAAAATGAATTTGGACAACCCATTATCCAATTAAACATTATACTCATATCCCTTTGTTATGTCTGGAAGTTTTTCTAAACTTTATAGTTTATATAATTTCTAGCAAGGCTGAGAACCTCAGTTATTTAATTGAGACCCTGAAAGCTATAGAATATCCCTGGAACAAAATCAAGATTTAAAATTGGCTTGAAAATAACAAATGAAGATATTTTGATTTGACTCCATGTTCTCAGCCTGGAAGCTATTGGATTGTGTGAGACGCATGACCCAAAGGAGATGATTAGTTTTCCTCCAGTGTGATGATAATGAATAGCACTACAAAACCAATTAGCTATAATTCTATCAGTCATTTCCTTTGGGTAACATTTTGTTTAAAGGGAAGAAAAAACAACACAGTTTTCCTTGGAGATCTTTGATGAAGCTGTGGTATTTGATGGGAACAATGGAGGAAAAAGCAGTATGCTTACCAATTTGCTTTTATTATTCCTGCATGAAAGTAAATCATGATGAAGTGTTCTGTTCACAGCAGTTAAGAAAGACATTTGTTCATCTTAAAGGTGTAGCAGACCAAACACAAGTATATTTCTAAGTGTGCATTTCATTTATATGGATTGTACAACTCCAAGGAATTGCCATTCACATGGAAGACTGAGAATGGTGTCCCCTGGGACTGTGTAGCAGGAGACACTGAATGTTGTTTCCTTTCCTTCTGTTATTATCCCCCTTGAAAAACCGTGAACCCAGAACCACAAGTAACAGATAATGTCTCTCCTCTTTATTCTCCCAGTCATTGTCGTTGCTCTGTAACACACAATGCCCACTGTCATGCTGACAATAATGTCAACAGTCTTTGTTTTCCTTTTTCCAGCAAGGTATTTTATGGATAGGTATTGTTCTATTTAACGTGCCGTCATCTGTTACAAGAAGATATAATTTTACTGTTGTCTGAGTATCCTTCTATGACTTCTGGGCATTGTGCAATTTTTATCTCAACCCACACAGGGGAATATGACTTGGGTGTGTGTTGTTTGTTTTACTTGAATTTTAATATATGCAGCTTGTGACACAGATTACTAGTTTATTAGAAAAAAATACAATGAGTTATTGTCTTGGACTTTCGATTTATTTTGCTCACTGTCATCCCACAGCTAGCCAAAAAAATCCGAGAGAAGTTCAACCGTTACTTGGATGTGGTCAATCGGAACAAGCAAGTTGTAGAAGCATCCTATACGGCTCACCTAACCTCTCCCCTAACTGCAATTCAAGACTGCTGTACTATCCCACCTTCCATGATGGAGTAAGACTTTAAAACTTTTTGTTGTTGTATAAACCAGACATTGAATTGCTTATACATTTCATTTCATATTCAAAATACCTGTGTTTATTTATTGCAAATTGTGTAGCTTGTTTCCCACTATTTAAGATAAGCCCTTTATCTTTAGATAAGTGATTTTTAAAGAAAATGTGATTCAGTGTTCTATAGCCAGGAAATTCCTGGACCCTCCCTACTCACCTTTTTCTCCTGATGAAATGCAAGTTGAGGAGTATCAACTATTTATTTGAGTACAGAATCTAAATCTAGAAAATTGGAAATGCTTTGTCATGAGTCAACTATTAAGCCATGTCACTTGCTTAATTTAAGGGAGTGCCTTTTGTCTTTAAAAGAGTAACCAAAAATTCCCATTCCTTACTTTAGTAGATACTATCTTTAAAACTCCTATGGGAAATGTGTTTTCAGATCATATTGAAACAGGTTTGTATCTGCATGATTGAGGATATTTTTATTTATTGGCCTAGTGATACTTATATCTGGAGGGGTATAGGGCTATGGGATGCTGGAAATTGTAGTGGAAAGAACACTTATCTGGAGGTGCAAAGAGCTTAGTTTTAAGTTTGACTTGGTCTTTAATTAGCTGTGTGTCCTTCATCAAGTTACTTAATGTTTATTTTTATGCTCAGTTTTCTACCAATGTGGAAAATAATCTTATACCAATTTTCTAGTGCTACTTAGAATAAATAAAAGACGTTAATATGTTTTTAAAATATGAGTGTAAATGTAAATTAGTATTTATTATTCCTCTCTTTGCATGACAAGTGCTCTTGCGGCTAGGCAAAGGATGGATATAATGGTTTTTGGTGGTTAAATGATGCTTTGTTTCCATAAGCAAGTTTTTACTTATTATGATTTCTTGCTGGGCTTTTAGGTAGCAGGGCATCCTCAAGTCATTTTATTTCTCCATTTATATGATGTTAAGATGTGCCTTTGTCTGGCTTACCCTGTCTGTGGCCTGAAGAAACTCATACTAGTTGTTCTCTAAACTAAATGGAAAGCATATATAATTTGGAATGAGACTGTCTGGATAGGAATTCTACCCCTAACACTCAATACCCACATGGTCTTTGGATATTTGGTGTCTTTGAGCAACCCTGTCTTTATTTCTGGAATGAGAACAATAACTAATACTCCAGGATGTTGTGAACATTTCAGTGAAATCAAATGTGAAAGTAGTTTGTAAACTGTAATGTTCTAAACAAGTATTAGCTGTAATATTGCATATTTGTATACCTTCATATCAGAGTGAACATTTCAATTTTTGTTAGGTATTAGTTCCTTCTCACACCACTAATAAAGACATACTTTAGACTGGGTAATTTATAAAGGAAAAGAGGTTTAGTGGACTTACAGTTCCACATGGCTGGGGAGGCCTCACAATCATGGCGGAAAGTGAAGGAGGAGCAAAGACACGTCTTATATGGTGGCAGGAAAGAGTGTGTACAGGGGAGCTGCCCTTTATAAAACCGTCAGATCTCGTGAAACTTACTCACTGTCACGAGAACAGCACAGGAAAACCCACCCACCGATTCAATCATCTCCCACTGGGTCCTTCCCATGATATGTGGGGATTATGGGAGCTACAATTCAAGATGAGATTTAGGTGGGGACACAGCCAAACCATATTAGGTATAATCAAAGATTATCTTTTATAGTGGGGCACCTGTAACTTAATGTTTTGACAACCTTACCACTATCTAAAAATAAAATGAGGGTCCAGTTGGGTTTTAGGCCCAAAGAAGAAACCATTTTCAGGGCAGGAAGAACAGATAGTAAGGTAAGGAGAAGTTCTTAGAGCTAGATTTATGCATTTTTCTCCTAGGGAAAGACATGTGGCAATGTCTGGACGCATTTTCAGTTGTCACAACTTAAAAGGCTGGAAGAAAGCTCCTGGCATCTCGTGAGTAGAGTCCAGGGATACTGCTAAACATCCTATAACATTCAGGACAGCTCCCCAAGACAAAGAATTACCTTGCCCAAAATGACAGTAGTGCCAAGGTTGAAAAACCCTGGCTTAGCACATTGGGGATCTTCATAAATTCCTAAGTAGAACTAGTGCTCTAGAGGGGAAAAAACCTGAAACTTGAATTGGCTGGCTGCTACTGGTGAATCTACCCAGTCACTTGCCCACCTGGTGAATTTCTATGAATGTTTCAAGGAGCAACTCAACAATTGCCCTTTCTTCATAGCTTCCAATTACCTCTTTCTTTCCTCTCCTTATTCCCTTTTGTCCCTGGAAGAATTTATTGCTCTCTCATCTTTATTCCCATAGTAATTTCCATACATCTCTATATAGTGTAGAACTTAATGTATCAGACCTTGTTGTGAGTTGGCCTCCCCTTCTGTTCTGGGCAGGAATTACACCTCATCTTTTATTACCCCTAGCACCTGGCCATTGTATTTAATTTTTATACTATTTGTTGGAATCTGAATTGATTTAAATTGATATAGGAACGAGTAAGAAGGTGTCTACTCTCTAGAAATGTATAAGTTACTGGGTGTGGAGTGGCAAATATTGAGCATAATTAATAGGGCAAAATGTGACATAGCAGAGAGGTATTGTGGTTCCTCAAAGCAGAGAACTATACCAGATAGGTTGTATTGGAAATGATTTTATGAACTTCAGAAATATGCCTCTTACTTGATTTGGCCATTAGGAGGAACATCACAAAAATATATATAATATAAACATGTAAAGAAAAATACCGCAGTACCATTTAGAATAGAGAAAATTATAAATACTCTAAATTTCTAGCAATAGAGGATTAGTTAGGAAAATTGTATCACATCCATATATATGAGATGGTAAGATGCAGCCATGCTGTTGAAGCTGACTTGTGAGAATGGTCAGACATACATACACACATGCATACATTACACTTGATATTAGCCAAAAAGCCAAGAACACACATGTGTGCATTAAGTTTGGGAGTAAAGACAGTGATTTCCATTTTGAATATGTTGAGATAAGGGTTCAGGTCTGGGATAGAGGCCATCTAATTTGGTAAAACCCAGTGGTCAACCTTTTTGTTAATACAATCAAGCATAAAATGTAGTTTCTGTCCTTTAGGAACTTCTCATTTAGTTAGTTGAACATCCATGAGACCTTAACTGTACCCCTAGAAAAATACACACCAAGTAAGCAGATTAGTAGGAGAGAATGTTCCTCCTTCAGAGGTGGGACCTCTGCACTGAATGCTGAAGATGCAGTATTCTCTCCTGACCAGGAGTAGTTGACAGAGCCAAGAACTGCTTGGGGTGGATATTGGAAAACCAAAGCAGTTCTGAAGGTAAAGCTGAACAATCAGAGAATGTACAGATAAGCAATACAATGAACCTCCTTCAACAAATTTTAAAGATACCTGACAACAGAGAGATCTTTTGCAACAGGAAGTGGCCTGTGAGGACTCCCTTCAATTATACTGTGTCTACTTGGCTTTGAATGGAGCCCACTTTCCAGTGAAATGTGTGAAGGAATTTTGGGAGTGAACCCTGAGCTGATACTTTTCTAGACTTTGGTTGAACACAAGCACTTTGTAAAATTACAGGAACTCCTCAGTTTTTTAATGAAGATTTAAAAATGGAAAGAGTTAGTAGTATGTTGTTGCAGTGAACAAGGGTACAAATTCTCAGCTAGCCACCTTTGTTCCAACCCCTCAGAAAGTGCTTTATCTGCATATTCTAACAGCTGGGGTGCCTGCTGAACACATTTTCAGTTCACGCCTTCCTTTTGTTTTTTTGGAGATAGAGTCTCACTCTGTCACCCAGGCTGGAGTGTGATGGCACCGTCTCGGCTCACTTCAGCCTCCATCTACCAGGCTCAAGCGCTTCTCACGCCTCAGTCTCCCAAGAAGCTGGGACTACAGGGGCGTGCCACCACGCCCGGCTAATTTTTGTATTTTTAGTAGAGATGGGGTTTCACCATTTTGGCCAGGCTGGTCTCAAGCTTCTGACCTCAGGTGATCCACCCACCTTGGCCTCCCAAAGTGCTGGAATTACAGGCTTGAGCCACACTTGAGCGACTGCACCCAGCTGACACTTTCCTATATTCCAATCCTTCCAAAAATGTCTCTATTTTGAATCTTAACAACTTCATGTTGGAGTTAGGTGAGGAAAGGAAGATCTCCTAGTCTTTTGAAGCAGTCTAAGGATGTGGTTAAAAACTTTTTTTTTAATACTAGGGAGATTTGGTTTTGAATCTCATGAACTCATATGTGGACCTTTGGAAGTCACTTATTCTGAGCCTCAGTTTCCTCATCAGTGAGATGAGGATAATGAGAGTACCCACCTCACATGGTTGTTATAGAGGAGATGTTTTTAGGTTATACTTAGACATTTTTTTAAATTTGATTAAGTATTTACTTCAATATTTACTATGTCAACAGTTTTTTTTTCTCTACTGGCAATAACAAAGTTTCTTTTTAATGTAAATGTAGCTAAATAAAATTGAATTATTTTAAATGAAAACATTAAGTGAATGTGACCAAATGTTTGAAAGTGATAGACATGTAGTAGTGACTGAAGTTCATGAAAAATGGGCTCAAGATTATTGCTAAAGTCCTTCCAAACTGTAAGATATTGTAGTTCTATGAGGCAAACGCTTTAAAACCGTTTATGCCTATGGACTGTATCTTGCCATATGTATATGTATTAATACTGCCTTTATAATAAATATAAGCAGTTGGACCTCAGATAAGAGACCTCCAGTCTTAGTTCTGAATCTTCTTCATTCTTAAGTCATCTGGGCCTTATGAACATTTTTTTTAAACTCAGCACTGACCCAGTGGTATGATGGCTGTTTGTTACTAACATTTTAAGTGCCTGTGGCCTATTGACCTTGCTTCTTCTCCAAATATACTAAAGATTAGTTAGAACTAGACAATGTTTTTATAAGTAATTTTAACTAATGGCTAATTTTTACTTTTTGTCTCAGGCCTAACTTTTCATTTTTAATGATTATAATCCATATTTGGTTTTCTCCAGTAGTGCTTAATAGTACATATTTTTTAAAAATAAAATGCCTAGTTCTGAAGAGAGAGGAGCTTTAAAGACCTTTGTTACAGAGCATTAGGCTATAGTATGACGACAACAGAGAGAACCTGCAAAGTGGCAGAAAATTCATTTTTCAGACGGGTTTCATACTTTCCTTCTCAGACCAGTCAACTCTTAAAATTCTTGCACAGGAGCCTTAGAAGTTAATTATTCTGCACAAGACGCTGCCTAGTGATTAGGTACTCTGTCAATGTTTGTTGTTGAAGGAATGATCTAAAGAATTTGCATTCTTCAATATGGAAAAAAATAGGCTAAATTTAATCAAAAACAAACTCATTTTCAACGGTATCACTTAAAACAACATAGTTTTGAGAGTGGGCTCATTTATTTATATAATTTAATTCGCAGCTCCCTTTGTGTTCCTTTAGGTGAGGTGCTAGGGACACAGGAGATCCTGGGCTCTCCCACAAGGAGTGAACAAATGCATAATTACACCTATGGACTATATCTGATCTACAGGCATATTTTTTTCGGCCCTCAGTGTTTTAAAGGTTTTTAAATTTGTAAATTTTAAAATCTGTTGCCAACATTTAAACTTTGAAAGATTAGCAATTTAGAAATCCAAATATCTCTCCTCTCTTGAAAAATCAGAAGATTTGGCAATACTGGATCCACACTGCTACTTGGTAACAGTCTGCTTTCATGAAGAGCAGCTCCCCTTTCAGGACAGGGGATGAGTTCCTGACCTGATGTGTTATACCCAACCTATTTTCCTGATTTATATCACTATTTGGCCCACCTTAGCTGTGAATTTGCAATTCCTGACCTTAAAAGACCATACGATATTAATAGATTTGACTTAAGAAAAATGTCTTATCCATGTGCCTTCCCTGTTATGCCAACTTAAAAATGTCCATTCTCATTCTCTCAAGTTTTAAAGAATATAACTCCTTTAGGCATAACACTAAGAATAGCTATCCCTGAAACCCAGCTTGCCACAGAGATGAGGTTCTGATGTGTGCTTCTAAAGCTATTGTTTATTCAGCAGGCCATACTGATCCTTGGCTTTTATATAAACAAATCAATACTTTTTTTTTTTTTTTTCTTAAGACAGAGTCTCGCTCTGTTGTCCAGGCTGGAGTGCAGTGGCACGATCTCATGCCTCAGCCTGCTGAGTAGCTGGGATTACAGGTGCGCCACCACGCCCAGCTAATTTTTGTATTTTTGTAGAGAAGCGGTTTCACTGTGTTGGCCAGGCTGGTCTCGAACTCCTGGACTCAAGTGATCTACCCGCCTCAGCCTCCCAAAGTGCTGGGATTACAGGCATGAGCCACCATGCTGGGCCCAGATCAATACTTTTATTGTCCACATCACTTAATTGATTTATCTATTTCTTTCCCCAATTTCTTCTATAGACGTTACTACCTGTTGGTATTCTTATTTTTTTAATTTTTGGTGTCTTTATTTAAAAAGAAGGGGGCAAAGGGGAGCATAAGCTACGGAGGAAATACTGGAAAGATGAATTTAGATTTTTATTCTTTTTTGTGTCTCCAAGTGGGGTTCAGTGCTGTTATCCTCATTTAGTTAATGCATGTTAATTGGCTAATCATGGTTAGAACTGGCATTAAGGCATCTGTCTGGCTTGATGAGCAAATGGATGCTCTGATGGAGTTAGAGTAAGTAAGCAACTTGTTTCCAAGGTTCTCTGAAGCCAGCCACCTGGAGCTGGAAGACTTCAGCTGAATAGATATTCTCTCAGGGGAAACTTAAAAAGCTTCACTGATTCCAAAAATGAAGAAACTCTTGGAACCATTGTCAAATTGGATTCCTGCTATTTTACAGGGAGCTCTTTGAGTTGGGGCATCCACTGAGATTGATATAGTCACTGTGGAAGGCAGATAGGACTCATCTCATCTTTTAAGAACACAAATTTAGTGCATTTCCAGCTGGCACCCACTTGAATTATATGATTTCAGGAATCCCATCTTATTCAACCTCTTGAGGGTATTGTGCTGCAGACAAAGCAATTAGCATTAGGTTTTGATACAAGAACACAGGCTCCTGATTATAATAATTCTCATGAATAGCACCGTTATAACCTTGTGTTAGATAGGGTCCTCCAAAGAAGTAGAACCAATAGCGTGTGTGTGTGTGCGTGCGTGTGTGTGTGTACATACAGAGAGATGGATATTTATTGTTAGGAATTAGTATTGTGGAGGTACAAGTCCAAAATACATGGTAGGCTGGCAAGCTGGAGACTCAAAGGAGAGTTGCAGTTGGAGTTCAAAGGCAGTCTGCTAGGGAAATTTCTTCTTGCTTACAGAACGTCTGTCATTGTTCTACTAAGTCCTTCAATTGATGAGGCCCACTGATGTTATGGAGAATAATCAACTTTACTCATCACCTATTATTTAAATGTTAATCTCATCTAAAACATTTTCTTCACAGAAACATCTAAAATAGTGTTTGGCCAAACCTATCTGGGTAACATAGCCCAGCCAAGTTGATATAAAGTTATCCCTCCTGCCCTTTTACCCCTTTTATCTTTAGAAAGGATAGAAAAGTGTACTACTAAACCTATCATTAAAATTAAGGTTTTGTTAACCTTCGGATTTAGACTGGAGAAGGCTAAACTCTCACAGAACTTTCTACCGTATTCTCCTACACAGCTTCTCTTAAAAAAGTTAATGCTCAGCCGGGCGCAGTGGCTCACGCCTGTAATCCCAACACTTTGGGAGGCTGAGGTGGGCGGATCACGAGGTCAGGAGATCGAGATCATCCTGGCTAACATGGTAAAAACCCGTCTCTACTAAAAACAAACAAAACAAACAAACAAAAAATTAGCCGGGCGTGGTGGCAGGCGCCTGTAGTCCCAGCTACTCGGGAGGCTGAGGCAGGAGAATGGCATGAACCTGGGAGGCAGAGCTTGCAGTGAGCCAAGATCGGCGCCACGGCACTCCAGCCTGGGCAACAGAGCAAGACTCTGTCTCAAAAAAAAAAAAAAAAAAAAAAGTTAATGCTCATGTAACTGAGCTGCCTGGAAAGGAATCTCAGCATTTGAGTAATTCTTTTTTCCCTGTAAATTGGTTGTGTATTTTGTGGCATGATTTAGATGTTGTATACATTTCTATAATAGGATTTCAAGTTCTTTAAGTATTATTGACGTCATATGAGCCAGAGGTAACTTACTCAGAGGGTTGTTTTTAATTTTGATGATTAACATGCTGACCCATAATGTTCAGATTCCTGTACTTAGCTCTTTAGGAATTTATAGTAGATTTAAAAGATACAATTTCCATTCTTAAGGGACTTAGCTTCAAGTCAAGGGTTTTGTTTTGTTTTGTTTTGTTTTGTTTTTTAATTATTTGTTTTTAAACTGAACTCAAGCATGAGCTTCTATCATTTCTAAGAAGAGGCAAGTCTTTTTATTTTATTTGCAGCTACTATGGTGCAAAAGAAGTATCATAAGCAGTAAGTTCAGTTGTGATGTAAATTATACCTGAGTCATGTAGTACAAAGAGTGGATGGGCCTCCACTCTGCCACTTTGCCATGTAATCTTGGGACGTTCACTTAACATCTTTGGTCCTCAGTTTCCTCAACTGTAAAATGAGCAGTTTGAACTATATTTCAGAGACTCTTCCAACTTTGAAGACTGATATAATTTTCCTCAAACTCCTTAGAAGTTTGTTTGGTTGTTTGTTTGTTTTTAAACTGGAGCCATTTGCCATTATAGGCAACTTTTCCTACTGCTCAAATTAATAAATTCTGGGTTCCATGAGAGAGTTTGTTTTTATCTTTTTGAGAGTGACCTTATGGGGGGATAAAAGATGATATGCAGCAAGACTTACAGAGGTTAAATCACTCACTCATCCATTCGTTTGAAAAAATAAAGGCTTGTGGAATGGTTTATGGAAGAAACATTTCAGCTGGGTATTTAAGCAGGAAGAGGATTTGAATATATGGAGATATGGAGGAAGAGCTTTCCAGGAGAGGAAGCTCAATATGAAGAAACCCCAAGCGTAGAAATGACCAGGAGCACTGAAGAGGGACTTGCATATGGAGCAAATGATGGAAGAGGCAGCTAAGAAGTTGGATCAATATTAGATCATAAGGATCCTCAAATGCTAGACTGGAGAATTTAAACTTTGTTCAGTAGGGTTTAGGCTCCATAAGTGAAGTAAAGAACAATGTCTATCTTTCTCTTGCTTCTGTATCTATGGTCTAATACATAGTAGACACTCAATAAATATTGGTTGCTTGAATGAGGGAATTAATTTATGAGTTCTTGAGAAAGGGAGTAAAATGATGAGACCTGAACTTTAAGGGAATTCCACTTCTTAATCATGTAACAACTAGAAGTAACTAGAACCTGATTTCATTTATGTAAGCAAAGAGCAAGAGGAGGCCTGGACTTGGATGTTGGCTCCTACTTCTTGAGTTTTGGAAGAGGGAGGAATCATAGGTGGCCAAAGTTGATTTTGGGTAACTGAGAGTGATGGTACCAGGTGCTAAGGCATATTTGTTCTTTATGTACTCTCTCATCTTTCTTAGTTACTTTAGTTCAGGGACCCTGTCAGATACAACTGTATTCAATACCTTGCTTAAATAGGTCCTCGATAAATATTTGCCAAAGGAGTTAGTTTGTGGTAGCAAAACTGACTTTGTTTTTAGTGTTTGAGTCTCAGTCACTATGATGCTGTCAGAATTAACAAGCTACTTACCTTCTGGGCAGAAATTGAACAATATTATTAAATACTTTTTTGCCTATTCATGATAGTCATTGTTTTAATCTGAACAGTGTTATTACAAGCTCTGATGTGAAACATGTTTGATATTGATTTAGTTATCTCAGTTATCAGTTATGCTTAACAGTTTTGTTATATGCATGATGAATTTAAAAAATATACATTCCCAAATGCTGACATACATGTATATCATTTTCGACTCAACTTGTCTGTACCATCTTCAAGGCAGTTAATGTATAAGACATTGTACTAGGTACTGTCTGATGGACAAAGATGAATAACACAGTATGTACCTCCAAGAGCTCATAGGACACATGTAGAGTAAGCTAAGGCAGTCTGTGGCAAATGTCATAAAAGAAATCCAAAGACTTTTAGAGGAGGAAGAGATTATGAACAAAGGCCTCGTAATGCTCAAGCTTGGTGAAAAAGTGGTAGTCAAGGCCTTGAAGAGTGGAACTTCCACAGATAGATCTAGGGGAAAAATGCTTCAGACCAGAAAACAGCAAGTGTCCATATAGCAATTGAGGATGGGGAGGTGGAAGACCCAGCTGGCACAATGGAAAAGAGAAACACCATGGTGGGCTTGAAACACTAGGTCAGCTACACAAATTTCTCTCGGTAAGCAGTAGTTTTAAAGCAAGGAACGGCTGTGGTCAGGTCTTGGGCAAATTAATTAGTTGGCAAATGAAGAATAAATTACGGTAGAAGGGCAAGTTGCTTGTCAAGTTGGGCCAGTTAGATAATCACAGACAAAGTAATGACACCTTAAGGTACAAAGGTACAAAAGCAAAGACGTCCAGGGGCTGGTGTATTATATAGAGTGTCAAAATAGGGATGTACAGTATGTGGAATCTGGCAACTAGGTTTTCTTGGAGAGTTTGGTAAGGAGGAAGATTAGAAATCACAGCTCCAAATTTTAAATTGAGCATTTTAGGAGATGGGAATCTATTAACTAAAGGGTGAAAAGAGGAGCAAAAGAAAACTTTTAGGAGAAAAATGATGGATCCAGTATAAACATGCTGATTTGGAGTTGCACGTAGATCATTCTTGGGAGATGTTTGCTAAGCAGCTGAGATTAACCTGCAGCACCATTTTATTATCATCCCACTAATATTTTTACGCCTGTAACTATGTCATGTGCATGGCAGTTCAGGTGAAGGTGAAATTTGAGATGTCTACTTTTAATGTTGTATTAATGTACAGTTTTGTGTAGAATGATGTTTCAAGACATACAGCTGACCCATAAGTTGGCAACTCCTATTTTTTTCTAATCCAATTTTAAGGTAGTGCACATGGAAAATATGATATAAAATGTTTAACCTTATATACATCTTATTTCTTATTATTACTGTTTTTATGAGAAATAAAATAATGTGACTTAGGTGCTTATAACTTTTGTTCCTTTGTTATCTCTGTGTCACAAGGTCAAATAATGTGACAAGCTTGGTCCTGAACAACTGAGTTTAAATTTTTTGCAAGTCATATTATTTCTCCATGAAGATATGTTTTGTGTTTATGCCCAATGAAGTGTTGTATGGCAAGTCTTAGTCTTTCAAGTCATTTTCACTGCCTTATCTCACACTTCCATTTCCAATGCCTTTAAAAATTATTATTACCTGCAGGCCGACTAAATGTTACTGATAGCCTTTCTGGATATTGGTACCAGAGGACTGGAGTTGAGCTCAAATTTAACAAAGATATTACAGAAAGCTTTGTATTTATGAAAACTTAGTTACATATGTTTATACTTCAGTGAAATACTTTTTTAGGCCTGTTCCTCTTTAAACAATGTGTTACTTACATTACATTCTTCATATGTTTCTCTGAACAACCTGGTGGGGTAGAAACTGTCTCTGCCCACCTCCCTCATCCCCACTTTTACAGATTAGGAAATAGGCTTAGAAAGTTTATGGCAGGGTAATCCCAGCACTTTGGGAGGCCGAGGCGTGGGGATCATCTGAGGTTAGGAGTTCGAGACCAGCCTGTCCAACATGGTGAAACCCCATCTCTACAAAAAATACAAAAATTAGCTGCGCATGATGGTGGGCGCCTGTAATCCCAGCTAGTTGGGAGGCTGAAGTAAGAGAATCGCTTGAACTCGGGAGGCAGAGGTTGCAGTGAGCTGAGATCGTGCCATTGCACTCCAGCCTGGGCAGCAAGAGCAAAACTTTGTCTAAAAAAAAAAAAAAAAGAAAGAAAGGTTATGGCAGGACTTACTGGAGAGCCAGGTTTGGAATTTAGGTTTTCTGATTCCAAATGCTGTTTTCTTTTAATGGTACTCTGACCAGTAGTAAAATTAGAATGGCTCATCTGCCAAGTGAAATGCTAAACTATGTGTTCCTTCTTAGAATTCTACTTGAGGTAACTAGATGACCCTCCAAAGTTGCTAAATTGGCTGACCTGCAGCAATTTGTGCCATTTCCCTGTGTGTGCTTGTGTGTGTGCATTAGGTAGATGTCTTTATCTTTAGGAGTCTTGATGAGTACCCTTATAGCAGAAAGCGCCTGCATTTGGATCTGCTGAGAATCTAGCTTCCTGCGTTTTTCGTGTGACCTTCATTGAAGGAAGAATGGGAAACCTGCCTCACTGCTTACGCTATTGAATTTCACCAGCTGCCTTTTATGGATTTTAAATAGAGATGGTTTTGTGATTTTTCTTTCTTTTTAAAATCTGATCTCTGTAGAAAACTGCCTAGCAGACTATACCAGCTTTAAGAAATAGAACCTGTCTTAGCTGAAAAGCAACCTTTTTGTGCATTTTTATTGTGAAAAATACCAAAGCAATTTCAAAGAAGGCCCAGATTTAAAAATCTATCTATAATCTCTTTCTGGGGACTTGACTTATCTGGTACGATGATGTAGATATCTGTCTTTACACTCTAGCTTTATTAACTTGTTAACATTGGGATAGTATTCCTTTTGTAGAATCAGCCATAAGTATTCTGCATCTTATATTTTTCTGTTTCTTTAACAGAACAGGGAGATGTATGGACAGGACTCTTCCCTCCTCGGTGCATGTGTGCTGGTAGATGGAACCAGTTAATCTCCAAGGTCATCTGCTAACTCTTAGTTGTTAGTGCCTCTCTTTTGTGTCTGTGTCATACCACTCACAGTTGTCTGCTGTGTACTGAATACTCAGTATGTGTGAGGGGAGAGAACACACCCAATTTACAGTCTCCGGTCTCTAGTCCTGGGAAATCTCAACCTCTTGGGCTTTCTGTGTGTATTTATCCAGCAGACATTGACTAAACTTTTGCTCTTCACAAGGAGACTCTGAGCTAGGCCCTGGGTATAAAGAAACATAAGAAAAGACCTCTCCCTTTGTGTCTACCAAGCAAGGGAGAAGGGTATATAAATAAATAACTGTAAAGTGTGTCAAGTCCCTATTAGAGGTCAAGTGGCAGGATGGACAGGGGTGCTATGGAACATCACAGAGGCAGCCTGCAGACCCCACCAAGCTGCTCTCCCCAGCCTGTTCTCTCTTTGATTTTTCCAGATACCCGTCTTTCTTCATGTGCCCCAGTCCAACCTGGTGATGAGGAAGATAAGGATAAATATTTAATGTGGTTGTGCGCCCACTTCCAATTCACCCTAGATGTCACCTGTGCAATTTTCCAAGCTTTTATGAGAAAGTGAATTGAATGATAATACCATCTGTTTGAATATAGAAGTGAGACACAAGGTCACAGCAGGGCCTTCTCTCCATAATCTGTTGTGGTAGGGAAATGGCGAAAAAGAAATATGGTTGGTCTGTGTGATACTTAGACTTAATAGAGAGGGAGACACTTTATTGCTCTGAAAGCCTTACCTTCCAAGGGCATTTGAAACCAGCCCTTGTTTCCAATCTGGCTGAGTTGCTGAACCCTGAAGGTTTAATCCTTATTACTGATAAGAAAGAAAGAATGTGACTTATCACTCCAATCTCTGCAGAGATGGAAGGAAAAACTATTTCTCGGAATGTGATTACATGTTATTTGACAGCTTTTTGGTTGGCCCATCTATTTAGGTGTTTGAATAAGTAAACTCAGTCGAGGGGGGGGTTGAGTATTATTTACTTTATAAATGTGATAGTTCCTTTTTGAAGTGATCCTGCTCTTGCCCCTTTCCTCTACCATTCAAACAGAGTTTAAATATTTGCCAGTGCAGATGTTTGATTTTTATCTTAGCTCTTTCTTTGTTTAACTTTATTCTCATGGGTGGTTAAGTGGACGATAAGGAGGTTCTTGTTTAATTCTTTTCAACTGGTGTTGCTCAAATATTTGGAGAGCAGATGCTTCCCAGAAAGAATGAGCGGGAACCTGGTTGAATAGAGGTGAAGAGATATGTCTCCGTGTCATATCACAGTAAACCAGACCCTGTTAGGCTGTTACTAGGGCCCAGGGGCTTAGTAGGCCTGAGTGTTTCTCAGTGTCCAGAACCTTCCTTTAGCAGCTCCTGCAGCTACTGGTGAAGGGTTTTTGCCGCCTTTGTTTTCCAGAAAAACGTGTGCTGTTCTAAAAACAAAGCTTGGTAATTCAGTGGCACTGGCAGCAAAGGCCTGCTTGTGTTGTGACCTCCCATCAGAAGCCTCTCAGCATTTCTTCCATACCCACTTCTGATCTGATACCAAGTTTTGCTTTCAGAAGAAATGATTTTTTTTAACCTTTTGCACTTATCTCAGCATTTTAGCAGTGATTAAAAACAAGCAAACAAGTAAAGAATATTCCCTACCCTATTAGCTATCATTACATTGGCTTTGTGTGTGGACTTGATGATCAGTTTCCACAGGGATTTGCTTTTTAATCATTACCTTAAAAATTCATCCATGAACAATTCCACATTTCATCACTGCCCTTGGAACTGACACTGTGGGTGTGATTTTTATATGCTATGTGATAAATGAGGCAGACTTCTCTGGAAATATTGAGAAAAACCCAGGTTTCTGAGTGATTTGCCTGGCAAATCACCTTCCCTAGGAAATTTAAACAAAGACCAAGAAAGGAAGTAAACCCCAACTGGTGTGTGAGTGGGGGGGTGCTGGAGGGGAGGCGGGGTCTTTATATCTCTTTCTTTCTAAACTGGGACTCCACTGAAAAGTTGATTTACACTGTGAATCGAGGCTGAATGAAATCCAATTGGAACTCACTTGAACACTGTTTTGATGTAAGATTCAAAGCTTCTGCAAATTTATTTTATCTTCTACATTTGCTGATCTCCTGCTTGTAAATCCTGTTGAAGGAGAATAAAAATGACTGCAGCCTGATGGGAATTAAATGTCTGAAGTTCAAAGCAGTTTGCACATCAGAGCAAACGTCAATCAAGTGAACATCTTGCAAGCCAGGCAGGGAGTGAATTTCTCCATGGGGAAGAGATCAAAGTGGGAGTCACAGTTCTGTTTTCTCCCTCGGGATGCAGTTTCGATCAGTTGTTCATGAAAGTAAATCCAGAAGGAAGTTTTTTTTTTGTTGTTTTTTTTTTTTTTTTTTTTTTTTTTAACTTACAGGGGTTGGAGAGATGGAGTTATTTCTCTTGAAACTGAATTTCAGACACTGGTTTTATCTTATGAAAATGAGCATAGAATGCAGTTATAGAGTCAGGGTCTAAAGGAGATTTAGATCAGAGTTTTCTATTGTCATTACTAACTTTTTAAAAGCACAGGCATGAGGAATGAAGCAAACCAAACCTCTTAAGTTGAATTGCCCATTCATTTTGTATGAAAATCTATGATTTTACCACTTCTTGGCCTTTCCATAAACCCGGAATTATATAAATGTGACTGGCAGCTAATGTACTTCTTAATGAAAAATCTTTTAGGTAACCCCTAAGAATAAGTGACATGTTTTTATAAAGTGTCCTAAGTATGAGCTTTATATTTCTCACATTCTCCAAATCAGGGCGAATAGCATGTTTCTTTTTATAAGTCACTTTTCTCAAAGGCATATGGGCATAAAATGCATTCCTGTCTTTGGCAAGGTGACTCTTCCTCTGGGGACCAGAGGTAGCTAAAGTAACAAGGATGGCTGAGCATGTTTTATCCCTGCGTGTGGAGTCCGGAGTCCAGAAAAAGCGGCAGGCATTGGAGTGTTAGTGAAGGGTAGAAAGATAAGCACTCTTCACTTTTGCTTCCAGTAGTTACTCCTGCTAGCCTAGCCAGTCCACCAGCCCTGTATATCTTAAGCCCCTATTGACACCTCCTTCTTTATCTGACCGGCACATCAGTGGTAGTGAGAAAAGCAGCAGAGTGAGGTTGATTTCTAGGCTTTTCATGCTAACTTGACTGGCGAGTGAATGCTGCACGGCTGAAATTCAGCACATGTGAGAGAACTCACGGCAGTTGAGACTCTTATGAAATACAGTAGATGTTCAATGAATATTATGAAATAAAATGCCCAGAGCTTTCTGGTGACTTAACTCTCTGCCCTTTCTCGTTACTCAGTCAACCAGTAAGAATTTATGGAATGCCCCACCTTCCAGCAACTGTGCTAGACGTGAGAGAGAAATATAAATCCTCCAGTAACCTACAGTCCCATTGGGGGAAGCTAAAATTTCTCAAGTGCATAAAAGGTTTTAGAGAGAATTGAGAATTCAAGAGCTACATGGATAGGGTTTAGTCAAATAGGGGTTCCATGATAATCATCTTTTGGAATTTCAACCCCATGTAACTGTAACACACATGTATTTGGCATAGGGGGAAGGCAAAATGAATAAGATAATTTGTTCATTATTTATAATAAATCTTATTTTTAAATTTTATTGATGCAATGGTCTGAATGTTTGCCTTCTCTGTCCCAAATTTATGTGTTGGAAACTAATCACCAATGTGATCATATTAGGAGGAATATGATTAGATATATTAATATCATTAATATTATTATATATTAATATTAATATATATTAATATCATTGCCTTTGGGAAATAATTAGATCATGAAGGCAGAGCCCCCATGAATGGCATTAGTGCCCTTACAAAAGAGGTCTCAGAGAGCTGCCTTACCCCTGTCACTGAGGTCACAGTGAAAAGGCCACATCTATGAACCAGAAAGTGGCCCCTCACCAGACACTAAATCTGCCAGTACCTTAATCATGGACTTCCCAGCCTCCAGACTTGTGAGAAATGAATTTCTGTTGTTCATGAACCAGCTAGTTTATAGTCCAAATGGACGAAGACAATTGATTAGTGTTTTGTTGGTATAAGCAGAATCTTAAAAAAAATCTATATCTAATAGATAGGACTGTGATATTATGTTGTTTGATTACAAAATAAGAAAAATAGGAAGAAGACATAGGCATATAGTTAAGAAGCAGAATGGCATTAGTCAGCTTGGAGGAGGAAGGACTCATCATGGGCCAGTACTAGGGAGAAATTTGAAAGAGGAAGAAGAGTTGAGCTGGGCTTTGAAGAAAGGGTGGAGTGGACACTGGAGAGCATCACAATTGGGGTCGAACAGAAGAGCACATAGGGAGGGGCCAGTTTCGTTAGAAGTGTAGGATAGGAGTTGGTGGGAAGAGAAGGTCGGATAGATTATTGTTGACAAGTACCACATGGTGAAACTACTTTATGATGGAGAAATGTTTATCAAGCACCTACTTTTGTTAATGAGTCACTGTCATTTTTATTGTTATAAAAATGTTTTTCTTTAATGCTGTTAGAGATTACCTTTTCAGCAAAGGAAGTAAAACAACCTATAATAATAGTTCCCTGATGTCCCTGGTCCCACGAGCCAGCCTGCATTTCACAAAGGTCCAGAAAAATCTATGTATCCTCAGCATTGGACTTCAGCTCTCTCAAGGGGTGATGCTGAAAGCGACGTGCTCTCTGTGGAGACTTCATCCAGATAGACAAAGGCTCTCTCCAGGTTTATACATTTCCTGGGAAGATTTGTCAGTAACCCTCTTGAGTTGCAAGTTCTTCTTTATTTATCACTTATGCAGAATCGTATGTGGTTTGTCTCTGGAAAGGAGTTGAGTGATGGGTTTAAGTCTCTCTTAGGTCCCTGACTTGCTATGTGATCTTTGGTGTCATTTTTCTCAACTGTGAAATGGGTAGGAGAAAGGGTTCATAACTTGGAGAGCAAAGTCCAGATGTCAGCTGCAGATGTACCTCAGAACTACCCTATTCTCTTCATCTAAATCCAATCAGAAGATCCGGTGTCTTCGGTCTCTTTGAGACCTACAGGGAAGTACCAGTGCTCATGCAGAAAGCCATTACTTTGCTTTATTTCTAAAAGAATCTGCATAGCAGGATTGGAGGGTACTTCTCATTCCTCCAGAGCCTGTGCAAATCAGATTCCTTGGCCTCACCCCAGACTCACTAAATCAGACTCTCTTAACGGTGGATCCCAGGAATCTGCATTCTAACATACATCCCAGGTGGTTCTGAAGTAGCTAGACTTTTAGTATTGGAACCATTCGACTGAGTCATGGTCCTCACTTGCCAAGATTTCTTGGAGCCTTCAGGGGAGCCCAGAACAGGAGTAGGTACCCTGGATGGTGTGGATGGTCATAAAAGACCAGGTAATATGAGCACCTACTTATGACCAGAACAATGCTAAGCAATGTATGCAGTGGTGAACAAAATCAACAAGACATGGTGCTTCCCTTCATGGCACTCTTGTCTATTTATGGAATCTGATCTATAAAAAACATGAATAGAACAATAATTTTAAAATTATGGCACATGCCTTGACAGAATATGGAGGCAGTTGACATAGACTTGGGAAGTCATCACAATCAGGATAGGCCTTTCTGAAGAAGGGAAACGTGAAGAGAGACCTGAAGGATTACTAGACAAGTAATCAGGAGAACCTTCTAGCCTTCCATTTCCAATATGGTAGCCACTCTTCAGTGACTATTTACAAACTAAGACGAAATAAAATAGAAAATTTAGTGTCTCTGTTATGCTAGCCACATTTCAAATGCTCAGTAGCCACATGTGTCTAACATGTTGGACAGTGCAAATATAATACATTTTCATCATCCCAGAGACTTCTCTTGGATTGCCCTGGTCTAGACCAGCAGTGGTGAAACAGGTCTGGAATACCACCTGTTTTTGAAAATTAAGTTTTATTGGAACACAGCCATACTCAATTTTTTATGTATTTTCAGTAGCTGCTTTCACACTACAATGGCAGAGCAGTTGCAACAGTCTTTATGGCCCACAAAGCCTAAACTATTATCTATCCTTTTATAAAAACATCAGGGAGGGAATAGACTTAGTGTGGCTAGCTATAGCATAGAGAGAAGTGAGATTATAGTGATAGTGCCTTGCCAGCATGGACACAGCAGCAGCTGCTGTATTAATCTCTTATTTTCCCTCCATCTGTGGCTTCTGAGGCAGCAGTCTTCTCGTCTAGACAAACTGGAGCAGGTCCAAGGAAGGGCAGCCACGTTGGTGAAGCAACTGTGTCCTTTGAGGCACAGTTGACATTGTCGGTGTAACTCTGCACTAGGTTAGAGCCTGGACTAACAGTAAAATCCAGCTATCTCCTTCTTTGAGATGGTATGAAATAAAGCAAGACTGTTTTTAGCTTTTGCTGTTGAAACCAACATACCATGTGAAAACCTAGTCCCCTTGCTTGTACAATCAGTTCCACGTGTTCTTATGTGTTCTTATGTGTTAGGAGATGTGATCAACAGATAATTAAAGTTCATGCCAGTGGTCAAATGGATATTGCTTTTTAGGAATATTTCTCCTAGCTTTATAGCTTCTCTATTTGGGTTCATGGAGTTGCATTAGTGGTTCCTGAAGTTTACATTTTAACACAAATTTTTTTAAAACCTTATTTCAAGTTGCATTTATGTGAGGATCTCTTAGAAACTTTGAGAGTCCTCTCAGGGTCTGAAATCCTAAATAGTTTACTTAGAAGTTCAAGATCCTTCACTTTTGTTACTCCTGGATGAAATTCACTTAAAAATACTCTTTATGACTATATGTAAATAAGCTGGTATGTTTTCCTATTATATTCTTTCAGATTGTTGGTTGCTATAGCAATGGATCATTGATTCCACTAATATTTATTGATAAGCTACTAGCTAGAATAATAGCATTGTTCTAGCTCTAGTACTAGCATTACACTACCACTGGAAATCAAAAGACTTTTGCCTTATTTGCATGACAGCCTAGCAGGTACAAGCTGTGTCATGTACTATAAGAGGAACTTCCATACATTATTTTTAATTTTTTTTATGGCTTTGGAAAATAAGTTTTATTATCTTTTTCAGATAAGAAAACTGAGACCCAGAAAAATTGAATAATCTTTCTAATAGTGACAGAGCAGGGTTTCACATCTAGACCATTCCTACTCCACACCCATTCAACCTTCACTACTGTCTATTTTTGTACTTGGTCATTGGTTTTCAAATAGGATAATTTAAAGAATTCTGTTTTACATGTAACATCAGAGCTCCCATCTGATTTTTTTTTTTTTTTTGTAGCTCTATTTTGAATTTTGTCATCTATTTTCTGTATGATTTTATCAGTAGTACTGACTTAAGTTCATTGGAGAAAAGTCGATTTGAAGAATGGTTGTTTTTATCTTTGAATTGAATTTGATTTCTAAAACCTTCTAGAGGCAGGTGTTCCCCCCACCACACACAGAGTTCCGAAATTATTTTTTTGAATATTTAAATCTAAATCATAGTTGTACTGTTTACGGGCTGACCTATCTTGTACACAATGTAAACCATTATTTTTGTTGGTTGGTTTTTCTGGCCTGAATAAGTATTGCTAATTCTCTCCTATTGTTTCAGATTCGATGGGAACTTTAATACCAATGTGTCTAGAACAATTAGTTGTGATCGACTTTCTACTACTGTTAATAGCCGGGCCTTCAATCCAGGACGAGACTTAAATTCAGGTCAGTAATCCATTGGCTTTATAAAGATGAACTGTATTCTACTGCATTCAAGTTGAATAAACATATTGCTTCAATTTTTTTTTTTAATTTTTGAAGAGAAGTATTATATACTTAAGATTGGATATTTCTTGCTGGAAAGTTAACCCTCAAGAGAGGGAGAGGAAGAAGAAAAAATCAAGCTTACATCTTTTTTTTTTTTTTTTTTTTTTTTTGAAACAGTCTCACTCTGTTGCCCAGGCTGGAGTGCAGTGCCGCGATCTCGGCTCACTGCAAGCTCCGCCTCCCGGGTTCACACCATTCTCCTGCCTCAGCCTCCCGAGTAGCTGGGACTACAGGCGCCCACCACCACACCCGGTTAATTTTTTGTATTTTTAGTAGAGACGGGTTTTCACTGTGTTAGCCAGGATGGTCTCAATCTCCTGACCTCATGATCTGCTGGCCTTGGCCTCCCAAAGTGCTGAGATTACAGGCGTGAGCCACCACGCCCGGCCAATATCTTAAGCTTCTACTAGATAGCTATATATGGTACATGCCAAATACCTTTCTATGCTCTTCAATCTATTAACTCATTTATCATGAATTTTACATCTGTTATTTTAAAGGTTATTTTAGAGACCCAGTTATCTTTGCAATAGGAGGTATTGGATTTTCTTTGCATTCCCTAGTTACAATTTTTAATCTGTTTTGGGATTTTTCTGGAAAAATGCTGTGAGAGCTTTTCTATTAATAAACTTAGGGCCATAATACCATATACCAAGGTTGAACTTTCTTCCTGTTCTCATTGGAACTCAGCTGAAGGTGGTGTTAATAACTACTGGGTACTCATATTTATATAACTACTGGTTAGCTCCAAAGTGACCTGATATCTCCACTTTTTTGCCCTAGAGTTCCACTCCATATTTCTCTTTCTTTTTGTCTTATGTACTCTTGTTGATTGATACATCTCAGAACCTAGAGGGTTCACCGTTTAAGAGCTGGAAGGAACTTAAGAAATAATACCATCTCCAATCCTCAGATTTTACCAAGAAAAAAATCTAAAGCACGGGAACCCCCCCAAAGACTTTCCTTATTGCTGGAAAGACAAAGCATCCTTAAACATGAAGAACCATACTTCCCAAATTCCAGGTCTCATGTAGACACATAAAGCCGAAGAGAAAGGCAGAGGACCAGAATATTTACTTTTAGGGCCCCAGTAGGTCTCAGTTTGGGGCAGAAATTGTAATCTTTGGGAATTGTATACACAAATCATGTAATCTATTAGGTCTGAAAAGAATAAGCTGTAAGTTGCATGTTTCTTAGGCATAATAAAACTATAGCTGCTAGATAAATGATCCAACCTAAATCTGCAAATCTGCTAGGCATATCATTTTTCATTGGTCAGATCATCTGGAACCCTCTGTAGCAAGTGAGGTTTACTACTAGAAAGGAAGCTAAATGAGAATGGTTTTCATTACAAAAATAACAAAAGAGGGTAGACAAGGGCATGGAATGGGCAGGTAAATTAACGGGGAGGATTCCACAACTGGCACAGGGTGCAAAGCTGGAAATCGAGTCTCCAGGTTCCCAAATTCAGTTTTTTCCCTAAAACATTCCCAGGTACATGAGAGATGTTGCTTGTTCTGAAGACTTGAGGTTGAAATAGCAATCTGAATAGGATCAGATGTAAGCGTTCCAAAAATACATACTGTAATCCAACATTGTATGTAGTTAAATTTTTTACAAGTCATGGTAACTCATGGGTTGTTTCTTTTTTTCTTTGAGATAGAGTCTTGCTATGTTGCCCAGGCTGGAGTGCAGTGGCGTGATCATGGCTCACTGCAACCCCTGCCTCCCGGGTTCAAGCAATTCTCCTGCCTCAGCCTCCCAAGTAGCTGGGATTATAGGTGCCCACCACCACACCCAGCTAATTTTTGTATTTTTTGTGGAGATGGGGTTTCACCATGTTGGACAGGCTGGTCTCGAACTCCTAACCTTGTGGTCTACCCGCCTCGGCCTTCCAAAGTACTGGGATTACAGGCATGAGCCACCTCGCCTAGGCTTTTTTTCTTTTTTTTCTTTGTTTTTTTTTTTTAAAGACAGAGTCTTGCTCTGTCACCCAGGCTGGAGTGCAGTGATGCAGTCTTGGCTCACTGCAACCTCTGCCTTTTGGGTTCAAGCGATTCTCCTGCCTCAGTCTCCCAAGTAGCTGGGATTACAGACACCCACCACCGACCGGCTAATTTTTGTATTTTTAGTAGAGATAGGGTTTCACCATGTTGGCCAGGCTGGTCTCGAACTCCTAAACTCAGGTGGTCCACCTGCCTCGGCCTCCTAAAGTTCTGGGATTACAAGCATGAGCCACCGTGCCTACCAAGATTTAAGAATTAGTGTGCATTTATACAATAATTAAGTTTTAAATATTAGTGTGTATTTAAATAAGATCTAGATGGATCACACATAAATGTTAATAGTTATTTTTTAATGATGAAACAGTGGGATATTTTTACTTCCTTATTAATTTTCTTAATCTTAAATTAAGCATTTGCTGTTTTTATAATCAGGGAAAAAATAAAAAAAGAAGGAATTATGGACGACTTTCAAATGCATTTTCACTCCTTTCTAGTAGACAGTACCTTCCTTAACGTATTTCTGATAATAGATCCTAAGTCTGGTGTTGAGATTCTAGAAGCTCCATTAACCTCCTGGCTGTGTGACTGGGACAGTAGGAAAGGGCAGGCTTGGGCAGACTGAGTGGGGGGTGTGCTCACTTGGGGTCCAGAATGATGGTCCCCTGCCAAGACCACCCACATCAGTGGGTCGGTCAGATCTTGGAGGATCTGGAGGCTGTGGCAGCCAGGGCCTCATCCTCATTGCCTTATTTTTTGTCTATTTATTGTATTGTTTCTGATAATGAGCACATTGTTGAGATCTGGCTTCATTGTTAGAAGTAGTGTTACTTTTTCTTAGTGAATACTCAGGCCATTCTTCCAGGTTATGGACTTTAGCTTTTGCTCTGAATGAGTTAGAAGGCCATTGGGAGACTTTACACAGGGGAATCTGGGGAGTGGCCTCTCTAGTATATGGCCATAACCTGGAAGAATGGTCTCCTACCTGTTAAGTGGAAGGAATAAGTACAACTAGAAGTCATTTGACAAATATTTATTAAATGCCTTCTGCATAGTAAGTACTCTTTTGTTCTAGGTCAGGAGCTGTAAACACACACACACACACACACACACGCACACACACGCACACAGCTTATAATCTGGAGGCCAGGGGCCAGGAGACATAGAAACAAGTGATATGTTAGAAGATGATGAATGCTATCAAGGAAAAGTAAAGCAGAGATGAGACATAGGGAATACGGTTGGCTGTCGGGGGGAGGAGCAGATGACTTACTATTTCATCTAAGGGTTTGTGGGTGAGATCTGAGTAAGTGGGATTGTAGACTATGGGTTTATCTGGGGGCAGCATATCTGGGGCAAAGACCTTGAATTGAGTGACTGTTTGGTGTGCTTGGAAACTGCAAGAAGGCCACTGTAACTGTGGTGGTGTGAAAGAGCTGGGAGTAGATTAGGCCAGAGAGGCAGTCGGGGGCCAGGTCACCAAGAGCCTTATTTTACTGGCCATTATAAGGACTTTAGCTTTTGCTCTGAATGAGATAGAAAGCCATCATGTGGTGGGGTAGTTACATAGAGAAGTGACATGATTTGACTTCGGTTAAAAGGTTTACTGAGCCAAGACTAGACTGGACAAGGCAAAGGTAGAAGTAGGGGAAGACAACTTAGAAAGTTACTCCAAAATCCAGGCAGCAGATGATGATAGCATTAATAGTGCAGTGACAGTGGAGGTGATGAGAAGCAGTTGAATTCTGAATATGTTTTGAAGGTAGAATCAGTAGGATTTGCTGGTCCATTGGATGGTGGGCAGGGTAGGGGACCAGGTATGTGAGAGTAAGAGAGGAGTCCAGAAAGACTTCTAAGATCCTTGGCCTTACAAGGAGAAGGACAGAGTTGTCATTTATTGTGATGGGGAATGCTGGGAGAAGAGCAGGTTTGTGTGAGAGGCAGGTTATTAAAAGTTACGTTTGAGATGCTCATTGGATATCTAAGTAGAAGGGCCTCATAAGCAGTTGGATATACAAGTCTGCAGTCTAGGTAATAGCCAAGGCTAGAGATTCATTGTGTATAGGTAGTACTAAAATCATGAGGCTCATTTAGATCACGTAGCAAGTGACTGTGGGTAGAAAAGAGAAGGGCTCCAGGGACTGAGTCTTGGGGTGCTTTACTGCTGAGGTGACACTGAGATGAAGAGGAAGCTGGAAAGGGAGCTGAGAAGGGCAGTCAGGCAGGTAGAAAGAGGACCAAGAGGACTGTCTCCCTGAAGCCAAGTGAAGAAAGTGTTGCAAGAAAGAGGGAGAGATCAACTTTGTCACCTAGTCCCTGTATGCTGAGGGTCCAGAAAACCAGCCATATGATTTAGCAATGTAGAGGCTATGGGTGAGCTTGTCAAGGGTTGTTTGGTAGAATAGTAGCATAGGCTGATCCTAGAGGGTTCAAGCTCTGGAGAACGGAGGAGAGGAGTCAGAGGAAATAAGGACTTGAACTCCTGAGATTTGCTCAAAGGAAAGTTAGAAGGCCAGATGAGATCAAGAAGATATTTTTTAATTGAGAGAAATTATACTCAGTTTATGTGCCAAAGGGAATAATCCAGTAGAGATTGACACAAGAGCAAGGGGAGAAGATTGCTAGAGCTTTTTCCCTGATTAGGTAAGAGATACTGCATCACCAGTAGAGGACCTAGAAGCACAGAGCATTCATTCATAGCAAGAAGAGGAAAGGAAGAGTACATGGATGGAGATGCTCATATGATGATGGGTATGAACGTGGGGACACTCCCTTCTTAGTGATTCTGTTTTTTCAGAGAATTAGAAAGCAAGATCATCAGCTGAGAGTGAGGACCAGGGAATAAGCATTAAAGACCTGTTAGTGGTACTAAGATTACCTCCTGTTACTGAGGTTTAGACTGAAACTCAGTGCACAAATAATCCCAACAAAATGCTGATGTATTTCAGTGTTTATTTGTGAAGGAAGAGAGTTCAGATAGTTTGAAAATTCAGAGGGTGGGGAAGAAGAGTGTGGAGAGGGCAGAGGTAAGTAGAATATAAAGACCAGATCTTGAATTTTTATATTTCTGTGAGCATGTCTCAAGTATAACCTACTACATAACAAGAGTTGTTCTCAGCACAGTTGACACAGCTAGATTTACAAGCAGATTTTGGCAATATTCAGGTATTTAAGAACTGACTTGCTTGCATTTGAAGTTTTGCAACATTCTACTAGGCAGTGGCTACATCCCAAAGTCCACATACTTGAGCAGTTATTTGTAATATGAGAGGAGTGGGACATGGTGAAAGGTGACCTCAGAGTTCCCCCTTTTCCTCCTGTACAGCTCATGCCCCTTTTCAGAGCAGAATTAATGTACTTTGTAGGTTATCACATGTCTGATATTTACATCTGCAAGATGTCCAGCCTTAGGCTCTTTCATACTGTATATAATTCATCAATGGGCCCCTAATTGATAACACAGTTTCAGATTGCCTCTCAGACTAGCTGGAAGCAGACTCACATAAATTATAAACCATTCTTAACTTCATTTGTCCAAAACTGGGTCGTGTGTCCATTCATCCAACACATATGTGTATTCTTTTTCTTAAAACCACCCCAGCCAGATCCCTACTTTCTAAATTGACTCCTTGTCCCTGAGTCTATTCAAATAACTAAAGTTTGACAGTGCATGTGTTATATTATGGTTCTGGTAATGTTTTGCTCAGGTTCTTTCCTGCTTTTATCCCTACTTTCTCACTCTCTCTCTTTTTTTTCTTTTAAATTCCTGCTGAGCTATTTTCTTGTGCATGGCCTGATCCCTAAAGAGAGTTTATTTGAAGAGTCCAAGAGAAGTTGCCTCTTGCTCTCTTGAGTTATGCAATTGAGGTGAGAGTGAAGTAGGAGTTAGTCTTTCTCACTGAAAGAAAAAGCGTCTGGACTTTCTTTATTGCGTTTGATTTTAAAGAGCATTTGAAGTCGCAAACTTCGATCTTGGTAACATTGCAGTCTTCATTGAGAAACGGGATTCACGGGGTGTAAGGGGCATTTATAAGTCATGTTACAGAGGTAAATGCTATAGGATAGGATGTACAGGTGGGCCTTAGAGGCTGTCGATTGTTGTGGCTTCATCATTTCCTTCTATGAATGATAATGAGTAGCTATGTACTATGTGCTATAGGTTTTTCTCTTTAAAATACCATGAAAATTACCTTTTAAATATGCATTAGAAAAGTTATCCTGGTAACAATTCAATGAAAAGGCCATGTTCTACCTGAAATAAAGAAGAAAAATCAACCAAGCTAGAAATTTCTCATTCCTTTTTATGCCCAATTGCTTCAGCTTCATGATTGCATTAGTGTCATAAAATATGTAATTAGTTGTATAACATTTAAAAGCTGTTTAGTCACTCAGAAATGTAGATTCTTGAGCTTGTATGATTCAGTTTATATTCGTATGTATGTGTGTATACTTATGTATATGCATACACAGAATTAAGGAACTAAACAAACAAGGTCTCTTTCTTTACCTGCTTCCCCCTTCAAACTCTATTCCTATACTGCAAACTTATATCAAAGTTTGGTCTTTCTTATAGTTTCTCATAACGACCCTATTACACTGACTTCAGAAGATTTTGTTAGCCATATACTGGCATATATACATATATACACAACATATGTATATAAATACAAATATATATACACACTCACACTCATACTACATATCATAATGGATATAGCCTTTTTTTAACTTAGCAAATGTATCCTGAACTTTTTTATTTTCATAAAATAAGATTTTATGCAGTAAAATCAATAAAACAAATCTTAATTTGTTTATTTAAGCTCCCACATGTAGACATATTGTATTAGTCCACTCTCTTGCTGCTAATAATAAAGACATACCTGAGACTAGGTAATTTATAAAGGAAAGAGGTTTAATTGACTCACAGTTCAGCATGGCTGGGGAGGCCTCAGGAAACTTACAATCATGACTGAAGGGGAAGCAAACATGTCCTTCTTCACATGGCAGCAGCAAGGAGAAGTGAAGAGTGAAGCAGGGAGGAAAAGCCCCTTATAAAACGATCAGATCTCCTGAGAACTCACTTTCACAAGAACAGCATGAAGGTAACCATCCCCATGATTCAGTTACCTCCCACTGGGTCCCTCCCATGACACATGGGGATTATGGAAACTACAGTTCAAGATGAGATTTAGGTGGGGACACAGCCAAACCATATCATTCTGCCTCAGCCCCTCTCAAAACTAATGTCCTGACAATTCAAAACATAATCATGCCCTTCTAAGAGTCCCCCAAAGTCTTAACTCATTCCAGGATTAACTCAAAAGTCCAAGTCCACAGTCTCATCTGAGACAAGGCAAGTCCCTTCCATCTATGAGCTGGTAAAATCAAAAGCAAGTTAGTTACTTCCTAGATACAATGGGGGTACAGGCATTGGGCAAATAGACCTGTTACAAATGGGAGAAATTGGCCAAAACAAAGGGGCTACAGGCCCCATGCAAGTCGAAAATCAAAGAGGGCAGTCATTAAACTTTAAAGTTCCAAAATGATCTCCTTTGACTAGATGTCCCACATCCAGGGGTATGCTGATACAAGAGATGAGCTCCCACGGCCTGGGGCAGCTCCGCCCATGTGGCTTTGCAGGGTAAGCCCACCTCCTGGCTCCTATCACGGGCTAGCCTTGAGTGTTTGCAGCTTTTCCAGGTGCACAGTGCAAGCTGTCAGTGAATCTACCATTCTGGAGTCTGGAGGATGGTGGTCCTCTTCTCAAAACTTTGCTAGGCAGTGCCCCAGTGGGTACTCTGTGTGGGGGCTCCAACCCCACATCTCCCTTCCACACTGCCCTAGCAGAGGTTCTCCATGAGTGCCCCACCCCTACAGCAAACTTCTGCCTGGACATCCAGGTGTTTCCATACATCCTCTGAAATCTAGGCAGAGGCTCCCAAACCTCGGCTCTTGTCGCCTGCACACCCACAGGCCCAACACCACATGGAACCTGCCAAGACTTGGGGCTTGCATCCTCTGAAGCCATGGCCCAAGCTGTGCCTTGGCCCCTTTTAGCCATGGCTGGAGCTGGAGTGGCTGGGACACAGAGCACCACATCCTGAGGCAGCACAGACTAGTGGGTCCCTGAGCCTGGCCAAAGAAACCATTTATTCCTCTGAGGCCTCTGGGCCTGTGATGGGAGGGGCTGCTCTGAAGGTCTGTGACATGCCCTGGAGACATTTTCCTCATTGTCTTGGCTGTTAACATTCGGCTCCTTGTTACTTAGGCAAATTTCTGCAGCTGGCTTGAATTTCTCCCCAGGAAATGGGTTTTTCTTTTCTACCACATGGTCATGCTGCACATTTTCCAAAATTTATGCTCTGCTTCCCTTTTAAATATAAATTCCAGTTTTAGATAATCTCTTTGTTCATGCATATATGCATACAGTTTTAGAAACAGCAAGGTCAACTCTTGAATGCATTGTTGCTTAGAAATTTCTTCCTTGCCAGATACCCTAAATCATCTCTCTCAAGTTGAAAGTTTCACAGATTGCCAGGGCAGAAGCAAAAGTCTCTTTGCTAAAGCATAGCAAGAGTGGCCTTTGCTCCAGTTCCCAATAAGTTCCTCATCCACATGTGAGACCACCTCAGCCTGGACCTCATTGTCCATATCACTGTCAGCATTTTGGTCCAAGCCATTCAACAAGTCTCTAGGAAGTTCCAGACTTTCCCTCATCTTCCTGTTTTCTTCAGAGCCCTCCAATCTCTGCTGGTTACCCAGTCCCAAAGTCACTTCCACATTCTCAGGTATCTTTATAGCAGTGCCTCGCTACCTCATTGCCAATTTTCTGTATTAATCCATCCTCATACTGCTATACAGATACTACATGAGACTGAGGAGTTTGTGAAGAAAAGAGGCTTAATTGACTCACAGTTCCACATGGCTATGGAGGCCTCGGGAAACTTGTAATCATGTTGGAAGGCAAAGGGCAAGCAAGGCATGTCTTACATGGCAACAGGAGGGGATTGGGGTGGGGGAACTGCCAAACACTTAATGCATCAGATTTAGTGAGAACTCACTATCATGAGAATAGCATGGGGGAAACTGCCCCCATGATCCAATTGCCTCATACCAGGTTTCTCCCTAACATGTGAGGATTACAATTCAAGATGAGGTTTGGGTGGGGACACAGAGCCAAAACCTATCATGAACCATAAAAGCATAATTCAAATGAAAGTTATTATATTATCTTAATACAAAGTATCTCTAATAGAAGTTTTTTTATAGGATTCCATATATCAATACCATTTTTGTATGCATTTACCTTTTCTATCATACTGTGAGATCACAGAAGCATTTATCTATCTTTATATCCTCATGAGCAACCATCTTGTTCAGTCTTCACTGTATAGGTGCTTATATAATGTTTATTGAATTAATGTTGGTGGTTACTTATCGTCGTTGTTGCTAAATTTTATAATGAGTATGTAAGGAAAATACCTAGGTCATTGAAGGATAAGTCTAGGTAGTAGTATATAGAACAATACTCAGATGTTTTCAGGGAAAATGAGTCACATGCATTTGGCTTTCTGCTTAGAATTAATTCTCTCCCTCTTTTCAAAAAACCTGGAAGCATTTGTTTACAGCATATTTTACTGAATATTTTAAGCCCACTCTGGAGCCCCACTCCTCAAAAAAAAAGATTCCCTTCTAAATATTGCTACCCATTGACAGTGCACCTGGTCACCCAAGAGCTCTGATGGAGATGTGCCAGGAGATTAATGTTGTTTTCATGCCTGCTAGTACAGTGTCCACTCTGCAGCCAATGGATCAAGGAGTGATTTTTACTTTCAAGTCTAATTATTTAAGAAATACATTTCATAAGGCTGTAGCTTTCATAGATAGTGATTTCTCTGATGGATCAGGGCAAAGTAAATTAACACCTTCTGGAAATGATTCACCATTCTAGATGCCATTAAGAACATTTGGGATTCATGGAAGGAGGTCAAAATATCAACATTAATAGGAGTTTGGAAGAAGTTGATTCTAACCTTCATGGATGACTTTGAGGGGCAAGATTTCAGTGGAGGAAGTCACTGCAAATGTGGTAGAAATACCAGGAAAACTAGAATTAGAAGTAGAGCCTGAAGATGTGCCTCAATTGGTATAATCTTATGATAAAACTTAGACAAATGAGGAGTTGCTTGTTATGGATGAGCAATGAAAATAGTTTCTTGAGATGGAATGTACTCCTAGTGAAGATGCTGTGAACATTGTTGAAATAACAACAAAGGACTTAGAATATTACATGAATTTAGCTGATGAAACAGCAGCTATAGTGTAGTGTAGTGTAAAAATATAAAAATATAAAAAAATAAAAATATAAATATAAAAAGACTATAGTGTTGTGTAAAAATAACTTTCATATGCACTGGGAAACCAAAAACTTCGTGTGACTCACTTTATTGCCTTACTCACTTTATTCCAGGGGTCGAGAACTGAGCTGCAGTATCTCCAAGGTATGGCTACGTGTTTAAAAGTCAGGCTCTCATTGCTCCCTGGAAGGGTTTCAAGTGACTCCTCTACAGTTTTGCTTGACTATTTTGTAGTAGTTGACATGTAAACCTCTTTTTTGAAACTCTCTTATCATTTGGTTTCTATAAAATTACTTTCTGCTATTTATCCTCTTATGTCTCTGTTTAATCCTTATTTTTCCTCTGGGGCTCCATTTTCTTTATTCTGTAGCTCAGAGTAGATGTCCCCACATATCCTCTCTTACCATCCTCCTCACCTCACTAATCATTATCTTCCTGAATGTTCTAAGTTTAGCCAGCTTCCCAGCTCCTGCCACATGCTGGTGAATTCACAATCTCTAGCTCCAGACCTGGTCTATTTCTGAGTTTATTTATTGAATAACCACCTTCAGGACACACATCTCACTGTGATTTTCCTGTAGGTACCACAAAACAAACTTTCCTTTGAATTTGCTCCCCAGTCTGGGTTCCCTGTCATATTCAGTATTACCTTCATTCTGGTTACACTGGGAATTTTTCCTCACCATTTTCCGCTCAGTACTTCTCCAGGTTTTATCCATTTTGACCTAATACGAGTCATTGTCCACGTAAGGGTATGAATAAATAAGTGAATATTTGTCAAGTATTCACTAAGTACTAGACCCCTGGCTGGGCATCTCCCTGTGCATTGCTCTTCTTTAGTCTAGACACCAGCTGGGCATCTGCCTATGGATTGCTTTTCTTGCCTGGTCTAGACACCTGGCTGGACATCTGCCTATGTGTTGCTCTTCTTATTTGGTCTGGACAGCTGAGTGGGCATCTGCCTATGCATTGTTCTTCTTATTTCATCTAAACACCTGGCTGGACACCTGTCTGTGTGTTGCTTTTCTTTTTGTGGTCTAGACACCTGGATGGACACCTGCCTATGGGTTGTTCTTCTTTGGTCTAGACATCTTGTTGGACATTTGCCTATAGGTTGCTCTTGTTTGGTCTAGACACCTGGCTGGACGTTTGCCTATAGGTTACTCTTGTTTGGTCTAGACACCCCGCTGGGTACCTGCTTGTGCATTGCTCTTCTTGTTAGGCCTAGATACCCGGCTGTGCATCTGCCTGTGTGTTGCTCTTGTTTGGTCTAGATACCGGCTGGGCATCTGCCTATGAGTGGCTCTTGATTGGTACACTGACTTGTGACATAGGTCTCATTGTCCTCTATTCATTGAAAAGGAAATTTGGCTCAGATTCTGTAGCTAAAAATGAGTCTTGAATCCCCTTTCTTTTTCCCCTGCTACTGTGGTAAATTTAGATCCTCATTTCTCTTCTAGAAGAATAATTAACGTAGAGACCCCCCAAAAGGTTTCCCTGCTTCTCTTCCCTCTTTTTCCACACATCCTAAACACACACTGAGTATTTTGAAAAAATCTCCTCTGTAACTGCATTTCTCAAAAGCCTCTGATGGCTCCCTTTACATCTAAGCTCACGTTGGAGACCCTGCACCCCCATCTTCTGCTCCTTTTCCTTGAGTCCTCCAGGCTCTAGCCTCAGGAAATCCCTTTCATTTCTTCAGAATCACCCACCTCCATCACCGCTCCGTACTTTTGATCACATTATTGTTTCATCCTACAGCACGCTGCCAGCCGCCTCTGACATGTAAAACATTGCTTATTCCTAAGGATCCAGCTTCCTTGTCACCTCCCCTCACCCTTCTAGATAAGAATTTCTTGTTTGTTGTAACAGGTTGGCTTTCTGAGTAAGCAGACTCTGAGATGGACCTTGGCAGCCTATGAAGAAAGGGAGGAAAGGAGAATTGAGAATGGGAGAGAGCAGGGCTTCTACACAGTGTCAGCAAAGGCCTCTGCCAACCCCAGGACTGCTTGGAAGCTGGGGTGGCCTTCCAGGGTTGTGTTGGCTCAGCTATGACTCTTTATGACTTTACTGTATGGCACATTCTTACTGCAGATTTTTGATTTTTTAAGTGAGATGCCTACTTGACCTTGTGCTTATTTTTATTTATTTATTGTATGCCAAGTGCCCAATCCAGTGCCTTGCCCATAGCACGTATACAGTAAATTCTTATTGAAAGAAAGAATGAAAGTCACTAGGATTTTTGTTGTGCTTTTGTTTCCTCTTCTGTATAATGGAATAACCAAGACTTTTGAAGGACTTCGGTGAAAAAAGGATTGTGATTGTGATTTGCTATTAGTTGGCAGTGGTTTCCTTAGCTAAGCAGCAAATCAACACACATAAATGTCCCATGATGTGGAGTGACACAGACTATACAAATGAATAATGTATTCCAGAGTCACATGAAACCATCTATGATGAGCCCAGACACACAATATATCCAAAACAATCAGTCCGTTCCTTCTTAGTACCTCATAAACCATTTTATACTTTCATTTTATTCTTACCATAGATACCAAGGGCAGTTATAAGCTTCATTTTACAGATGAGAAGTTCTGATCTACCTAAAGTCAATGAGCAATTGTTGGTATTGACGTGGCTTAACATTATGTGTCCTGACTCCTAGTCAATGGCCTCCCTGAGATAGATTGCTTAAGATGAAGAGATGTATTTCCATCACTGTATTCTGCCTACTGACACTTGAAACTCTTTGTATCTAAAACCATACCTATAAATAGTCTCTCTACCCACCCAGACTTCCTCCTTGGCCCATGTTCTGTATGTCAATTAACAGCAGCTTCATTTTACTAGTTACCTAATCTTGAGACCCAGAATAAGTTCTGACTCCTTCCTGGCTCTCCCTCGTGAAGAGCTTCTCTCAAGTGACAAGCATGTGGTGGTTACCGTGCCAGACACCAAGATAATGAAGTGTATTGGTGAGAGGGGAGAGGAGGAGAAAAATCAACAGACAAGTTCAATTATGATAACATGCTAAGTGCTGTGATGATAAAGGTGAACCCTGGGCACTTGACCCAGGTTGTGAGCTCTGAGCTGGGTCTTTTAAAAATGGTAAGAATTACCCAGGTGATGTGCTTGTGGCAAGCATGCATTTTGGAATCTATAAAATATGCATGCAGAATGGATCATTGTTTAAGAGGTAGTTGAGTATCAGAAAATAAGAGTAATGCTAAGCCAGATTTTAATGGATCATTTATATCAGTCTGAGGTGTTTTGTTTGGGTTTGTCTGGTTGTGTTTTATGTGTTTTTTACCCTGAAGCCAACCAACTGAGAGATTTTAAGCAGGGGAGGCAAAAGAGCTTTATGGAAAATGGAAGGAAGTGTAGTTAGCCTGGAAGAAGGAGTACCTGGGACCAGACCATTAAGGTCATCTAAGAGTGAAAGGAAGCCAGTGGAAAGGGGCCATGGCATAAACAAAATGGCTAGATGCAGGTTGAGTGGGATGGCAAGAAGTAGAGAATCGGTGTAGACCACCCTTCTTAGTTGCATAGCTGAGACAAGGGGAAAGATTACTGATAACTTAGGATATAGGAATGTTTTTCATCATTATTGCTTTTTTTTTTTAAGTTAGAGAAACTTAAAAATGTTTACATGCCAAAGACAGAGAAAGAAGTGAAGCAAACGGATGGGAAAATGGAGATTAATGTCTCAGGTTAGTTGCCCCAAACCAAACTGAACATCAGAGTCACCTGGGATGCTTTGTGAAAAAAAAACAAAACAAAACAAAACAAAAAAAAAAACCAGCAAAACTATTGTTCAGCCGCCATGCAGACCTAGTGAATCAGAATGTTGGCTTGGTAATCTGTGGGTTCTAAAAACTGTGATGATCATCTAGGCTTGAGAACTAAATTTTTGTTAATTTTCTGTTATTTCTTTTATAAATGCTTGAAGATCACCTTGACCTTTGGGTCCTCTGGGAATGGTCTACTAGATAGGAAGAAGAGAGAGTGGTGGAGCCCAGAAGTTTATCCCAGAAGTTTATTCTAGATTCCCTGAACCCATGACCAGGCTGTCTCAAATGAATCAAGGACAGAATGGACTGGTTATTTTTGCATTATATAATCAACCTAAAATGGACACAAAGAGCTATGAGCTCAGAACACAATCAGGGGTTTGAGGATGCCTGCTCCTTAGTCTTAGACTAAAATAATAACAAGGAGATAGGAAAGGATTATTGAATTGCCCCAAGGAACAGGCTTGGTCAACTGTCATTAGTTTAACTTTTGCAATGGGCCTTAACTGGCATGATCAATGTGGTGGCAGATCACTGAGCAACATGGCCTATGTCCCATTCAGGTCACAGGGTTTAAGTCACTCCCTCCTTTCTGAAGCAGAATATCCTCAGCTTAGAAAGTGGTAATAATGGCTGGGTGCAGTGGCTCATGCCTGTAATCCCAATACTTTGGGAGACCAAGGTGGGTGGATCTCCTGAGATCAGAAGTTCAAGACCAGCCTGGCTAACATGGTGAAACCCCATTTCTACTAAAAATACAAAAAATTAGCCGGGTGTGGTGGCATGTGCCTGTAATCCCAGCTACTCTGGAGGCTGAGGCAAGAGAATCACTTGAATGCAGGAGGCAGAGGTTGCAGTGAGTCAAGATCATGCCATTGCGCTCCAGCTTGGGCAACAAGAGTGAAACTCAGTCTCAAAAAAAAAAAAAAGTAACCTGTCTATGCCTTGGTTTCCTGAATAATAAATAAAACCTACCTCATAGATTAAAAAAAATAGCAATAACAGTGGATAATAAAACTTACCTCAAAACAAATAGCAATAACAATGAAAGGCATTCCTGTATCCTAAGTTATCAGTAATCTTTCCCCTTGTCTCAGCTACACAACTAAGAAGAGTGGTCTACACCGATTCTCTACTTCTTGCCATCCCACTCAACCTGCATCTAGTCATTTTGTTTATGCCATGGCCCCTTTCCACAATAGTGTGGTCCCAGGTACTCCTTCTTCCAGGCTAACTACACTTCCTTCCATTTTCCATAAAGCTCTTTTGCCTCCCCTGCTTAAAATCTCTCATAGGGTTGTTGTAGTAATTAACTGACGTAATGTAGATAAAAGCCTTACCTGGTACATGGTCAAGTGTTCAATATGCTTACCACCCCTGGAGCAGCATAAAGAGTATCCAGTGATCCCTGAAATATATGGCCCCTGCAGAATAGTATATGGCAAAACAATACTCAAGATGTAAGTGGGAAGTGGGAATTGGGAAGGTGGGACACAGTATGATGCCAGAAATTTTGTTTGGAATCCTCAGAATGTTAATTTATTTTCTTCTCCTCCAAAATGTTTGCTGTTGTACAGAACATTACTGAGAGGTGCTAAGTCAGTTTTGTTCTGTTGAGGAAGTATGTGTGTTTTCGTTTGTCTGTGTCTCTGTGTATTTAGGATAGCTCTTGTATTTTCTATTTGGCAAGCGCGGGAGGTGGACAGCTTGGTGTGTTTTTCTGAGTGGTGTTGGGCTGGTCATCAGGAAGCCCAGATTTCCTTGAGGTGGGAGGCAATAAGCTTTCCATTACAAACATGTTCTGTGTGTCCCTACCTCTGGTGGACAATATTGTTGAGAAAAACAGAAGTCGCAACCCAACAAAAATCCATCTTTTTCCCATAGATGAGGTGGTTTAAGAATTAAAGAGGGCAGGCAAGGAGTTTGGGGGACATGGTTGGTTTTGTTTTGACTGCAGAGGCTGATGACATAAGAACCAGTTAGATGTAGATGGTGAAATTGGAAGGACAACGTCTGGGGGTCAGAGAATCTGGGGCCCATCTGTTAGAATTATTCATGGAGAGTTTAGTATACTATATGCTGGAGGGTCTTGAGACTCAACAAATGGGAAGTGAGAATGCCTGAAATGGAGAAGGCATATTTTTTCAGCTGCGTATCTGACAACAGTTTGTGTGCTGTGGCTGAAGAAAAATAAGCCAATGGTTATTACAAAATTGTGGGGGTTTGCTTAGAATTAGCATAGTAACTCTAAGAAGTAGTCAGTTTGTTGAAGTCCTTACACGGAGGGTGATGGAGGAAATAGAGCTTGTCAGAAGAACTGTTTCCTTGCATTTTATGATATTACTTTGTCAGTATTTTATAGTATGGAGATCAAATAGAACCTGTATTGCAGAGCCTTACATACTGGGATGCTCTGGGCAAAAGCATCTTGGAATGGTGGTAGGCACTGGAGGTCGGATCTAAGAGCACCTCTCTCTCAGGTACCCTCATCTGTATTCTAACTGCTGCATGCCAAGAATCTTCCCTTGGTTTAGTAGAAAGTGTTCTAGACCCAAAAGCAGAGGGCGTGATCCCCGCACTGTGCCTTACACGTAGTCAGGACTCAATAAATATTTGATAAGGCAAGAAGGAGGGGGAAAAAGCAAGATGACTTACTAGATCCATTGATCAGAATTTGCCTCCTCTAGTTATAATAACTGTATGGACATAGATAAGTTGCTTCACTTGTCTCAGCTTCAGTTTTCTGCTTTGTAAAATGACAGTAATTATATTGACTTTATAAAATGAATTGTTAAGAGATTTCAAAAATATATAAGCAAAATATCTAGAATGATACCTGGTCTCTTATTGTTATTTTTATCTAAATCTCATCTCCCTCTTTACTTATTATCTGCTTGGCACCCTGGGAATTTTTCGTTGGTAAAGGTTTAGAGAAGGAGAAGTGGGCTGGCAGCACCATATCTTATCAGTTTTTTCATCCAGGCATCATAGGCCTTCAATGTTTTAATTTTTTAAAGCAGTTTGGATTTTTCTGAGCTGCTGTGAACTTTTGTTAATATAAAATAGAGACCATATTGACTTTGGAAACAGTGAATATCTATATATCTTCCCTCCCTACCTACATGTAGCTGTTTAGAAATGTGACTTAATAGTGATCACCACAGAGACTATCCTTACAGTGAAACATCCTTTGTAAGCAGATTTCTAATTCATATGAATATTAATATCAACAGGAGTGCATTGTCCCTTAGAGACAGACCTCATCCCCTCCTAAGGGGTTCACAGATAGAATTAAGAGATTCATCCATTTGGATGTTAAATAAACTAGATCTTTATTTTAATTGATCTCTAATTCAATCATAAATTAATGTAACAATCCACAGTGTACTTTTCATGCCAGCGATGTTTGCCATCAAAGAAATCATGGCCATTTTCATCTCACATAACAGTTGTTGAATGTCTTGAAATATCGTGTATACTCATCATGATTTCCAAATCATGGAAGGTATGAGACCTACCATACTCTTTCTTTCTTAATGCATTAATCTTTCTCAATGCATTAATAGGAAGCACATATATTATCATAAACTTACATTTGTAATATTTTGGAAACTATTTTTATAATAGGTTTCTTTTGTAATCTTAAATGTTTTATTTGTATGCTTTACAAAGATTCTGTCTTCTCCAGACTACCAATGCATTTATGGAACAGAAACTATTAAGATCTTGTGCCTTAGAGTTGGTTGGAGGAGGAATGGCCCTAACTTACAGCCAACTAAAAAGATTCCCACTACACAGTCTTTAGTGGGACCAAATTCACCTTCCACTGGCCCACTGATAGTCTGCTGGGCTCTATCCAAATAATCTTAAATTATTAGATATCATTCCTGCTTGTAAGGGCTTTAGAGTAAAAGATTTTATGGTTGCTCTGATAATTAATACTTAAAATGGTAAATACTTGAAATGCTTGTAATGAGAATACTTGAAATGAGAAAACACTTCCTCTTGCCCTTGCTCATCAGTGGTCACAGTGAGCTACCTGTGATGGCTCTGTGTTTTTAAAAGACTGACATTAAATTTTTTCCATATGTTCGTCTAAATAACCTTTCCCTGGTACCACTGGGACATTCCATATATATGGTCTTGGGCCATTGATAGTAGTCTCATAGTGCTGACTTATATCTTCTAAGTCAGTAGGAGTGAGGATGCTCCCCTCTTCCCCTTTTTTTGTATAAACTTGATCAAAGCCAGCTGGAAGTTTGTTCTTCCTCTCTATTTGTAAATCTGTATACTTCCTTCCCCATGGAGCTTAAGGCTTCCTATGTAAGAGATACTAAACACATAGCTACATAAAGAATACACAGGACGTTACCAGTTTTTGCTATGAAGGAAAATACCAGGTACTATAAGAGAGGATAAGAATCGAGAGTGGTCAGGGGAGGATCTCTTAGAAGGTGGAATTTCAGGCAAAACCTGAAGGATTAAAAAAGAGCTTTATGAAAAGTGAAGAAAGAATTTTCCCCGGCCTAAGGATCACCTTGTACCAAGGGCACATTTGTGGAACTGAAAGAATTGGCTCTTGATGTACAGTGTACTGAGTTGAAGGGGGAAGAGGTGAGGTTGGAGAATAGGAAGGAGCCAGGTCATGCAGGGCCTTGTAGAGTTTGAATTTAATGCTAAGTGTAGTACAGTAGGGAACCTTTGAAAGGTTTTAAGCAAAGCAACAGGGGATTTGATTTACATTTTAGAAAGAAGCCTTTGGATGCTATATATTGAGTAAATTTAAGGTCAGACAGCTTGCCAGTCTTAAGAGATGGGACTTGAACCTGTGGCTTTTCATTCCCAGTCCATTCTGATTTACCAGGGTCTTTTTTCTAGTTGATAAGTACCAATCCGAATTAAATAGAAAATGCAAAATAGCACCAGGCCTTTTCCAAGTGGCTTCCTTATACTTGCTCAGGTTGACAGTGAAAAATAAAAGCCACCTAAGGCTCATGTCTCTAACCTGTTGAACAACTCAAAATAATTAAGAGATCACAACTATACCATTTCTCAGTTATATAAAAACCCCATCTCTTATCTAACATATGCTATTTAGTGTTTAAGGTTTCTCAGAGTCATACATGCACTATCAGCTCTGCCTGTTAAGCAGTAGCTTGTGTCTGTGCGATTTTCCAGGTAAACCAGCCTGAACTACCCAGCTAATGTTTGCCAGCTTTAGCCGTTCAGCAGTTTGTTTTTCTTTATAAGATTAAGTGGTCAGTTTCACCTTAGGTTTTATTCCAATTATGAAATCATTTCGTTTTGTTACACCTCTGCTTAATTGTACTTATTTACATTGTATGTACAAACTAATAAATCTGTTATTTTGATTGAGAAACCCCTGCATGTTTATATATTTATTCTGCCTCTCAAGAATACTCAGTAAGTTTTTTATCTGTTGATTGCTAATTCATCTAGCATGTATTTCTTAATACGGAAGTACTATATGTAGTGTTAAAGGCAAGCACACCTAAATCAATCAAATCATGCTGTGCTCTTGCCACCTTGAGCATGTTAGTTCTGCATCTATAAAATAGGAATAAAATAACAAACCCATAAGGTAATTGTGAAAAGTAGTACACCATATGTGAAACTGTTTTGTATGATGCTCAATACATTTTCACTGTTTTATTAAAACAGTTTTATTGAAGTATAATTGACATCCAATAAACTTCACATGTTTAACATGTGCAGTTAGTAGATTTGGACATGTATAGACCCATGAAATCACACAAGCAGACTTTTTATCTCTCCATTTATCTATTTCTATGCTGGTTGCATTGGCAAACTTTCTTAATCAAGGCAGTGGTGTTCGGAGAAGGGAGTGTCTAGGTTTTAAGACATATTTAAAATTATCATTGCTTCTATATTGATGTCACAATATTTAATTTTTTAAATTAAATTTGGCAGTAGGTTGGGTTTGGTGGCTCATGCCTGTAATCCCAACACTTTGGGAGGCCGAGGTGGGCAGATCACCTGAGGTCAGGAGTTCAAGACCAGCCTGGCCAACATGGTGAAACCCCGTCTCTACTACTAATAAAAAAATGAGCTGGGCATGGTGACGGGTACCTATAATCCCAGCTACTCTGAAGGCTGAGGTGGGAGAATCGCTTGAACCTGGGAGGCAGAGGTTGCAGTGAGCCAAGATCATGCCACTGCACTCCAGCCTGAGCAACAGAGTGAGATTCTGCCTCAAAAAAAAAAAATGGCATTAGAAGAAAATAAGATTTTAGAACTTAACACACAAACATACAGATCATCCCAGCCTGTGGCCTGTGTGCTACAGATACCAATCCTGCAGCTCTCAGAGAATGTGTGCCTCAATGTGAAAAGAACTAGGAATCTCTGCTTTAGGATACAGAGATGAATCAGGTATAGATCTTGCCCTCGAGGATCTTAGAATCTAGGGATGGAGGAGCTGGAACGTACCTATAACACCGATAATGCGGAGTGGAAGGTAGGAAGAGGTAAAACACCGGAGGAGGATTTAAGAGGGTGCAGTAACTTCTAGCTTGGGGATGCACTTCACTGAGGAAAAAACCATTTATTGCCTCCTGCACATGTGTCTGTCTGAGGTAGGTGTAGGTGTATAGAGCAATTCAGACAGATACAGACCCTGCCCATTAATCACTTAAATCCTAATGCTGTGCATCACCGCTTAATGGGTTGGGCATCTGCCCAGCTTTTTTCCTGGACCACTTCCAACATTTCTGAGGAAAGAGTGAGTGTGAAGGACCCTGTGGCTAGACACCAGCCCAAGTTATCCGGTGGCTAGACACCTAACTGACTCATAGGAATGGGGGAAGCCCCCTCTGGGTTGCCTGTGTGGATAATAAGGCTCTCATTCACCTCCACATCTAGGTCAGAGAGGGGCCGCCTGGGATGCACAGCACATTGATAGATTACTTCTGGGCCCACGGGGCCTCATTACCATCATATCCATCATCTTCTGCTAGTACCAAATAATGGATGTAATTTAATCAGATGCCAAAGGAGTCCTCAGCAGGAGAATTGGAGAAACCTTGCCTGAAACTGTGCTATAGTGTTGGAATGATTATAATGAACCAGAATGATCTTTTGTGGTGAGACTAAATGTATCATGCACTATATGAGTTCTGATTTATTTTTAAAACATTCTTGCTCCCATTGGCTCCCCTTTTAATAGTTTCTGTAGCCTGTTTATTGTTACAGATGTTACTTTTAAATGAGGTCATTGAGCTTTCCTTTACTTCCAAAGGCAATGTTTGCCTTTTTATTAAGGGGTTGGCAGGGCTGTCTGGAGAACAGTGCTAATGTGAGATCAAGGTTAAAGCTTCAGACCCCAGGAGACTAGGTGGAGAAAAAGCCTCTTCCATGTTTACACACACTCATGTCAGCCAGATGTCTCACAAAGGGCAAGTTTCCTGGCAGAGAGGCGAGAAGACAGGCATTGTGGTCACAGACTGCCTTGACTCTCATGGCCCCTTCTTGCCCACTGTGAAACCTCAGGCATGTCAAAAACAAGCTCCCTGAGCCTGTTTCCTCAGCTGTCACTTGGAGATAATAATTTTTATTCCTAGGACTTTTGTGAGGATAAAACGTGTTATAGCCCCTTGGTATGCATGAGGGACCTGGGGAGGGCAAGGGATGTAATAGCTAAAAGTCTAAGGCTTTGGAAATGCTTTAAGTCCTATGTGTAGTATATTTTGCATATCTTTGTTAGAGGACCGCTGACCAAATCTAGCTTGCCAGTGATTTTTGTAAATAAACTTGTATTGGCACACAGCCCATTCATTCATTTACAAATGTCTATGTCTGCCCTCTCAAAGACAGATTTGGGTCATTATGACAAAGACCTTATGGTCTGCAAAGCCAGAAATATTTACTATCTGGCCCATTACAGAAGTTGGTCGATCACTGTACCAGACTGAAGGAAAGTTTCTATACAGAGATCTGGTCATTTAAAGCAGTGAGGGATAGGGGATGAGTGGGAATTCTAAAGTGTTCCTGCAGAAAGTCAAATACTGAATGTTGTCACTTATAAGTGGGAGCTAAATAATGTGTGCATTTGGACAGAAAGAGTGGAATGATAGACACTGGGGACTTGGAAAGGTGAGAGGGTGGGAGGCGGAGTGAGGGATGAGAAATTACCTAGTGGGGATGGGCGTGGTGGTTCACACCTGTAATCCCAGCACTTTGGGAGGCCAAGGCAGGCGGATCACTTGAAGTCGGGAGTTCAAGACCAGCCTCTCCAACATGGTGAAACCCCATCTCTACTAAAAATACAAAAATTAGCTGGGCATGTTGGCAGATGCCTGTAATCCCAGCTACTTGGGCGGCTGAGGCAGGAGAATCACTTGAACTCAGGAGGCAGAGGTTGCAGTGAGCCGAGATTGCACCACTGCACTCCAGCCTGGGTGATAGAGTGAGACTCAGTCTCAGAAAAAAAAAAAAAGAAAAAGAAATTACCTAATGGGTATAATGTACGCTATTCATGTGATGATTACCCTAAAAGCTCAGACTTCATCACTACACAATATATCCACATAACAAAACTGCATTTGTACCCCCTACATCTATAAAAATAAAAAAAAATTTTTTAAAGTGTTCCTAAATGTCTATGGATTTTGCTCTATTCTGATTTAAACACCTGAAACCTTAGTGCATGTTAAAAGACTGGTTTGTTGAGGTGAGAATTAAATGCTATATGTGGGAGCATTAGCACAAAGCTGTCACATGCAGATGCCAGGTAGATGTTTGCTAAGTCGAGATGTTTGCTAGAGTCGAGTCTCCATTATGTTTCATCAGTCCCCACATAGGCATAACCCTGTTTGGCTCTGGGCATAAGTTTCTGGGAGTGGGCAGGTTGACAGAGGCATCACCATGGGGCACTTTTATGGAATAGTCACATGTTGTTCCAGTATTTTCTTCTATGTAAGTTATTGTTAACAATTAGCCTAAAATGAGGTTTATTGACCAATGTCTTTATCTTTGCCTCATGCTTTGAAATTGTTCCAGTGACAGGCGGAGCCAGCACTAAAGTCATACCTGAGTATGTACATGCTAGAAATAAAGACGAAACTGGCATTTTAACGCCAACCACAAATTTTAATGGCTGTCACATGTGTTAATTTTTGGAAAGCAATCAAAATATTTGCCATAGATCAAAAAGATAGTCCTCAGATAACATATTGCTACTGGCAGAAAGACCTCTGCAAAGTAAATGAAACATTAAAAATGGTGATCCTCACTCGGATGGAAAACGGGAAAGGAGTTGAATATATTGTCACTCCGCACTCTACATCATATGTAGATGGCAACAGCAAATGCTATGCACTTATGTACACTGTCCTTTAATAAGTCATTGAGAGGAACTTGGCCTCTGGCTTCCTGTCTTGCTAATTGAGCACTCTCTGTAGTTACCCTGCTGTAAAGCTCTCACTCCCCTCCTCTTGCACATTGGTCATCTTGGGAGGTGGGTATGTTTTCAAGGTACATACCCAAATGGCAAAAGTCCACCATACTTTGTAGAAGGCGCCTAGCATAATGCCTAGAGGGTCACAGGCATTCACTCAGCACTTGTTCCCAACACCATCTCAATGACAACAGGTAGATCTTTGCTATCTTTGGATTTCCATAGCCCTTCTCTGTACCTCACGCAAGCTCTTAATCAGATACTGTGATAATTAATTGAAAGTTTAGTGTGTATTTCCAATCTCCCTCAATTAGTCTTTCTCTTGTAGGTAAGGATTTAGTATTTTTTTTTTCTCCTTACCTCCATTCCAAAAAGCCATTCCCTGCCTGTGGTAGGCCAAGAACAAATCATGAAAAGTTGATCAAAGCCAAGCAGACATCAGAATAATAGTGGATATAAATACAGTGAACTAGAGACAGCAGAGACTGGAAGCAAGGCCTGTCTGTCTCAGATAAAATCTCAGGGCTGGGCATGGTGGCTTATGCCTGTAATCCTAGTACTTTGAGAGGCCAAGGCAGAAGGATCACTTGAGGCCACGAATTTGAGGCCAGCCTGGGCAACACAGTGACACCCTGTCTCTACAAAAATAAAAAAAATTAGCTGAGTGTGGCGGTGCCCACCTATAGTCTTAGCTACACAGGAGACTGAGGCAGGAGGATCACTTGAGCCCAGGAGATCAAGGCTGCAGTGAGCTGTGATTACACCACTGCATTCCCACCTGGGCGACAGAGTGAGACCCTGTCTCAAAAAAATTTTTTAAATAAAAAAATAGAATAGGAATTCAGTCCTGCTAATATAACAAACCTTCAGAACAGGACAGTCACTGTTCTGAGTGCCAAGGAGACAGAGTAGACCATCGTCTTACCTTCTTGGAGTTCATGATGCTCTAGAGGAGAAGAGGCGGGCACATGACTGTTGCACCTGAGTTCACAGGGAACCATCACCCCCACAATATCCTGCAAATCTTTGCAGCTCCCATTTCATAATGTAATTCCTGATGCTACATATGGTATAAAAACATAATACCGTAATTAGTCCACCCACTTTTATTTGAGGCCGAGGGATTTAGTGAGAAACACAGAGTCAGAAGAGCTATGTTCAAGACATGATCTTACCACCTACTAGCTGTGGATATTCATTTGTGTAGGAACTATTTACACTCACTGTGCATGCATTTTTCTAGGCTATACGGGGGACAAGGCCAACCAAGTTCTTCATTGCATGGACCTTAAAATGTAACTGGGGGTGGGGAGGGAGAAGAGAAGAATTAACTGGTATTAAACAAATGATATTTCAGATGGTGATAGATGCTATGAAGAAAATAAAATGTGTCAGTGTTATAAAGGGCCATTTAATTTCTTTGAGCTTCAGTTTCTTCAATGCAATCTGAAGATAAGAACACATATCATGTATTATTTTGTGCAACTTAAATATCCTGTGTGAAAGCTCTTTGTCTACAGTAGAGGTGAAGATCCATCATCATTGTTAGAGTCATATCTCAGCCCTTATAGTCATATAAACAGATCCTTATTTGATCACATGGGTGTTTAAAGCTTAATGTATTTTCTGGTCAAATACACCTCATGCATTCCTTCCTTTTTACCTTAGCTCGGAATCTTCCCCCCACTGAATTTCTTTTTGTTCCATTTCCATCTGTATAAGTCTGCTTGTATATCAATTATTACAATAGGGCTTGTTTTGTGCTCGTCTTTGTATATCTTGCCAAATGTAAAGCAGTGACCAGCACATAGTAAGTGTGTAATAAATAGCTGAGTCAGAATGGAGCAGAACAAAAGATCCTAAGAGCTCAGAAAAGAGGAAATTCTGATTGCGGGAGAGGGTAAGAAAGACTTCATGGAGGTCGTGGGACAGGATTGCACACAACAAGGTGGTTGGCACTTGGGCTGAGGGAATGGCAGACGCAGGTCAGTGGTAGGGATGCTGTGTAGATGAAGGGAGGCAGTATAGCATGATGTAAGGAACACAGGAGTCAGGGCAGCCAGGTTTGAATCCCAGCTTGGCCATTTACTGATGAGGTCTTTGATAAATCACTTAAGCATATTTTCTCGACTCCAAAGTAGTGATAACAATACCACCCACATCTTGGGGTTGCTTTATGGATGACATGAGATAACATAAGGAAGCCTATATTCCAGCACTGGCACAGAGGAATCATTCCATAAGTAACAGCTTTACTGAATGATTATGGCCTGTCTTTTTAAGTACCATGTATGCTGTTTCCTTCATTGCAAAGTAAAGGCAAGGTTAAGGTCACAGGTCTAGTCCCTCTGGTGATGAGGCCTATTAACATCAGCCTATTAACATCACTGTTTTCTACAGTTACAGACTGTACCCCAAGCCAACTAGTGTGTGCTAGCCCAACAGGGACCAGCTCAGTGCAGGGAGAGATTAATGCAAATGAATCATTTGTACTGGAAAAACAATCCAAGACATATAATGTCATGGTACAATATTAAGAGTAATAACTTCACTTAGCTGAAACATTGTATTTTCTGTTCTTGGGGTGTTTTTTAAGGGGCAGAAAGCAAATGTTTCATAGAAAATTTACAATCTTGTATCTAGTGGGATTTCTTCATACTAGAAGCAGTTTATGCAAAACAGATGCCTGAGGAGCAGTGCCTGCATGCACCTGTGGATTTGGTGGTTATATTTCATTTTCCTTACACCTCTAGTTCTTGCAGACAACCTGAAATCCAACCCTGGAATTAAGTGGCAATATTTCAGTTCAGAAGAAGGAATTTTCACTGTTTTCCCAGCACACAAGTTCCGGTGTAAGGGCAGCTACGAACACCGCAGTAGGTATGTTGACTTGCATGCTAAAGTTTTTAATTATTGCTTAAGAGTGATCTACATGAAATATAAAACTTCTCATTTCTACTCATGGCTATGCCTTTAAGCTGTGGATTCAGAAATTTGTACTTGTTCTGAAATGAATTCACCATTTAGTATATGTGGATGTGAAATTCCAGGCAAGGGCAAATTACAAAACCCAGAGCTTTCCTATAGCTATCTAATATGCCAAATATAAAAAGGTACTTACTCGTGAAGTCAAATTGTGTGAAGCACCTAGAGTGTTTTGAGTTTCAGAATTCTTTGTTGAAATGTAAATGATGGTACCTTATCTATAGTGCAGCCCTTGAACATAACTTTATAACATATCTCAGAGTAGTTTGTTATACTCAACTTCCCTTTCTATGATGACATGCTTGGCCATACTGCATGAAATTTACATGCAGATTTTAACTATTAGAAGTTTTGAGGTGAGCAGAAAGCATTGGATTAAAAATTACTAACATCCTGCTTTTCTCTCACAGACATGACTTGAGATTCTACCATGTAGCCAGAAGGGCAATAATGGTGAGATACTTTGTATGACAAGACTCATTAATTATAGAACCCCCCCGAAGCAAATATACTTTCCTATTTAATCCTGACAGTTTCCTGTTTGCAGTGTTAGATGTTTGATGCCAAAACATCTGGAGCTCTAGTGCAGGGCACCCACTTTTCACACCATTTTCTGGAGTCTACACAATTACTTTAGCTTCCCTTCATCTTCACTTTAAATTTTATCTAGAATTTTTCCCCAAGGAAAATACTTCATCTGTGCTTTTCCTAAGATTTTTTTTTTTTTTTTCCTGAGATGGAGTTTTGCTCTTGTTGCCCAGGCTGGAGTGCAATGGCACGATCTCAGCTCTGCAAACTCTGCCTCCCGGGTTCAAGCGATTCTCCTGCCTCAGCCTGCCGAGTACCTGGGATTACAGGCACCCACCACCATGCCTGGCTAATTTTTGTATTTTTAGTAGAGACGAAGTTTTGCCATGTTGGCCAGGCTAGTCTCGAACTCCTGACCTCAGGCCTCCCAAAGTGCTGGGATTACAGGCATGAGCCACCGTGCCCAGTCGTCCTAAGATATTTTTATTGTGTGTGTGGTTTCTTCCTTTCCCTCCCCACACATTCTGGTGAAGACTTGGGTGTCTTGGAGACTGGACCAGAAGCCATGATCATGGCTTCTCACGAGAACAAAGGCCACCATGAACCATCTAATTCTCATTTGCTTCTAAGAAGAGATGGGCTAGATGGCATGCTGATTTTAACGAAGCACCTGTGAAGAAAAGTTTAAAAAGGAAAGTGAAACCTTGTCAAAATCAGCATTCACCTACACAAGGCAATTCGGAAAGTTTTCATGTATCTCCACCCTAAATCTGCACTAATTAGCCCTTGAACCTCTTTTCCCTTGGCTAAATGATCCACATTTCTCTCTGATAGACTGCGATTCACATTTCTTGTCCTAACTGCTTTCCTATGATGCCTTTCCAAGTTCTCTACATTCTTTGGAAGTATGGAATGGATTTCAGGACATAGCAACACAAGAAAGGAAGTGGTAGATACCAGTCATTCTATGAGGACTGCCCCCCAGTTTGTACATTTAACATCACTATTTATATATCCCACTAAAGCAGCGTTTAACAACTTAATGTGACAATGCCAACACATATCCCAAGTTTCATTTATGTGAATTGAATTTTAACAAAGGAAGTGTGTCATTTTAAAGAAAATCCACCCATCTAGCTTGGAGAATCTAAAAAGTTAAATATTTGACCTACTTGTCAGTGTTGAGATGATCAAATTTTCCTTCTTTTCTGTACTCTGTTTCATTTCTGTAGCCACCTCTCCTGGATTCTTTTTATTGCATTTCCCTAGTGGCTCAATGGTATCGACTCATGAAAATATAGTGGTACTTTAGTAATTACTGCAGGACTTTGGGCTTGAGAACAACTAGTGTAAATTTGGCCAGATTTTGAGTTTTTTTGGTACTTTGCCTGCGTTTCTTAATTTGTGCCCAGGCTTTTGTGATTCAGCTGGCATCTAACATTTCACAGGAAAATCTAGTGTTTTAAGGATGTCAGTAAAGGAGAGAATTCTCTTGAGGCTGATTTGCTTTCTTAAACTCCTTCTAATTTGTTCCAGCTTTAAAACTGTGAATAGAGACCTCATTAAACCTCTTCTCACAAACCTTCCTGCACTGCACATTAGCAAAAGGCTGCTTTGATGGGAGGCATTTCTCCTTTGTGGCTGCCCCCAACCCCCTTTTTTTCAATGTTGGCAAACAAAAACCTGGCAAGAAGAGTGGCTATCACAGACTTGGACAAATTTTGATGGCACAGTTTTAAATGCTCAGATAAGGGGCCTTTTGGTGGCTGACCTATGTGAATTGTTTCAGTCCAGAAAGGAAAGGGGCCTCTTAGCAGGAGCCTTTGTATGAGAAGAGAGAAACCAAACCTGCCATTCAAAGCTGCTCAGCATGCTCACGGGTTATAGGCTGCCTCACTTCTAACCAAGCCCCACTCTGCAAGTCTGCAGAGGAGAATCCAACCCTGGTGATGGGACCTTTTTCTCCTTGGCTGGTCTCTCAGCCCAAGGGACCACTACATCCACATCCTTTAGCAAAACAGGTACACTGGGCAATACCAAGCAGAGGTTGTGCATATTTTATATGAGGATTTTAACTACTAGAAGTTTTAAGCTGTGCAGAAAGCATTGGGTTAAAGAACACTAACATCCTGCTTTTTTCTGAAAAAAAAAAAAAAAAAAAAAAGAGAGAAAAGCAGGATGTTAGTGATGCTGAAAAAGCCAACCTCTGAAAGGGTTTGCTCCTGAAAAACTTCTCTTGTCTGCTTTGATCTTTAAAGGCATAAATTACCCATCCCTGTTCTACAGACACACCTTGTTGTCTTAAGTATTATTTTCAATGCACCAATATGGTTTCTCCTTCCATGTGGATTTCTCCATCCTTGTGCCATCCCTGGGAGAACACAGAGACCAACATGCCCATGCACTGTAGTGTTCACAGCTGTGTTAAGTTGAGGCCCTTTACCTAAACCAAGACTGACCCCAGAGAGCTTCTTCTCCCTCCAGACCCATCTACGTCTCTACAGTCCGGCCGCAGTCAAAGCACATAGTAGTGATTCTGGACCACGGGGCTTCAGTCACAGACACTCAGCTTCAGATTGCCAAGGACGCTGCTCAGGTCATCCTCAGCGCCATCGATGAACATGACAAGGTGACCATGACCCTTGTGACCCCTATGGCATCAGGTTCTCCTTGAATGCCTTTTTTAAAGTACTTTATTGTTTTGTGATATACAGATCCTCCTTGACTTACAATGGGGTTACATCCTGATAAATCCATCATAAGTTGAAAATGCATTTAATACACCTGAGCTACATCACAGCTTGGGCTAGCCTACCTTAAACAGTCGGAACACCTAGGTTAGCCCTCAGTTATGGAAAATCATCTAACACAAAGCCTATTTTATAACATAATAAAGTGTTGGCTATCTCGTAGAATTTATTGAATACAGTACACTGCAGAATACTATATCAGCGGTTCTCCTTTATGATTGCATGGCTGACTGGGAGCTGCGGCTCGCTGCCATTGTCCAGCACCATGAGAAAGTATCAGGAGCCTGGGAAAAGATCCAAAATTGAAAGTACAGCTTCACTGCCTGCCTATCGCTTTCTCACCATCATAAAGTCAAACCATTGTATGTCAGGGACCATCTGTATATTTTTTTAAATCCATCTTTAAAAGGACTTTGGGAAAAGAAAAGACTTTGGGAAAAGAGTATTATTCTAATATTTGAGGAAGCAGCCACAAATCCAAAAATCCCTTTCGTAACTACCACCAAGCTTAGTCTTATACTTCTTTATGGCTCATGGTAAGGTTTCTAATTAGCCATGACTTTCACACTGGAGGTTACGCTGAGGAGGAGAGGGGTGGGAGATTTGGATGCTGATGGATGGCTGAACTTTATTGCAAGATTGTTGGGAAGTCAGGAAGAAGGGAAAGCCGCTAGTGGCTGACTAATCTCTGGGACACCTCAGAGAGAGGTGTGGGTACAGCTAATGATAATCTATTGCCTGTGGACATTTTCTGCTTCATCATTTTGACTTTGCCAACTCCAGAGGTTTTGCTCACTAACCTAGTGGCTTAAAACACACACACCTCACTCTCTTACCCTCACCCCTCACCTCCAGGTTGAAAAACAGGATAGTTCATTCTTGCTATGACTTTTCTCTGCATAAAATAGTTTGTGTGTGTGTTTAATGTTATGTATGAACATAATACTACCACTTCATGTTGGAACAAAAACCAAACTCTAGGGGTTTCCCCACTTTACCAATCCTTATGGATCCTTTTCAAATTTGATAGATGGATGGCTCCAGGGATTTATTTTGAAACTCTCAGAATCTGTTCTGTAGGCCTTCTTACTCCTTGGCCTCTTCTGTTACATAAATAAATAAATCTTTAGACGGTAGGATAACAAGTTTGGTGGTTTTTTTTTTTTTTCTTTCCTGCAGATTTCTGTGTTAACTGTGGCAGATACCGTCCGGACTTGCTCACTAGACCAGTGCTATAAGACCTTCTTGTCTCCAGCCACCAGTGAGACAAAAAGGAAAATGTCCACCTTTGTTAGCAGCGTGAAGTCTTCAGACAGTCCTACCCAGCACGCAGTGGGATTCCAAAAGGCATTTCAGCTGATTCGAAGTACAAACAATAACACAAAGTTCCAAGCAAGTGAGTGCGTTCTCTCAGAGGACTTAGAGGCATAGTAGATAAAGATGGCAATAGGAATATATTGTAAATTGATCACACAATGATGTTTAGAGAGATTTTATTTATTTATTTATGTATGTATTTATTTATTTATTTATTTACCTTGAGACAGAGTCTTGCTCTGTCCAAGCTGGAATGCAGTGGTGTGATCATGGCTCACTCCAGCCTTGACTTCCTGGGCTCCAGCAATCTTTCTACTTCAGCCTCCCAAGTAGTTGGGACCACAGGCTTATGCCACCACGCCCAGCTAATTTTTATATTTTTGGTAAAGAAAGGGTTTCACTGGCTGAGACCTGTCTGATCTCAAACTCTTGAACTCAAGCAATCCACCTGCCTTTGCCTCCCGAAGTACTGGAATTACAAGCATGAGTCACCGCGACCAGCGTAGAGGGATTAAAAAAAAATTGATTGGGGGCGAGGTGCGGTGGCTCACGCCTATAATCCCAGCACTTTGGGAGGTCAAGGCAGGCGGATCACAAGGTCGGGAGTTCGAGACCAGCCTGGCCAATATGGTGAAACCCCATCTCTACTAAAAATACAAAAAAAATTAGGCAGGCATGGTGGTGGTTGCCTGTAGTCCCAGCTCCTCGGGAGGCTGAGGCAGGAGAATCACTTGAACCCAGGAGGCAGAGGTTGCAGTAAGCCAAGATCATGCCACTGCACTCCAGCCTGGGTGACAGAGCAAGACTCTGTCTCAAAAAAAAAAAAAAAAAAAAAAGATTTGGGATAAAATTGTCATATGTTGTCTTCGTCATCATCTAATTATAGAGTGTTAACTGCGTTTTTCTCATCTTTTCCAATCAAAGATGGTCAGTCTGTACAATTTCTTGACTCTTAGAGCCTCCCCTTCCTGCCCCTTTATTTAGATCATGTCTGCACTTATGTCCCAAGGGAATCTCCACATCCTTTCTAATGCTGATTGTCAGCTTTGCTTCCTCTTTGACTTGGAGTGGAAGTCTGCTTGTGCACATGTGGACGTGAAGTGGGCAGCAGGAATTCTTGCCTTGATCCTTCCTTCTTCTAACCAGCTGTCATTTAGATGAGCATGGCCCTTCAGATGTACAAAGGCACTCTAATTTAATTTTTTTTTTTTTTTTTTTTGGAGACAGAGTCTCACTTTGTCACCCAGCCTGGAGTGTGATCGCGCAATCCCGGCTCACTGCAACCTCCACCTCCCGGGTTCAAGCGATTCTCCTGCCTCAGCCTCCTGAGTAGCTGGGATTACAGGCATGTGCCACCATGCCTGGCTAATTTTTGTATTTTAAGTAGAGATGGGGTTTCACCATGTTGGTCAGGCTGATCTTGAACTCCTGACCTTGTAATCCCCCACCTCGGCCTCCCAAAGTGCTGGAATTAGAGGTGTGAGCCACCACGCCTGGCCTCTAATTTAATTTTTATGTATTAAAGAAAATCTGGAATTAGGATGCATCCTAAAGTAAGGGAAAAGATATTTGAAATGGGGCTCATGCTTTGAAACTACTTGAAGGAATCTATTTCATTTTCCCTTTTATTTTCAAAAATCTGTTTATAGGCTGGGCGCGGTGGCTCATGCCTGTAATCCCAGCCCTTTGGGAGGCTGAGGTGGGTGGATCACAAGGTCATGAGATCAAGACCAGCCTGACCAACATGGTGAAACCTCATCTCCACTAAAAATACAAAAATATAGCTGGACATGGTGGCACACGCCTGTAATCCCAGCTACTCAGGAGGCTGAGGCAGGAGAATTGCTTGAACCCGGGAAGTGGAGGTTGCAGTGAGCCAAGATTGCGCCACTGTACTCCAGCCTGGTGACGGAGCGAGACTCAGTCTCAAAAAAAAAAAAAAATCTGTTTATAGTTTTTTTCTTTGTTTGAAAATATTAATGTATCCTATTGAGATAAATTTAAAGAATACATTTCCAAGCCCTTCATTGTGTCTGTGTTTAAACTAAGCACTGATTAATGCAAAGCATAGTGCCTCGCACATAATGGATCCTCAAAAGAAGGAAGCTACTGTAATTATAACTAATGATGGTACATGGTGTGTTAGTTTTATGTCTCAGCATAACAAATTACCACAAACTTAGCAGTTTAGCACAATATACATTTGTTATCTCACAGTTTTTGTGGGTCAGGAGTCCAAGTACAGCTTAGCTGAGTCCTCTGTTTAGGGTCTCACAGGCTACTGTCAGAGTGTCAGTGGGACTACCGTTCATTCAGAGTCCTAAGGTTCATGCTAAGGTTTGTTCATGCTAAGGTTCATTCATGCTAAGGTTCAACAAACATGAGCTCACACGTTTGTTGGCAGAGTTCATTTCCTTGCAACTGTAAAACTCATTTCATTTACTTCTTCAAGGCCAATAGAAGAGCATCTCTTCAAATCCCTGGCTTCAGAGAAGGTTTGGGCCCTCTTTTAACAAGCTCATCTGATTAGATCAGCCCCACTTTCCCTTTTGATTTATTTAATCAGATTACTCTCGCTTGTGATTAACTCAATGTAAGTTTATCAGGGACCTCGGCAAACATCCATCCATCTTTGCAAGCACCATCACAGGAGTAATGGCTCATTACTTGCCATATTCTTCTTCTTAGAAGCAAGTTACAGGTTATGTCCCGTATACAGGACATCCTGTATATTCAGCAGTATACAGGATGTTGCTCATTTAGATCATCTTAGAATTTGGCCTACCAGCTTTGGCAAGCATCAGCTATCCACAAGCCAATATTATGGGGTGGCTGAGCGTAAAGTTGCCCTTGGTTCAGTAAGGTCAGTTAACAAGGCTGAATTCAAGTACTCAAGGCAGATTGGCCTGTTTGTCAATGCCACCCACCTGTCAGCATTCCTCACTAGAAGTGTTCTTTCTACCAAATTCTTCTGTCATCAGACCATCTTTAAAGTCTAGTTTTGATTATTATACTTTTCAAATAATGGAGAGAAATGTTAGACTAGCAGTTGCAAACTCAGATGTCCACAGTGGCCAGGCAGCGCATTTGAGTCAAGTGAGCTGGGGGAAGGTAATGAGGATGAGTTGGAGAACATGGTCACATGGACACATGCACCATCCAGAGGGTAGCTGCTCCTCTGTTCAGTCCATTGAGCAGGAATGTCTGCCCAGTGCTGCCAGATCTTCTGTTTCAAGAGATGCCAGAAATCTGGATTTTCATGTGAAATCCCTTGATTTTCAAATGTTGACATTTGTTCCAGCTTTAAAACTGTGAATAGAGACCTCATTAAATCTCTTCTCACAGACATTCCTGCACTGCACATGAGCAGGAGGCTGGTTTGATGAGAGGCATTTCTCCTCTGGATTTTTCTGTGTTGTTTTTCTTAATGTTGGCAAACAAAAACATGGCAAGAAGATTGACCATTAAAGACTTGGACAAATTTTGAAGGCACAGTTTTCTAAATACTCAGAGGAGCCCTTTTTAGCCCAAGTAAGATGTTTCTAAGGCTTAGCTCACTGGCCTCTAGTTTATAGCTTTTACTGACAGTTTAGAGAAAAAATAACCTAGATTAGTTTGTATAAAGAAAAGACTTCAGGAATGAGCGTTGTCCAGTTTATTAAGGAGCAGTCCCAGGGTACTCTCAGGCAATATTGCCCAGGAGTTATGCAGGTTATAGATTTCAACTAGTGTTCTACTCTGAAATTTTTCTAACCTTGTGGATTTGTCTATATTGTTTTATTTTCTCCAGACCTGGATTCCTCACCTGTAAATGGAGGGGTGATAATATCCAGGATTCCATCATAAATATCCAATGCATATTTCCTGTGATTATTATGATATTCAGTTTCCTATAAGACTTCTAGCTCCAGCTAAACTAGATCAGATGCCCTAGATGTCCTAAGTTGACCTCAGGCCCAAAGATGGCCAAGGCCTAGGCAACAGTGTAGCAAGGGGTCTGTATACACTTCCTAGAAGTTTATTCTAGTGTAAACTCTATACATCACTATTTCTCTTCACTCTACAGACAATTATTTAATGTCTACTGTATATCTGGTGCTGTTTTAGGTGCCACATGTGAGGTTATTCAAATAATAAGACCTACTCTTGACGATTGTTGTAAGGGTTAGTCTGTACATGAAAGTAAAGTGTATGCCCACATTGGTAGCCATATAAAAATAAGCTACATGTCATAAATCATTGTTGGTTGACACTAATTTGCCTTATATCAACCAGAAGGTCTAAAACTTTTGTCCAATTCTGACCCTTTTTTCAGTCTTATGGTAGATCTTTAACTGACAGCATTAACATCCTGGAGTTGTTTCTTCTGAATTTGTTTTGGAGCTGATTAGTTGAGGATCATAATGAACCTCAATTAAAGATGGTTAAGAGTGGAGATCTAATGGTATGGGCAAAGCCTAAATATGAGTCGCTCTTCCCCTTTTGATGTTGACCCCAAGACATGCCTGGTGGCTTATAGAGAGACTCAGCAAATGGAGAGCTATTACATTTTCTTCCAGTTACATGCTGCATCTCTGCTCTACCCCAAGTCCCTGTAATTGCTTGCCCCTAAAATTGCTCTAAGTGGGTGACTAAAAAGGGAATATCCCAATGCATTAAAAAAACAAATCAAACCAAATTTGACAGATCTGATAAGAATGGAAAAATAACTCAATTTTTCTTGAGGATAAGGTGGGAATGGAGTCAGGGGTTGGACAGAGCCAGCGAGGATTCTTACAGAGTGTATGTCTTATTGTTGGAATGGAAAGAAAATGTGCTTGGCTACCAAAGCAGCTCAAGGGCTGCTAGCTTTCTGGCCTTCCAGACATGGACCTTTGCCCTAGAAACAGCTCTAAATGACAGTGTATTTTATGCAGAATCATAAGGCTAAGTGAGACAACTTAGAGACTAGGGTTCTCTTTTAGGTCACCCTAGATGTGTCCAGGAATTTATCACACATATACTTTTGCCATGAGGAGATGGTTTGTGTCATACCATAGATCCTCCTCATGCTGTATCTATGTATATATGTTCCCTCCAACTAGGGACTCAAGCAATTTTTGTTTTTGTATTTTTCAGTCTGAAGTTTAAATGAACTGTTTAGGGTCCTTATAAAATAATTTACTGAACTGTATATACAACTGAAAAAATATTGACATCTGGTTTGTTGACATCTAATTTAAGACAAGAATATTCCTAAAGTGTGGATTTTCTTTTTGCATCAGCATTCACTTCCTAATCTCTGATAACTAAATAGTGAAATTTAAATGTGCAGTTAATGTTCACTAGAGAATGTTCAGGTATCAAAATTGGTATTAAGTATTAGGAGTAAATAAGAGGAATTTTGAATGCATTTATTTCTTAGAGTCAAATTTTGTTAAACTCAGTTCAGTTATCTATGACATTCATATATTATAAGTTAACTGTTAAATTCTGCCTAATAAAGAATACTTAAATCTAAAATGGAAATGTATAATTTGAAGGAAATTCAAGTTTTGTGTCTTCACCATTAGGATAATTTTTTAAAGGGTAGCTATATTCATTAACTATTGCTGTGTAACAAATTATTCCAACACTCTGTGGCTTAATACATCTTTATTGTCTCATAGTTTCTGTACTTCAGGAATCTGGACACAGCATAGCTGGGTGCCTCTGGCCCAACGAGTTTCTTGAGACGGCAGTCAGCCTATTGCCCAGAGCTGCTGTCTTCTCAAAGTTCTACTGGGGAAATAGCTGCTTCCAAGCTCACTCACACTTTTGCTGGCAGGATCTTCAGTTCCAGGGGCCTCTGTTCCTTGCCTCTCCATAGGACTGCTTACAGCCTGCCAGCTGGCTTTCTTCAGAGTGAGAAAGCCCCCCTTGCAGAAGCCACAGTCTTTTTGTAACCTAGTCTTTGTCTTGATGTCCCATCACCTCTGCCGCATTCTAGTCATTATAAGTGACTCACTAAATCCAGCCACACTCAAGGGAGGCAGCTACCCCAGGAGGTGAATGAATGTCAAGACATGGAATCACTAAGGGACCAAGTTTGAGGTTGCCTGCCGCAGTCACTTTAGAGCAACCTCAACTAAAACACAATAACAGAAACCTGAAGAAGTAAGTGTATAACATATTATATAAATATTTCTCAGTAAAAAGATAAATATGTAGGATGTCCTAAAAATTTTTATTGAGGCCAGGCGTGGTGGCTCACGCCTGTAATCCCAGCATTTTGGGAGGCCAAGGCGGGCAGATCATTTGAGGTCAGGAGTTCAAGACCAGCCTGGCCAACATGGTGAAACCCCATCTCTACTAAAAATACAAAAAATTAGCCAGGCATAATGGCACGTGCCTGTAGTCCCACTACAGTAATCTGAGGCATGAGAATCGCTTGAACCCTGGAGGAGGAGATTGCAGTAAGCTGAGATCATACTACTGCACTCCAGCCTGGGTAACAGAGCAAGACTCAGTCTTAAAATATATATATATACAGACACACACACACACACACACACACACACACACACACACACTCTCAACATTATATATATATATATATATATATATGTTAAATCAAAGAATTACAGATTAGGAAGAAGATGTAAAAGTCCAGCTCTCTGACTTCCCTCTTTTTATTGTGGTCATTTAGCCTCTGCTTATTTATCTCTAATTGTAGGAAATTAATCACCTTTGTTTTTTTTTAGTCAACCCACTTGACAGAAGTTCTACGGGACCAAAATTAACTCTCAGTTATTCTACCTCGCAGCCCTATTTGGAAAATAATTTCACTTCTAACTCAGGGGTGCTCCTTCAATCCAATGGCATGGTTTTTGTTTTCATTTTGTGTGTGTGTTGTAGTTTCTTTTTTTTCTCTTTTACCTTCTTTTTTTATCACCTTTTTGCTGATAGTCTTTACGTAAAATAACCAATTATTCTTCACAGCAACACTACTAAGTCAGTCCTGTCATTACTCCCATTTTATAGACAAAGAAAATTAGTTGTAGAGAGGTTGAGAAATTTGCCTCAATTACCCAGACACAGCTTGTAAGTAGCAGAGCTGGGCTTTGAACACAGTTACCTGGCTTCTAAGTCCATGTTTCACTGCTCTACTGATGAGATTTTTAAATGAAAATTACCTAAAGATATTTAGTCTAGGAGCAAATAACATTATGTGCCTGAAGAGCCCGAAAGAGTCATCATTTTAAAGCCTGGTCCTCAAGAAACGAGCATTCATGGTGATGTTCCTGCATCACAGAGGAAAGGATAAGTCGCGTTCTGCATCATCTGTTTCAGAAGGCAGGAGAGATTTCCATTTGGATTGGCTTAAATTACTATAACCATTGGTGCCTAAAGGAAATCGCCTCCTTTCATCTGATAAATATATTAGGAACATCTCCTTACCTGATGCTGCATAAATGTGGCCTCATTGTCCAGAAAGGGTGGAATGGAAGAAAGGCAGAAGCAGGGGGATGAAAGCCACAGCATCAAACAGGAGGGACTAGGAACCGTGGGCTAGGCAAGTCCTCGAGGTGGGGAAGTCCAAGGACATGAACAGGAAACTGAACTGCTGCCTTTAGCTGGAATCCAAAGAGAGCATTCAATTGATGTGTTTTTGTTTAGATACAGACATGGTCATCATTTACCTGTCAGCTGGCATTACATCAAAGGACTCTTCGGAAGAAGATAAAAAAGCGACTCTCCAAGTCATCAATGAAGAAAATAGCTTTCTAAACAACTCTGTAATGATTCTCACCTATGCCCTCATGAACGGTAGGTAGAGTTTCAAGATATTCCTTTCAGATCAAAGATCCCTCTAAGTGTATGCTGCTTTAAAAAGAAGAAAAAGAATCATAACAGTGTGCTTGGATGAAGGCTACGGGAAAAGGCAACCAGGCGGCTCTTTCTCTACCTGATGTTGGTATTTAGGGTGTGTAAGGAGGTTCCTTTCTCTTCATCTGTCTCTCCAGTGAACTGCTTGTTTCTAAACCTCTTCTCCACTTACGTGGTCTTGCAGAGGATTTTATACAGCGTCCCCCTGCCCCACCTTTTTTTTCAGTTCTCCTTCATATTCTAGGATTATCTAAGGTTTTAGCTTATCTCATTGGTTTAAGCTGCAGGAAGCCAAAGCACTGACCTAGATTCTTCTGCACAACCCAATCTGTGAATATCACATTTTCCTGCAGAATCACCACCTGAAGCCTCTTCTGCCACTTTCTCCACCTCAGCTTCCTTAGCTGTAAAATGGAGATAAGCATTATCTACCTTGCAGTGTTGTTGTGAGGATTAGCCTTAATGTACAGTAAACAACTTATTAAAATGGATTGTGCTGCTGTCGAATGACAGAATGTAAAAGGGTTTAGTAAATTGGTAAATTCAAGCTACTACTACATTTTTTCCCTTCTGCTATTCAACCTGTCCGCTAGTCTGAGTGCAGCACAGTTTTCTAGCTGTATTGTATCTCTCCGCCTGTTAATACATTGCTTTTCTCCCATGACATCTTTAGGCCCATTGCCCTCAGTATTCAAAGTGGCCATCTTCTCTTGTGTTTAAGAGGCCGTGTCTTGGCTGGACACGGTGATTCACGCCTGTAATCCCAACACTTTGTGAGGTCTCGGTGGGCTGATCACGAGGTCAAGAGATCAAGACCTGGCCAACAATGTGAAACCTCGTCTCTACTAAAAATACAAAAATTAGCTGGGCGTGGTGGTGTGCGCCTGTAGTCCCAGCTACTCGGGAGGTTGAGGCAGGAGAATCGCTTGAACCCAGGAGGCAGAGGTTGCAGTGAGCTGAGATTGCAGCACTGCACCCCAGCCTGGTGACAGAGCAAGACTCTGTCTAAAAAAAAAAAAAAAAAAAAAAAAAAAAAAAAAAAGCCATGTCTTGATCAAGCAGTCTTTCCCACCTACTATCTTTTGTTTCTCTTGTCAACTGTGAAATTTCCATGCAGAACCATGTGGTTCAGGGACAGTGGGCCTCATATTCTGATGTGCTAAGGGTTCCTTGGGGAATGGCTTTAAAATGCAGATTTCCAGGCATTGCTCTCAGATTCTTATTCAGATCCTCTTAGGAGGGGTTCAGGAATCTACTTTTTGGCCAGGGTGATTCTCTTCCAAATGATTTCTAGACCACACTTGAGAGAACACAGGTTCTGATGTCTAGTGGTCCTTAGCTGCTGTCCACATTTGCTAGTCGTTTGGCTTATGGCAAGTTACTTAATCTCTTTAGACTGCAGTTTTAGCTGTGAAATGAAAAATAGTAAAATCTACTGCATAGGGTTGTTGTAATAATAAATAAGCAATATATGATTGTGTTTAAAGTTCTTAATGTAGTACCTGGTAAAGAAAGTGTCCTCAAAGACCGAGCTCGGTGGCTCATGCCTGTAATCCCAGCACTTTGGGAGGCCAAGGCGGGCGGATCACGAGGTCAGGAGATCAAGACCATCCTGGCTAACACGGTGAAACCCCATCTCTGCTAAAAATACAAAAAAAATTAGCCAGGCGTGGTGGCGGGCACCTGTAGTCCCAGCTACTCGGGAAGCTGAGGCAGGAGAAAGGCTAGAACCCGGGAGGCGGAGCTTGCAGTGAGCCGAGATTGCACCACTGCACTCCAGCCTGGGCGACAGAGCAAGACTCCAAAAGAATGGTCCTCAAAGCCAGCATAAGGAGTTTATGAAAGCTTATATGGTTTCCTGTCTCAGACAGTATAGCTCAGAGGTGGAGCTCTGCCATCCAGGGCCAGATCTCTGTCCAGTCCTCTTTGTCCCCTGGCACTTTCTGCCTAATTCTGACAAGCATGTCTCCCATTATACTATAGTAAGGTGCTCACATACTGTCCTCTCTCTCTTCTCCCTCCACTTTCCACAAGAATGTGAACTTCTCAAGCATGAACTATGTCTTAGTTTTCTTTGCATTCTGAGCGCTTAGCACAGGACTGAAAGCAGCTGAAGTGGGTGAGGGTGCCTGGGCACGTGCCCATCAGTGTTATCTCTGACCACCTGTTGCTCTTTTCTCCTTTGTGTTGGATTCTTTCATTCATGAGAGGTAGGAAGGGTGGGAGAAAAGGAGGAAGGGAGGAAAATAAAATTTACTGACCACCTACCATGTACAACACAGGGTACTGAGGTTTCAGAGCTGTATTATACAAAGTTCCTGTCTGCAAGATGCTTATGACCCAGTGAGGAAGATAGGTAGACATGGAAGATGAATGAAATTCAATAGTAGAGGAGTAAGGAGGCCCAAAAGGAAGGGATCACTTCTCTTCCATTAGATTTGAAGGTCTGCCTGGGCAGATACTTCTTTACTTCCTTGCTGTCACCCATTCCTTCACTGGTCCTAAATTCTTCAACCAGAGTCTCTTACACACTTTCTGTTACAGTAATTCCGTACTTTAGAGTCTCTAGTTACTTCCATCTCAGCATCTTTTTCTCTTCTCTTTCTTCCTTTAATCTAACCAGACACACATCCTCACTGCCAGTTTTCTCTCTCTTTCTCAGAACCCTATTTCTAAGTGTAATTCACTAGAGTAGACACAATTAACCTTACTTACAAATAGGGAAACAGATTGACTAAGAGAACTGGAATAAAGAATTTGTTGTCGGCTAAAAATTAAAACACTTGGACCAGGCTCAGTGGCTTACGCCTGTAATCCCAGCACTTTGGGATGCCGAGGCAGGCGGATCACCTGAGGTCAGGAGTTCGAGACCAGCCTGACCAGCGTGGTGAAACCCCATCTCTACTAAAATACAGAAATTAGCCAAGTGTGGTGACCCATGCCTGTATTCCTAGCTATTCAGGAGGCTGAGGCACAAGAATCGCTTGATCCTGGGAGGCAGAGTTTGCAGTGAGCCAAGATGGCACCACTGCACTACAGCCTGGGCAATAGAGTGATACTCTGTCTCAAAAAATAAAATAAATAAAACACTTGAACTACAGGAGATAAGAGACTGGAAAGGGTACCAGAGAAGTTGGGGGGATTGGGAATGGTTGATGGGTAATCATTGGTAATGGTTACATTCTATCTAACAAAAATATAGTTAGATAGAAGGAATAAGATCTAGTATTTGATAATATAACGGTGACTGTAGTCAATAGTAATTTATTATATATTTTAAAATAACTAATACAGTGGAAGTTTGATGTTTCTAATAGTACAAAGAAATCATAAATGATTGGGGTGATTCATACCTCGATTACTCTGCTGTGATTATTACACATTGCACAACTGTATCAAAACATCGCATGTACACCATAAATATATACACCTGCTATGTACCCATAAAAATTAAATTTAAAAAAGAGTTTATTGTCAGAATTAGAATGCACACAATTGTGGGAGAAACTGGGAGAAACTGTGGGAGAAAAAAAAATAAAAGACCCAAGATGGGGAGGTGACATCTCAGAAAGTTTAGTAACCAGGTTGGGGCCTGCTGGGAAGTCTAGAAGCTAGGAACATGGAAGATTACTTAGGAGACCTGGTGTAGAAGTCCATGGAAGGTTGTTGGCTTTTTGTGGCTGCCAGCCCCCGTGCATGCTCAGTGAAGCATCTGGAACATGGCTGGGGTTGCTATCAGTGAGCAGGTCAGCAGCTGGGAAAGGGAGCTGAACACAGAGAAGAGTAGGACAAACTGGAGCATTCTGGCCCCTCAGTGTCTGTCTCTGACCACTTCTTACTGTCCCCTAAATCTCGCAGTACAGCCCTCACTTTTTGCACCTTTAACCTGGTAGCATACAAGAAAAGAGGATCCTGGGAAATGTAGTTTCTAGCATGACCATGTTGATAATAGGCAACCCAGCGTACTTACCAATCAGCCACCCTACTGACCTTCCTGCCATCCCTACATAACATCTCATGATGGAGTAACACCTCATACTCAATCCTCCATAACCTTCCATCCCACGCTACTCTTCTTTGCCTAGTAGATATTGTTTTCTTTTATGTTTTGAGAGACTCAAGCAATACATGACAAAGAAGGGAAATTTAGTTATTGCTCGAGTTTTCTTCTTTTATTGTTTTACTTCTGTGAGCTTCTCAAGGATATAAGGTCAGGTACCAATCGTGTCTTTGGTGTTAACTTTTACTCTGGAGTGTACCCCTCACTCCCCATCTCAGCTCTGTGCCGTGCAAAGGGAACAGTAATCTGATTCTGACTTAATTTGGCCCAGGTATTTTTTGCTTTCCTTTAGCATTGCATGAGTGGAGCAAAAGTCAAGTTTATTTAAATATAATGTGTTTTAAGAAAGAAATGATTTGCCAGGCATGGTGGCTGACACCTGTAATCCCAGCAGTTTGGGAGACAAGGTGGGCAGATCACTTGAGGCCAGGAGTTCGAGGCCAGCCTGGCCAACATGGTGAAACCCCGTCTTTACCAAAAATACAAAAAAAAAATAGCCAGGCATGGTGGTGTATGCCTGTAATCCCAGCTACCCGGGAGACTGAGGCATGAGAATCGCTTGAACCCAGGAGGTGGAGGTTGCAGTGAGCCAAGATTGCACCACTGCATTCCAGCCTGGGTGACAGAGGGAAACTGTCTCAAAAAAAGGTGGGGGGTGGGAGAAAGAAATTAATATTTATTTTATTCTGCCATGATTTTAGAAGTGGACTTCCAGTGCTACAAGTATGTACACTCTCTATGTAGAAATGCTAAAGACATATGTGGTAGATGAACCATGAAAGCTTCAGATTCTTTTTAATGATTGAATAGTTCATGGTTTGGTATTGAAATCTGCAAGAACATGAGACAAAACCTTTTAAAAAGGCAGTGGTAGAATCTCAGTAGTGACTGAAATCATTTTGAATTTGTTTACAACAGTCCCCATATGCAATCAGTTTCTAATCCTTTTGACTATGTTCCAACAATAGCAAACTAAAAAAAAAAAAAAAAGTGTATTAAATTTACTTTTGTGCTATAAATTACAGATGTTGTAGAATAATACATCCCAGTATGCCTAAATTTTGTACAAAGTTTCAAAACCCTCTAAATGTAAAAAAATTTGTATTAAGTAAATCAAGTTCAGTATTATCCTAACAATATCAAGCATGAATATGTTTATAATTAAAATGAGCTTAAAGAAACAGGGTTTGGAGGCATCAGTAAATGCAATCCATAATTCTTTCATTTAGTTGCATGGCAGCTAGACTTTGGCAAGTGGTTTTATAGGTGAAGAAGTAAGGAATGAAAGGATCACCCTCTGTTCTTTAAAACTCTTACAGTTTCATCTACTACATTAAATTAAATGCAGACGTGTTGATTATTACTTTTGCTTTTAAATATTAAATGCAGAAAATGAATTTTCATTTTATAATTAACTTTTGGGGAGAACACATTCTTACTGAATGGGACTCCTTTATTTGCTCATTTGTTTTTCATTATCGCCCTGTGAAGAGTCCCTTTCCCCTCTTGACTATTTCAGGAAAGACTATGCCTCAGGCTTTGTTTCCTCAGCAGGAACTGGTATTTGTGTCCAGAGTCTATGTGGTCTCTGCAAAAACCCCTTTGGTATTACAAGACCTCATCCATGCCCGTATTTGATCTAAATGGCAAGAGGTTGAATGGATATAAACCATTTTGCTTTCCGTGGTCTTCTCTCGGCTTTCCATTTTAGATGGGGTGACTGGTTTGAAAGAGCTGGCTTTTCTGAGGGATCTAGCTGAACAGAATTCAGGGAAGTACGGTGTGCCAGACCGGATGGCCTTGCCTGTGATTAAGGGCAGCATGATGGTGCTGAATCAGTTGAGCAACCTGGAGACCACAGTGGGCAGGTTCTACACAAACCTTCCCAACCGGATGATTGATGAAGCCGTCTTCAGCCTGCCCTTCTCTGATGAGATGGGAGATGGTGAGTTTGGATAAACGTCATTTTAAAGGAAGGGGAAAAGAACTGGGCAGATAGAAATGGCACCTCTTTCTCAGGATCATAGGGTTTCTTAGCACCCCTGCCACCTGTCCTATATCTCTGTATTGTACAGCAGAAATCCCCAGCCCAGGTTCTTCCTTATTACCCTGGCCATAGTACACATAATGGATGTATCCTCTGGGGAGGCTTTGTGAGGATTCTCGAATATCCAAAAGTTTGTGAATTAGAACTAAAGGGTAGCTTTGTATCATGGCACATGGGAAATGAAGCTCAGAAGTGCTGAGGATTCAGCCTCAGAGACAAGGCAACGTGGCATCATCGCACAAACATGGGCCTGGCCTCAGGTGGGCTTTCAAATTCCATTCTTCCACTTGAGGTGTTGTCCTTGGTAAGTTATTTAATGGTGTTAATTCTCCATTTGGTCACCTGTAAAATGGGATAGTAAATCTTTCAGATTATTAGGATTAACTAGATAACATATATGACCTGTCATTATCTAGTTAATCTAGGATTACCTAGATATTATAAAATCTATGATAACACATGACCGGCATACCATTCAGTTATAATTACTGTTTTTATTTCATTTATTAAATGTATTTTACCTTTGTTGTTATCATTGTTATTATTACTAACATCAGCATCACCGTCATCCTGATGCCTAAGTTACCCATAACAGGATGTTGAGTAAAGTACTGAACCTTCACAGGATTCAATTTCCTGACCTATAAAATAGAATCTGGAAAATATAACAGAAAATACAACATTTTCCTCAAGGCAGTTGTGAAGATTAAATGCAATAATAATAAAACATCTAGAACAATGCCTGACTAACAGTATATTTTTAGTAAAAGCACAATCTTTTTCTTTTCCTCCTCCATGTTCTTACTTTTCCTTTTCTCTATATCCTCCCCTTTCTCCTTCCTTGACAGAAGAAAATTGAAGAAGTAGCTAATTATTAGCCAGACAGACACCATTGCCATTTGAGATATTATATTTATGTTTTGTTAGCTAGGAACTCTTACAAATACGGATTTTTTTTAAAACTCACGTGTAAAAAGTAACAAGCCTATAGAGAAGGTGTTTTCTAGAAACTAGGTAGACATTCTCTTTCTATAAGGAAGAAATAAGCCAACTGCCATTATGTCTCAATTTTTATTTTTAAAGAGACAGGGCCTGTCTCACCCCGGCCGGAGTGCAGTGGTGTGATCATAGTTCACTGCAGCCTCGACCTCCTGGCCTCAAGCAGTCCTCCCACCTTTGCCTCCTAAAGTGCAGTTGTGGGCCACCATCCCCAGCCTTGCTTTTTTTAATCACTCCTATTACTGTCAGGGACTACAGATGTATATAGAATGGAAACTCCCACTTTTAGATAAGGTTATTTCCCTTTTTAGTGAAAATATGAAGTCCTGAATGCAAGTTACCTTTTATGCATGTAGCTTACATTACTGAGTGCCAGCCAAGCATTGTGCCAGGCAGTGATGAGTGAGGCTCACCTCCTACCCTCAGTAAGCGTAAGTCTGATAAGAGAAAGACAAATCAGTAATTCCCGTTAATACTGTGTGAAAGGGACAAAGGATGACGTAGAGATCCAGTTTTTCACAAACTCAGATCATATAGCCAAATTCTCTTACTGATAGTGGTATCAGGTAGAGTGGAACTCCCTCCTAAATCCAGAGAGCTACCCTGAATGCTTTAAACCAAATCACATGTAGAACTTTGGCCACCTGTTGCCTGATACCATCCAAATTTTGCTCCTTGGGGCCTGTGTTATGAATCCTGTGCAGTGGATTTCAGTGATTGGTTTGCAGATCTATTGAATTCCTCTACTAGAGTGTGTCTGTCTTTTCATCTTTGTGTTTTCAGTCCCTAGAATTATTGAGTGCCACATCCTCTGACTCCATGACATGAGGCTTGATTCTAGGGAAACCCATGTTTATGTGGCTCTAATTCAAAACCTACACAGATTAAAATATCAGTTACTGAACATATTTCTTTTTAAAAAGTAAATCTATGTGCTTTAGGTTAAAGTACAGAGAGTGATTGAGGATTTTGTCAATATAACAGGAGCTTAGCATACTTTATTTGCCATAATGGGATCAAGAGTCTTCTGTCCCAGTTGATAATTGAAAAGTAAGATTGTGTTTCTTTTTTAAGACTTTGTTCTCAACCTGTCCAGAGGAGAATAGAAATTTGAAGCGAGCAGGCATCTCAGTCACAGAGTATTTCTGTTGTACTTTACTGATCTATGAAAATGGCTTTAATCCTAGACTAAAGCTCAGGGGACTGTGGTGGGCAGATTGTGACCTCTGTCTCCATGCTGGTCCTCACAGCCTGCTCCTGCCGCTTACAACCTATTTATCCTGGGAGACCTGGGAAAAACCTTCTCCAAAATGCATTTCTAAAACCTCCTTAAATACATGTTATTTTTAAACATTTTAAAACAGATAGCATTCTAAATGTGAACTGCTTAAAAAATGCTTTTGAGACCAAAATAGAGACCCGTTGCATGACTTTTCAGATGCTTTTTCAGTGATGTATCCACTTCTTCCTATCAAGTGATGCATTTAGTTGGCCTATGCAACCATAGCAACTCAATAATACCTCAAGTGGACATCATATGCAATTCTCTGTGTAGAAGCTCATTCTTTGTAGAAGCCTTCAGGAGTTTTAAATCCCTTTCCTGGGGGTTTCTAGAAGAATGGCTTTCTGATAGGCTGATAGACATCAAGCGCAGGAAAAAACAAAATCAAGATAAAGATAAACAATCCATCTTTTTGTTTAGAGTTTTCTTTAGAGCCATAGGATTGTGAAATTGTTGGGGATCGTAAAGATCATTTTATCTCACCTCCCCCCGCCCCCAACCCCAGCCATCTGATGCATGGAGAGTCTCATTCCAAGACGTGGCACAACTTACCAAACCCAGCAGGGAAGCCAGGAGGAGAAACCAGGTGTCTCGATCTCGGGGCCATGCATTGACCCACCTCTCTTTCTACATTTTCCTCCTGTGTGCTTTGCCCTTTCCCTAATTATCCTATTGTTGTTGTTGTTTTTAATGGCCTGTTACCTAAGTACGGTCTTTATATTTTGAAAAGGTTATTTTTTATAAAAAAACAACAACAAAAATTATGCACTAGAGACTGTGTAGCCCACAAAGCCTGAAATATTTCCTGTCTGACCCCTTACATAAAAATTTAGGAACTCCTGGCCCGAATGACTGGAAATACATTCCTTTGGAAACTTAATTTCTCCTTCAGCTGCTTGAAGTTCTGTATGTTCAGATACTGTACCTTTCTAAATTTTTTCCCCTTGTTTTCACCTTTTTTTAAAGGATGCATTAATGGGGTATAGTAATAATACCTTTTAAGCATTCCTTTATCCATAGTCTCTTTTGATCTAACATTTCCTAGAAATCAGTAAAGCAGTTAATGCTGTGTCCTTTAAACAGATGTGTGAGCCAGACACAGTGGCTCATCCCCATAGTCCCAGCTACTTGAGAGACTGAGGAGGGAGGATCACTTGAGCCCAGGCAGTTGAGGCCACCATGAGCTATGATCGCACCACTGCATTCCAACCTGGGTGACAGAGTGAGACCTCATCTCGAAATATTAAAATTAAAAAAATTAACAGATGTGTGAACCAAGGCTCAGAGTAGTTATATCCATTGTCACCTGTACAATACAAAAGGGGTACAGCTGGACTATTAAGTACAGTTTTTAGATTCATTGTCCATTGATCTTTCAAGTTCAGCTGAATCTAACTGCTTCACAAAATAGAAAAATGTATTTAGTGTTGCTGATGTTTTGCACTGATCTGGAAGGTCTTATCTTTTTAGGTGAAAAAGTAGTGGAAAACATAGAAATTGCCTCCTTTTAAATTAACTGCGCTATCTGAGCTGCCAAAGGACGCTCTTTCCCTCCCACTCTAACTCATTTATTAGGCTGTCTGCAAAGGCAATGCTTGATTACTGGACCACATGGGAAACTTTTCTTCCAAACAAAATTGAGACAGCTGATAGAAGCCTTCATGATTCACCGGAGCACAGTTCCAGTCTTTGTCCAATTCCTTCTCTGCTGGTCTTTAGATTTATTTTGTTTTTAACCCATAGGTTTGATAATGACTGTGAGTAAACCCTGTTATTTTGGAAACCTACTTCTGGGAATTGTAGGTGTGGACGTGAATCTGGCTTACATTCTTGAAGACGTGACGTATTACCAAGACTCTTTGGCTTCCTATACTTTTCTCATAGACGACAAAGGTAATCTGCTAAATGTTCATCCTAAGAATACTTTTTTAGAAACCTAAAGAAAATAAGGTATAGATATTCTACAAACAAAATAGGAAAATGATAGTGTAAAGAAGAGCATTGTGACTAAGATTGCTCATTTGTAGTAGAACACCGTAAAGATGGCAGAGTGGATCTCCAAATTACACATGTGTTTCTCTGTTCTTTGAGGGGTAGGGAACGGTTATTTGTAACATCAGGAAATTAGACTGGAGGATTGAATGACACATAGAATGTCATCCTTTGACCTGAACAGATAACTTTTCTAAAGAAGAAATAATGCAGCCAACAAGCCTATGAAAACAATCGCAGTATCCCTGATCATTAGAGAAATGCAAATCCAAACCACAATGAGATGCCATCCTACACCTGTCAGAATGCCTATTATTAAAAAGTCAAAAAATAGCAGATGCTGGCAAGGTTGCAGAGAAAAGGGTACACTTGAATACTCTTAGTGGGAATGTAAATTAGGTCAGCCATTGTGGAAAGCAGTGTGATGATTCCTCAAAGAGATGAAAACAGAACTACCATTTGACCCAGCAATCCCATTACTGGGTGTATATATGTACCCAAAGGAATGTCAATCGTTCTCTCATAAAGACACCTGTATGTTCATTGCAGTGCTATTCACAATAGCCAAGACATGGAATCACCCTAAATGCCCCTCAGTGGTAGACTGGATAAAGAAAATGTGGTACATATGGAATACTATGCAGCCATAAATAAAGAATGAGATCATGTCCTTTGCAGAAACACAGATGGAGCTGGAGGCCATTATCCTTAGCAAACTAACTCAGGAACAGATACTGCATGTTCTCACTTATAAGTGGGAGCTAAATGATGAGAACACATGGACACAAAGAGGAGGACAACAGATACTGAGGCTACCTAAGGGTGGAAAGCGGGACGAGGGAGAGGAGCAGAAAAAATAACTATTGGGTGCTATGCTTAGTACCTGGGTCACAAAATAATCTGTACAACAAACCCCCGTGACACAAGCTTACCTATATAATAAACCTGCACATGTACCCCTGAAGTTAAAAGAAGTTAAAAAAAAAAAAAAAAAAAAAAGAAGAATGTCATCCTTTGGATCTTTTTTTTATTAAATTGTTATCTTAGATTTATTGGCATTAAGATTTATGTGGTAGATTAGAATGTTTTATAAAACAACAAAACAACCAATACCTCCAAAATACTCTTGATGAGACAGATGTTTGATAATTTAAGACATCTTTCTACGCCTCAAGAGTTTTATGTAAGCACATATAAAACAGGTTCAGTTTTTACTGGACTGGTGAGTTGCAGAATGAGAAGTTGAGTATCGGGCAGCCAGCCCAGAGTACCCCATATTTCAAAACAGTGATTCAGAACTTCCTACAACATGTTTCTTATTAACATGCATTTTGTTTTCTTATTGCAGGATATACACTTATGCACCCATCTCTTACCAGGCCATATTTATTGTCAGAGCCCCCACTTCATACTGACATCATACATTATGAAAATATTCCAAAATTTGAATTAGTTCGGCAAAATATCCTAAGGTAAGGAAAAGGTGAGGGTCATAGGATTGTTTTTCCCTGAGAATGGGACCCATCAAAGCCACATACGAGTATTTACTACAGAGTATAAAACAAGTGTATAAATTATTTTAATGTTATCAAAAGTATTCTCAGTAATGTTTCCGTAAGAATAGCACCCAAGATTTTGCTTACTTTGTATCACAGATAAGGTGTCTTAGAACTATTATTTGACGATAATGTCTTGTAAATCAAATTTTATGTTCACATTGACTTTCATTGTAAAATCAGATATATTTCATCTCATTTTCAAAAAAAGTTCCAATGATACCAAATTGAAAAATGTTGGCAAAATAAAAGGCTAAGTTGAGGACCAGCTTTGTTGCATTTGCCAAAAAATAGCCTGGCAAAGTAGCGTCCATTCCAAGTTGACAGCACAATCTTATACATTGTTTTTTCTTCAAATAAAAAACAGATTGGATCTTTTCCAACTGTGATACATTATTTTGGCAGATGGTAACCTGTAGAGGAATGGGTCTTTGTGCTCATTGGTTGAAAATTAATGACTGAGTGATTTGAGACAAGTTAGTCTCTGGAAAGAATTAGAGTTGGGGAGCAAGGATGGAGAGTAAGGGATGTTTTTAATGCAGAGCTGACATAATGCTTTTACGCAATTGAAAATCTCACATTATCCTTTCAAAACTGATGAGCTTCTTTGGTATTCGAAATCAGGAGGTGGCCATTGACTCAACAGCTTCTTCCTTGCCTTTAATTAAGTGCTTAATTTTATCTTTTGCCTGAAATATTTAATTCTGTTTGCCAACACAGCCTCCCTCTGGGCAGCCAGATTATCGCAGTCCCTGTGAACTCATCCCTGTCTTGGCACATAAACAAGCTGAGAGAAACTGGAAAGGAAGCCTACAATGTTAGCTATGCCTGGAAGATGGTGAGTGAGAGGAAGTTGTGTTTGCTTGAAGAGCTACAGGGTACAGTGCTCTTCTTCATGTTGGAATTCTCAGCCAGGGGGTGGCACTTGGGTCTGATAATTTGTCTCGTAATGTGACTAATCAGTTTTTAAAGTGATTGGGAAAGAAGACATTCCACAGGTGTTGTATAATTATTTTTCCTTTTTTGTTTATAAAACTGATAATTGTTCATGATGAATTCATCAAACCATATAAAAGGATGTAAAGTAGAAAGTAAACTATGCCCAGCCTGGACAACATAACAAAATCCCATCTCTATAAAAAAATGTAAAAATTAGCCAGACGTGGTGACACATGCTTGTATTCCCAGCTACTCAGGAGGCTGAGGTGGGAGGATTGCTTAAGCCTGAGAGGTTGAAGCTGCAGTGAGCCATGCTAGCACCAAAACTATCTACTTCCTTCCTTCCTTTGACTTTTCATTCCCCATAAGTAGCCACTTAAATCAATTTCCAGAAAATGTGTATATACAGGCAGGTATATATATTTGTGTGTGTGTGTATACGCTCACCCACGGCTTTAATGGCTATATAGGATTGCATTGTGTAGATAACCCAAATTTCTTTAAACAGTCCCCTATTAATGCACATTTAGATTACATCCAGTTGGTTTTTTTCAGTTCAACTCAGATTGTGGAGGTTGGGAGTTTAAAAGGAGACATGAAAGCATAAGTACCTTCCGACATTCTCTAAGGAAAAGAAAATTTTAGATTAGAAATTGGATTATTCATGTTCAACACAAGCAGATGGATAGTTTGGCCATAACTTGTGGCACCCATTTCTGCTTTCTCTTACCAGATTCTTTCAGACACCAGGCTTCAAAGAATCATAGAGAAAGCGTATCTAACACACACTGTTCATGTTACCTGTGTTTCTCTTCTCTCCTCTTCCTTCCCAATGTAGCATAGCAGTGCTGTTGAAGGACCCTAAATACTATAACTGACCAAAAGGGGAGTAGAGTTTTACTTTTATCATCAAATTTTAATCGCTGAACATAAAATGCAGTCATACATGAGATTTTTCTTGGATGGACAAATCAGATGTTTAACCTGTTGACTCCAAATAGATCCATTTAATCATCCCTTTACAAACTACTTATTGAACATTTTCTGTGTACTAAGAAGGATAAAGAAGATTGACACTCTCTCTGCCTTCATAGAGCATCGAGCCTAGTGGTGGATGCAGACAAACAGCAACTCGATACAGTGTCTGTGCCTGTATCAGTTGGATCAGGAAAGATAGGAATTGGGAGTAGCCAGAATGCCTTTAGGCAGGAGTCTCTTCCAACCTTCTTGTTTGGTTCTTAAAATATCATTATGGCAATAGCAATTACTAAAATGCAAATGAAGCAAACAAATTAATAAATGAAACTATTTGAGAAACTTATGTTTACAAGCCTAATTCTACTGGTAGTTTGTTGTTTGGTAATACACATTTGAGGAAGGTCAAAGCCTATTTTGAAATTCTCTTAGCTGACTTATTTTCAGATTTTTCTTTAGAATGATAGCACCATCTGCCCTTATATTTATATCATTTTTAAAGATAAATTATTTAATTTTCATATCAGAAAGGGTGAGCCGGCCACCAAAATTCTCAATTAGAAAACAGACTTTTGTGTTTGAAATTAGAGATTGTTTACCTCCAACATATTCTGATTGAAAGCAACTCAGTTACATCCTGGGAAAATATCTGCATGGTTGCTGGCATTAAAAGGGAAAGAAGGAAATGTAGGCATTTGTCTGACCTTCTTGATACAGTAAAGAGCCTCAATGTTAGTGGGGTTTTTTTCAACGATGCTAGTAAATTCTGGTTATTCTTCTTAGGCAAATTCGAGGTAGTAATCAGGTAGTCACTTCAGGTAGCAGTGTTAGCTTTCTCTGAGTTCTAAAATTGTTGAGCAGATCCCTGTAAGTGAAAACTTAAGGAGATAATAAATAATGAGATTGGAGACTTAAAAAAAAAAAGGCTAGGCTGGTTACCCAGTAATAAGGGCAAATATTTTTAAGATCTCTTTAGTTACTTTGTTGGGGAGGAGGGTAGATACTTATCTTGTCCTAAAAAATAAAATGGTTTCTTCTAATATAATCCAAATAGAGTTAGCTTATCCTAAGGACAATTGCCTAAACTGCTTAGCACTCATAGATATAGCAGATATTGAGGGATTATTTCACTGAATTAATTTAAATATAACTTGAGAGATTATGTTAGCAGCATTAAGAGATTACTCCATCACTGTGTAACCCAAGTGCATTTTTTAGCACTTTAGGAGGCTGTTTGCTCTGATAGAAGTACTGACTATTAGAAGGTATTCACATGTTCCCATGTTACACAGGCCTGCTTCACTTCAAAACATGGATCCCATGTTATAATCAGTGAAAAAAACCCACTCCCAACCCATAGAGAGCCCTTCTAGAAATAGAGTTCCTTTTAATGTAGAGACTATTTTTTTCAGCTAAGAACATGACAGAAAGACCTATATTGAAATCTGCTTTCCTAAGAACTGTTTATAAAGTGCTACTTTTAGAAGCTTACGGTAACTTTATTTTTCTCTTACAGAATAGACCCAATTATAAAATTATTTTCTAGTCATTCTGGTAGGGTTTTGTCTTTTGGTTCCTTGGAACACACAACATAGGAAAACAAACTTAAAAGATGACTGTGAGATTGAAAAGAGAGAAAATAGTAAATGCCACTTCAGAGCACCTTGTCAATTTATAATTTGGGGAATGGAGGAAAAGGATTAAATTTGTTAATCTAATTGAATATCTTTGCCAGCAGTACTTGAAAGCAATTCCAGGAAGATGCAAATTGCTTCTGTGTTTAAGAGTCTACAACCATCCTCACAAATCCTAAATTTCACTTAACTCTAACCTGCCTAGTTAAAATTTTATCCTTCATCTTTTACTTTTATTTCACTAAGTAAGTCACATGAGCTGCTTTATAAGGCACCGTTCTTTAGTTCTGATTTCGCTAGTCATCAACTTCTTCATTTATTTATAAACCATCTTTAAATAGGTTCAGTCTTTCTTCTAATAGGATAATAATCGAGAAATTTCTTTTACTTTTAAGTCTTTCTCAAGTGGCTAGAACTAGGTAGATTGGCTTTTGATTCTGTGGTGGACATTGTCCCCACTAAATTTTGTTGAAGCATCCATTTCTAGGCACAAAGTGAATCTGAAAATACTACTGTTTCTACATATGAGCTTAATAAGTTAGACTTAAGCTATGGCATACTTGCCTACCATGGTCTGCAATGACAAATCAGGCTGACTCTGCAGGGATGCCATAGGATTTGTGTTTTTCATGAGTTTAAGTAGTGATGTTGGTCATTTCCAACCAGGAGAAGAGAAAGCATTCGTTGGAATAGAATGAATGAACTGGATTCTGTATTGGCTGCTCCTCAGTCCTTTCTTTTAAAGTGAGAATTCACTACTGGCTTGAAAAATAGTCAATTCTCAGAACACTTATTGCAAAACCAATTATGTATTTTTAAGTGCATTTCAAATCCAAATAGAAATAAGTGTTATATTATTATGTCCTGTTCTAGCTTGTGCTCATTAACCCACATTAGCAAAAAAAGACTAGGGTCACAGTTTCAAAGGGACTCCTTTCTTATCCTTTCGTTAGCCCCATGATTTTCTGTTACATACTTCAGGTCTCCTCAACAAGAAAAGAAAACAGAAAATACAAAATTAGATACCTTCTATCACCCTATCCTCATGTCTTCATTCATTCATCCCATATTTAATGAATACCTTCCACGTGAAGATAGAAGGTAGAGGCAGTAGAAAATAATGTATGCAAAGTCCCTGTCCCCATGGAACCCTCATTTTCTAGGTCAGAAATTCTTTATTGATTTTTACAGGTACAAGACACTTCCTTTATTCTGTGTATTGTGGTGATACAACCAGAAATACCTGTGAAACAACTGAAGAACCTCAACACTGTTCCCAGCAGCAAGCTGCTGTACCACCGGCTGGATCTCCTTGGCCAGCCCAGTGCTTGCCTCCACTTCAAACAGCTGGCAACCCTAGGTAAAGCCCTTACACTTCCTTCACATTCTTACTCTTAGCAGCTCACTGTAAATATCCTTTTGAATACCATCCACCCCACCCCTCCAAAAAAGATACTGAATGCCTGCAGAGTCAGCTGGTTTGGGGATACAAATATGAAAACGATTTGAAGCCTGGCCTCAAATCAGATCGTCTAGCAGACTCTGAGACAAGGTTTCGTGTGCTCGCGATTTATATAGGATGGGCTTTGAGAAACCAGTGAAGAAGTGAGAAAAACAGGACAAGGAAGGCAAAAAAGACAAGTTTGATGTTGAGTGAAGTTTTAAGTTCAGCCTGGTCTTCTAGGGGGTCTCTGGAGTGTAAATTACACCAATAGAGTTTGCCCAGACTCTAAAGAGAGCTCAACTTTCACATTTCTTAGTCACTTTCAACTTTCTTCTAGTGCTAGGTACAGAGTTTTCAGTAGCCCTAAGTCCATAGAGAGAGGCACAGATACAGCCCATTAAAGGTAAACATGTAAGTATGGGGATATTGAGGTGGGGTGGGGTAGAATAACAGTAAAAGGCCTCCAAAGGAATCTATGTAGCATATCAGCAGTAATCTACCACAGATTCCTATCTTCAAAAGGGCTTAGGAATTCGAAGATAATTCAAAGGAAGCAAAAAGGAATTTACATTTATTACGTACCAGATGTTTTTTATTTTTCACCTGAGTTGACATGTGATTGATTTGGGTTTACCAAAGATAATTTTCCCCCAGATAACATAAAATATAGCAAAGCTGAGATTTGACCCATGCACCTCTGCTCTGCCATGTGCCAGACACATACTAGGCATTCGTGGTCTATGTTGTCACCAAACCACAGTATACTGACAGTACAGTAAAACAGGTATTCTCTTTTTCACTGTTGAAAAGACTTAGGGTTCAAAGCAGTTAATAACGAAGAATCATCACACAACTGGCCAACTGAGAAGAAGGGGAACAGATGGGAATAAAATCAAGGCTAGAAGTCTGCAGTCTCTAGATTCCAAATGATAGCACTCGTGTTTGTGTTCCTCTCTTAAATTCCATCCTCGAGAGTTCTGCCTGGACATGAGATCAGAAGAGCAGGCTGGACTAAGTGGTCTCTTCTGGGATACCTCCCAGCAGTGTTGACAATTTGGATAGAGCCAGTGATGTTGATCCAAGAAGGCAGGATTTTATATTTCTTTGTTTTGATTTGGTCTTTGGGGTTTTGTTTGTTTTTATACAAAAAAGTATGTTTAAAAATTTCATATTTTTAAGAAATGCTTTACTGAAACACTGATGTGTAGAAGCCTCTTTTAAGTTCTGTGTGAGCAAGCTACTGCTGGTGAAAATTAGGTCACTGTTTTGAAATTTGAGACAATAAATTACAATAGTTTTCTTGATGAAAAAGAAGCTCAAGCCTAGATTTTTTATTTCCTTTGCATATCTCCCATAGCTACAGTTTCCAATATGGCAGCCACTAGCCACGTGTAGCTATTGGGCACTTTAAATATGGCTCATCCAAATTGAGGTGTATGGTAAGTGTGAAGTTCATACTTAATTTTTATATTGATAACATGTTAAAATTATAATGCTATTGTGGATATACTGGATTCCATAAGCATATTATAAAAATTACTTTAATACTACTTTTTGCTTTGCTTTTTTTTTTTTATTTATTTTTACTTTGACAGGGAGTTTTGCTCTTGTCACCCAGAATGGAGTACAGTGGCACGATCTTGGCTCACTGCCACCTCCGTCTCCTGGGTTCAGGTGATTCTTCTGCCTCAGCTGCCTGATTAGCTGGGATTACAGTTGCGCACCACCACGCCCGGCTAATTTTTGTATTTTTAGTAAAGATGGAGTTTCACCATGTTGGCCAGGCTGGTCTTGACTCCTGACCTCAGGTGATCCTCCCGCCTTGGCCTCCCAAAGTGCTGGGATTACAGGCGCCACTGTGCCCAGCCACTTTTTGCTTTTCTTAATGTGGCTACTGGAAAATTTTAAATTACATCTGTGGATCGCATTGCATTTCAGTTGGACAGCAAGCACTGCCTCATAGAGATTATTCAGATAATGTATGAACTTAATTATTTCATATATGATTAACAAGCAGACCATAGGCCAGTGTCTGACTTTCACTGGGAGGTCTTGGCACCCTTCCTCACCTTGATGGTAAGGCCCCAGGACAAGGTGGAGAGGTAATCAAGGGCATCTTAGTTAGGATCAGTTGGCAATGAAAATGAACCAAGGTAATTAAAATACAATAAAAAGGGAATAGGAAATATGGGAAGCAATGGCAAAGAAGTGGTTTCCATTTGATTTCAGTGATGTGGGGGTTTAGAGGCCAGGTCTTAAATATATGTCACCTGTGTTCAAGTGAGCTGATAGAAGGACATCATCTTTCTTGGTACACAAAGAGACAAAGAAAAAATTTTTAAGAGTGCATCATCTAAGGCAATTAAATATGTATATGTGTGTATAAATAAGCATGTCTACCTCCTAGACACAAAGCTTTGGGTCCTGTATCTTGATTCCTTCTGTCTCTTTGTGCTCACCCCATCTTACTGCACTAGCCTTTTCTAAAACGCCAGTCTCTGTCACTACAAAAGAGACCCCAAGCCACCTCTTCTTCTCTTTACTCCAGCCCCGTGGTGACTCTTCTGTCTCTGAAGTGGGTGCCTTTGACACTTCTTATATTATTGTGTTATTCTTACACTGTTATTTTTCTCTATTTTCCTTATTCCTTGTCACTCCAATCAGATCCTAACTTCTTTGAGTTCAGGAACTACCCTCTCTCTTTTTGGCAGGTCCTTGCATGGAGGGCCTGCAAAAGAATATATACATGAATCCACAGCATGCTGCTAGGCACCCTAACCTTTTCCAGCCTCTGGTTGTCTTTGCTTTGGTTAATTAATATAATAATAATCTCCCAGGGTAGCCAATGAAGATATCATCAGAATTAAATGAAACATAACATTATTTAATGTTTTCTGGGAATGGCAGACTAGGTAATTCTAACCCAACCTACTGAGGACAACTATTTAATAAAATTCCTGGATTGAAACGTAATCCTGGATTAAAATCTTGGAAAGCATCAGAGCTAACATGAGAGAGAGGAATTACTGGGCAAAAATCTCAGAGAAAATAAGAACCCAGAGAAGAGAGCCAACACTCAAAGCCACTTTTGCAATGCACATGTCTACCAATCCAGAAGAAACAGCTGTGAAATTAAACAGTGCTTTAAGTAGCTACTTCAGGCAAGGAAGAGAAGCAAAAATCAAATCCAGGGTCCACAAAAGGTGAAGACTCTAATAAATTTTTTACTCCCAGCCCCACATACATACATGCTTTTGGCAGAGATTCTAAAAGACTACATCTTTAGGGGAAGGCCTGAAGTTAAATCAGGCCTTGACTTGGGGTTCCTATCATCTGAGTGGTTTGGGGAACTTCAAGCATTAGCCTTTGAAATAGGATTAGTTGAAGTCATGCAGTGCTTAGGTCAGTATCCTGGCTCCTAATTGGGAACTGTTTCCAACACCCCACCTGCTACATCTTGCAGTGTGGCACCGGACAGGATGAAACAACAATCCTCTCTGGAGAAGGATCCCCCATCTTCTTAGGCCTCAAGCTATTTCTACAGATTACTTTTTAAGTGCAATGTCCAGCACAATCAGAGATCACCAGGCTACCAGGAGACAAGACATGACGTGTGAGAACTAACAAAAGGAGTAGAAGATGCCCTATGTGATTAAATGAGATAGGACACATGATCATGCTTTCTAAAGCTTTTAAAAATACTATAAGGTTGAATGGTAGAAAATCTCAAAGACGAAGATTTAGTGTTTTTGTTCTGCACTGTGATTCACTGTGAGAATTTTTATCTTAAATAGAGAACTAGGATTTTCCTGTTAGATCAGACCAATAATGAAACATGTATACATTAATTACTATATTTCTAGAAGCTTTTGTTTGTGTCAAGTTTTGCTGCCACCATCTGAGTGAATAATTTTTATTTGATTTTTGCATTGATTTCACTGTTCCATCTTTCTTTCTTAAATAGTACTACTAATATGAATAATAGTTAATACTCATTTGCTTTACAAATATTAACTCATTGAATTCTCACCGTATTTCTGTAAGATTGCTGCTATGCAAATGAGAGAAACACTACATGTATTATAACCTGCCCAACATCACACAGCCAGAAAATGGCTTTAATCCAGACTGGTTTCATGTGTGTCATAAGCTGTCCCCTCATTCCTCATAAGATATTATATGTAGATCTCAGATAGTTTGAAGAATTTCTACTCCCAGCACTTGTGTTTATTGGCGCATGTCTTTACTGGTTCATTCTTAGGACTGTAAGCTCCCTGAAGGGAGAGAATGTGGCCCTTTAGATATTAAGCCGCCGCCGGGCGCAGTGGCTCATGCCTGTAATCCCAGCACTTTGGGAGGACGAGACAGGTGGATCACGAGGTCAGGAGATCGAGACCATCCTGGCTAACACGGTGAAACCCTGTCCCTACTAAAAATACAAAAATAAGCCGGGCGTGGTGGCGGTTGCCTGTAGTCCCAGCTACTGGGGAGGCTGAGGCAGGAGAATGGCAGGAACCCAGGAGGCGGAGTTTGCAGTGATCCGAAGCCGCGCCACTTCACACCAGCCTGGGCCACAGAGCGAGACTCCATCTGAAAAAAAAAAAAAAAGAAAAAAAGGAAAAAAAAAGACATTAAGCCACCATAGCTGACAGATTGGCAGAGCCCGAGTGATGCCTTTGTTTGGGATGAGATAGAGTCTCCGCATTCTCAGGCCTGCTTTGTTTGCTTCTCTTTCAGAAAGTCCCACCATCATGCTGTCTGCTGGCAGCTTTTCCTCCCCCTATGAGCACCTCAGCCAGCCAGAGACAAAGCGCATGGTAGAGCACTACACCGCCTATCTCAGCGACAACACCCGCCTCATTGCTAACCCGGGCCTCAAAGTAAGCATTGGCGCAGAGCTCCATTTCTGGTGTCCCCCTCCACAGGCCCAGCAGGGGGTGCTGGCAGTGAACCTTTGAAGTAGGAAACCCAGCTCTGCATCTGTGCCTCTCAGCTGGAGAGCTGCAGAGTGTGTGGCCCAGGGGAGGCTGGTCAGCAGTGACTCTTCTGATGGATGAAGAAGCCCCGTGGGCCACATGGAGAATCTGTTACAGGCCTTAGAAGCACTGGGGGTTTCCAGTGATGTTAGAGGGATGTGATTTAGAGACTAGTGAAACTTTCCCAGCCCTGTCTTACCCAGAGGAAGAAGTAAAGTGCCCCTGCTGTCTCTCGAGATAAATATAAGTATAAAGTTTAAGGAACAAAGCTTTAGGGTTAGTGTGTATATATGTGTATATTAATGACTCGCTATAGGATTTTTCTTCTTAAACTCAGAAAGCCTAGGTAGGGTGAACAATTGAGTGATCACGCATCTGCTGACTGTATTTCTGCAAGCTTTTATTTTCACCAAGTTTGGTTGCATCCATCTGCTGTGGAAAGATTTTTAAAAAGTAATTCGGCTTGGCTTCTCTGCAACAGAGCTTTGGGAACACTGCCAGCAGCCCACTCTCTTTTCATGTGAGTTTTAAAGGATCCCTGCTATGTCTTCCTTTGTTTCCCAGTTCTCTGTCAGAAATGAAGTAATGGCTACCAGCCACGTCACAGATGAATGGATGACACAAATGGAAATGAGTAGCCTGAACACTTACATTGTCCGCCGTTACATAGCAACACCCAATGGCGTCCTCAGAATTTATCCTGGTTCCCTCATGGACAAAGCATTTGATCCCACTAGGAGACAATGGTGAGTTTTAGGGGCTTCCGTTATCAAAGGTTCTCCCCCAAATCCTGGAGAGACATGGTAAGTACATACAATAAAGCAACTTCAGGGCATTAAACTAAAGAAGATACTTTCATGGTGGTGAAAAATGTTCCTGAATAGTTTTTTCAGTGCAGCATTAACAACAGCTTTGTGGGGTTTTTTCTATCTAAAATGTTTTTATCTCATTGAAATTTTGAGCCTGAAATTCTTTATGCTTGGCAATTTTAATTCCTAGTGGTTTGTTTGATTCCTACCTTATGCAAAATGTGTCCCTACTGGATAGACTTCATTTTACTACACATGATTATGGAATCAAGTTACAGCTTATGTATGACCTGTGAAAAATGAACACACAAATTCAAAAACATTCTTTTACTTCTAGGCTTTTTTTTTACTTTAATTTTCAAAAGCAAGAGCTAACAATGTGCTATAGCATAGCAGGGGAGTCAACTGGACATAAGAACAGAAAATCTACCTAGCCTCTAAAACATCTCTACCTGTAACCCTAGCACTTTGGGAGGCCAAGGCAGGTGGATTGCTCGAGCCTAGGAGTTCAAGACCAGCCTGGGTAACATAGTGAAACCCCATCTCTACAAAAAAAAAAATACAAAAATTAGTTGGGTGTGGTGGTACACACCTGTAGTCCCAGCTACTCAGGAGGCTGAGGTGGGAGAATTGCTTACGCCTAGGAGTTTGAGGCTTCAGTGAGCCAAGATCACACCACTGCACTCCAGCCTGGGCGATAGAATGAGACCCTGTCAAAAAACAAAACAAAAAAACAAAAAAAACAACTATACTACATATCTTAGTAAATGCCCAGATATATACTGAGTTCAATGTCTCTTTTTAAAGTAAGAAGGAATTTCAGATTCTCTTTACTACTTGTGTTGATGCTACAGTCAGATACAAAAGATGAGAATCCTTTTGCATTTCAGTGTAACACAAACAAAATTCATCCTAAATATTTTTAGACTTATAAGCTCACTTTTCTTTGAAATTTACAGAGTAGAGGTGCATACTTAAAAATAACATGACTTGGCCGGGTGCGGTGACTCACACTTGTAATCTCAGCACTTTGGGAGGCTGAGGTGGGCGGATCACGAGGTCAGGAGATCGAGACCACGGTGAAACCCCGTCTCTACTAAAAATACAAAAAATTAGCTAGGCATGATGGCGGGTGCCTGTAGTCCCAGCTACTTGGAGAGGCTGAGGCAGGAGAATGGCGTGAACCCAGGAGGCGGAGCTTGCAGTGAGCTGAGATCGCACCACTGCACTCCAGCCTGGGCGACAGAGCAAGACTCCATCTCAAAAAAAATAAATAAAAAATAAAATAACATGACTTTCTTTGGTCTCCATTAGGTATCTCCATGCAGTAGCTAATCCAGGGTTGATTTCTTTGACTGGTCCTTACTTAGATGTTGGAGGAGCTGGTTATGTTGTGACAATCAGTCACACAATTCATTCATCCAGGTAATATTTTAACTAACTTTATAGTCATTTCTTAAATATATCAAGGATATTTTGGAAATCTGAATAGAAGAGTACGCGCACCAAGGCTTAGAGGCAGAAGCATGACCTTTAAAGTGAGGCCAGCTGGGATTTGAACATCTTCTCTTTCTGTCACCTTCAATTCCGTAGCTTTCTCCTGCCGTCTATAAAATGGGAATGATACCTACCTCACATGGTTGTCATGTAAACTGAGTCAGTGAAAGGCTGTTAGCCCTGTTCTTGGCAGCCATGATGATGTTTATGAAAAAGAAAAGATGTTGGAGTCTAAAGAGCAGTTTGAAGAAATATCCACTTTAAACTGATGAAAGAAATATCAATAGGAGCCTGACAATTATGATTGCCAGAGAGTGTTTCCCAAGAAAAGGAGGATTGTTAATGAAGAAAAACGGGGTGGGTTCATTGGCTCACACTTGTAATCCCAGCACCTTGAGAGGCTGAGATGGGCGGATCACTTGAGACCAGGAGTTCCGGACCAGCCTGAGCAACATAGCGAGACCCTGGCTCTACAAAAATAAAATAATTAATCAGGCATGATGGGGCACACTTGTATTCCTAGTAACTCAGGAGGCTGAGGCAGGAGGCTAGCACCCTGGGAGTTTGAGGCTGCACTCTAGCCTGGGTGACAGCGTGAGATCCTGTCTCAAAAAAAAAAAAAAAAAAAAAAAACGAGAAAGAAAAAGTACCAAGATATCAAACTTACTGCCTCTTGTATTTGAGTCTAACTCTTTAGAATTAAATAAGTTGTTTGTTTGGTTTTCTTCTTTAAAAAAAAATTGTCCTTGAAACTATCTCTTGAAAAATTAAAAGGCTTTTTGAAAATTGATTTTCCCAGAATGCTATATCAATATCACTGGAAATATATTTAGAGTGCTTTATGCTTCCTGCTTTTAAGGTTTCAATATTTAAGCTACAGATGTCAGGGAAATGTTTGGTGGGGAGGCAAGTCACACACATTGTTTTAATCCCTTCATTATACAAATAGCTATTTTTTCCTAGCAACCAAGAAAGATCATATTTTGACTGGTACCTGTAATGATGCCTTAACATTTATAGGAGGCAGATTTTCTTGCTTAAGTTTATGCTTTTCACTGGTGCTCATTGTGTGTCAAATGATTGACATTCAGTAAAATTCCTCTTAACGGAAGTTCATTGGGAGCAAGAATTGGGAGGCCATAGGTGTGGAATTTCAATATCATGGCCTATGTCTCGTGGAAAACGGGGCCCTGCAGCCAGCCAAATGTTGACTCCTTTGTAGGGTATGGTATCTGTCTGAATCTGTCAGCTTCTCCCATCATATAAGATTTCATATGCAAACAAGTAAACACTTACTTAGAACACATCCCTCAGTGTTCTCATTAACAGACCATGTGTGAAGCACACTCCTACTGATGTCTAAATAGAGTGACTTGTCATGCCTCCCATATATTCTAATGGGTTGAGAAAAAGTAAACAAAGACTGTTTCTTTTGAGGGGAAGCAGTCACCTTGGTCTTTGATTACAATGAAATGGGCCAGAACTGGGCTGTTAAAGATGTTGTTATAGTGCAGGGAATCAAAACCCAGGTGTGCCTTAGTCATTAGGTGACCCAACTGACTCCTCTCACCTGGCAGCTTATCATCAAGAGCCATTTGCTTTTCTGTCTAGACATATTCTTTTTGTTCAAGAGGGCAAGGGTAGGGGCAGATGTTTATGCTTGTGTATGTACGTTTACATGTTTTTGTTGGGATTCAAATGGGTGGAAGAATTTTGATTTGGTTTGTTTACAAATATTTATCGTGTTGGTCCAAGTGAATCACAATGGAAATATGATGGACTTTCAAGTTACAAAAACCCAGGTTCAGGCCGGGCACAGTGGCTCATGCCTGTAATCCCAGCACATTGGGAGGCCAAGGCAGGCGGATCATGAGGTCAGAAGTTCAAGACCAGACTGACCAACATGGTGAAACCCCGTCTGTACTAAAAATACAAAAATTAGCTGGGCATGGAGGCGCATGCCTGTAATCCCAGCTACTCAGGAGGCTGAGGCAAGAGAATCGCTTGAACCCGGGAGGCGAAGGTTGCAGTGAGCCGAGATCGTACCACTGCACTCCAGCCTGGGCGACAGAGCAAGACTGCATCTCAAAAAAAAAAAAAAAGAAAAAGAAAAAAAGAAAAACCCAGGTTCAGCCAAATGCAGTGGCACATGCCTATAATCCCAACTACTCTGGAGGCTGAGGCACAAGACTCACTTGAACCCGGGAGGCGGAGGTTGCAGTGAGCCAAGAATGTGCCACTGCACTCCAGCCTGGGCAACAGAGTGAGGCTCTGTCTCAAAAAAAAAGAGAAAACTCCAGATTCAAATCCCTCATTTGGTTACTTTTACATCATGGGTTGAACCTACACAAGTTTAACTAGAATATAATAAGAGCAAGAAATGGCAGTTGAAGTCCTGGGTTCTGCCTCCTGAGTCACTCAGTGAGTGTATATTCCCCAGAATAAGTGCTCTTGCCCTGTGCAATATGAAATCCCACGCACCTGGTCGTTTGAATATTTTGCTTAGCAGAGTGTGATTTTACTATTTAGAGCTGTGTATTTTTCAATCAACAGAGTTTAAAATGCAAGTCAACTACCTCTTATGGTGCTCAGAGTAACTATGACTTTGATGGATGCACGGATAGATAGGCTTTGCAAAGGTATTTTTTTCAAATGATTACTGATGATTTTGGCCTTGGGTGCCAGCTTGAGAACTTCATCCCTCCTAACACATGGTTCTACTCCCAAAAAGTAGATTTGCCATTTACTGTTTGCATGACTATAAACAAACTCCTTTTCACCTTTGTTTCCCCACTTAGGAAAGTGAGATATTAGAGCCTATCTCAAATGATTATTTTTAAAGATTAAATTAAATAATATGTGTCAGTCTCCTAGAACAGTGCCTGGTATCTGGTAAGGGCTCAATAAATGTTAAGCACTTTTATAATAATGTTTTGTGACCTCGCTGACTTCATATGTAAAACAGAGGCTGTAATACCTGCATTGAACTGATAGGATGAGAATTAGAGATGATGCATGCATGTCAAGTGCTTAGTACTGTACTTAAGAGGTCGAGTCCCAAATAAATGGCAGTTATTTTTATCATGCTATTTTTGTTTTAAAGTTCTGACATTTTAGCAGGTCAGAAGAGAAAGCTTAAGCTAATCTTCAGCTTGTCATGAAGCAGTCCCATGAACTCAGTTTTCAGTGGTTTGGCTGAGAATTAGAGGCATTTTCTAATTCAACACTCACTTATCAGTTACTCATAGTAAGCTTTCTTGTGATTCTTTCATACACATTTTTAGTGCCCTGAGAATCTGGGTTTGCATTCTTTGGAGAAGGGTGGTGCTGCTAGAGATGAAGTACAATCATTGAGTAAAGGACTGGTTAGATGTGTCTTTGGCTGTGAAAATCTCACGGAAGTATTGCAAACAGCCTGGTCTGTTGTACTTAGAAATATAGGTTTGGTGTGATTTTTTTTTTTCCAGTATCATTCTTTATGAGTTGCTATGGTAACAGTGTACCCATCTGAAATGCAGGTGAAAATATGAATCCTAGATTTATGTAGGCAATATACGTGCTGTTGCTTTAGCATGTTTATCATTTTGAAGCAGATGGCAGTTATACAAGAGAAGTTTAGAAATAAAATTACCTTATACCAAAACACCTAAGTGCTATTTTTCACCGAGGTAGCTGTAGGGTTGTAGAAAGAGCCAGGTGTGGGTACTGGTCTAATCTATCTTATGTGTTTTTGCCCTTCTCAGCCTAATCTTCTATTTATAAAATGGGAACTATGATTCCTTTATGGCTTTTTCACAGATAGTTAAATAGTGTAAAGTTGCTTGGAAACGCTTGAATGCTCTGCAGATCTAAGAAGGCAGTACAACTTCATGGTATATGCTTTGGAGTTGAAGACACTAAGTTTAAAGCCCTGCTTCCACCAGCCCATTGTTGTGTGTCTGTAGTCCCAGCTACTTGAGACTGGGGCAGGAGGATCACTTGAGCCCCCAGGAGCTTGAATCTAGCCTGGGCAACATAGCAAGACCCCATCTCTTACAAAAATGATAAATACATTTCTGCTTCTACTAGTTATTCACTATGTGACCTTGGCCAAATAACTAATTTCCCCAAGCTTTAGTTTTCTGGAAATTATAATGCCTTTTAAGATTGCTATGAGAAATAATTAAGGTTTTTGTGATTAAAGAAATTAGGCAGGTGGGTGATGCTAAATAATAGGCTCTTAGAAAGTCCTATGTTGGGTAAACTGCAAATTCTCAGCCACAAGAGTATGGGGAGTTCGTTGGTCAAGTAGCACATGCCCTCCCAGTTACCCATGAGCATAGATTAAAAACAGCCAAGGTTCCAAGTGAGAAGTCCACACTTCTGACACACCTAGCAATTTCTTGAAGTGCGTTTTCTCTGAAAGAGTAATAAGTTTATTGTCAACTCATGCCTGAGGGCTCAACTTCACTGTTTAGTTTTCTTTAGCTTAGCTTCTATTTTTTTAGGTGTTCACTGTAAATACACCATCTCATTTAATCCCAATAACAGCCTTATAAAGTAGGTACTATTATTGAATCCATTTTCAGGTGAGAAAACTGAAACTTAGAAAGGTGAAACAGCATTCCATAAGCCACATATATAGAAAGCAACAGGGCCAAGATTTGACTTCAGATCTGCTGATTCCAGAGCCAAACAAGTTAGCACCGTGTTTTACTGCCCAATTTTCTCTTCCTTGGCTGTTGAGAGTAGCAGGGTGGAATGGAGAAAGCACTGGCCTATGGACCAGGAGAGTCTTGTTCTAGAATATGAGCTGTGCTCTGAGTAGAGTCAACCTTAATGTTGTGGGAAAAAAACTGGACTAGACATTGTTCCTCCTAAGTTTTGTATGACCTTAGCCACTCAGTTAACCTTTGTGAGATCTCAGTTTTCTTATCTAAAAAATGAAGTAAATAATAAGGGTGTTGCTAAGGGGGATTTTTTTTTTATCTAGAGGTTTGTTGGAAGTAACTGTAGTAGTCATGCATCCAACCTCCCACCTGATGCCTCTGTGCCCATATTTTTGTCAGTCGAGCCACTCTCTGAACGTCATATTTCACAGCTGCTCAGGTTTTGGGCCACTCTTATTTATACAGTCCTACATTAAGTCTTAAATTTTTTTCTCTCATAAAATTTCCATGTTGTGTTAAATCAGTCACTTAGTTGATCATTTTTGTAGGTGGGAAAAGTAGGGAGGAACAGTGGGAAGGTATTTCTAATACCAAACAATGTCCCTGTGACTGAACATAGCTTTTATCCTTAAATAAGCCATGCCTATTGTTCTCATTGATCTTTTTCACTTAAAGTACACAGCTGTCTTCTGGGCACACTGTGGCTGTGATGGGCATTGACTTCACACTCAGATACTTCTACAAAGTTCTGATGGACCTATTACCTGTCTGTAACCAAGATGGTGGCAACAAAATAAGGTAAGTGCTTTGGGGATGCTATTTCCTTTCTAGCTGCAGTTTAAAAATAGATGTCAGGTATCTCTAGTTGAATGGGAACCGCATAGTTATGGTCAGGAATAGAAATCTAATTTATGGCCTGGGTGTCCTATTAAGAAGGTTTTTGTTCTTTTTCTCTTCTTTCGTTTTTCTGAGATGCATACTGTTTATGATTTAGACAGACTCAGCACACAACAAGAAAAATAACTGTAGCATGGAATGCACCAAAAGCTCTTGTTTCCCTGGAAGTCAGTAATTAGAGGCTTCCCATATCTTTGGTACTAGAAAGACCAGAGAGGACTCTTGGGTAGGACTTTTGATGTTAACTTTGTCATTAAACCAAAGTCTTTGTGACATTTTCAGCTGCTTAGACTGTTCCTTTTACATTTCCCCAGAAAGAGACCATGGAACCAAAAGTCTCTGCCTCCTGAATTTCAAAAGAACTTGTCTGATCAAAGCAAGGGCATACCCTTGATTTAATGCAGGCTGCTTTTAAAAATAGCTTTCTTAGTTCCACCTCATGGTTCATGCTTCGTGTCATTGGCCCTTATGGGGAAATGCAGAATTCCTGGCAAACTGATATCACTAATGTAAAGTAAAATAAAGCAAAATATAGTCTTGATTAAAGCAGTTCTAGCTTCATTTATTGTTTCTATCAAATATAGATCAAATATAGTAGTCCCCCTCTTATCTTTGGTCTCGCTTTGTGAGGGTTCAGTTACCCATAGCATAATACAATAAGATATTTTTATAGAGACAGAAAGACCACATTCACATAACTTTTATTACTGTTATAATTGTTCTATTTTATTATTAGTTAATGTTGTTAATCTCTTACTGGGCCTAATTTATAAATTAAACTATCACAGGTAGATATATATAGGGAAAAACCTGTATATGTAAGGTTCAGTACTATCATCACTTTCAGGCATCCATTGGGGGTCTTGGAACATATCTTCCACAGATAAGGGAGAAGGACTACTGTATATTTTTATACATCCCCTGCGTGTTGTTATTTTGTGTATATTTATCATTGAAAGAAGAAATTATATGCTTTACTTCAAATCTGTCAGTAGAAATACTCAAGTCTACTTCCTTTAGGATCTGCTTGCCTGGAAAAAAAGAACAAACTTCCCATTCATACATCTTTGCAAAAGGTCTGAGTCCATCTTACTCGGACTGGGTGAGCGCATTCTGTATACACTATGTAGGTGACCACAGAGTCAGGTGTAACTCTTACCTTAACCTCTACTCTAGGTGACCCGCAACCTCAAAAATCATGTACCTGTCTACCTGCCTGCCAGCTTCCCTTCATTTTTCCAATGAGTATTTATTGAGAACCTGGGATAAATGCAGTTTGTTTCAGGGCTAGCAAGATAAATGCTCTCTGAATACGTTTGAAAAAAAAAAAAACAGCTGATATGAATGAGGGGCATAACTTGTTTTGGTACAGGTGCTTCATAATGGAGGACAGGGGTTATCTGGTGGCGCACCCGACTCTCATCGACCCCAAAGGACATGCACCTGTGGAGCAGCAGCACATCACCCACAAGGTATTTGTCACAAAGCTGAGCTGCTCAGTTCTCCAACCTCCTGCAGCTCACTACATGGCATATGTCTTCTGTTCTCTTTGGCCTTGGTAGGAGCCCCTGGTAGCAAATGATATCCTCAACCACCCCAACTTTGTAAAGAAAAACCTGTGCAACAGCTTCAGTGACAGAACGGTCCAGAGGTTTTATAAATTCAACACCAGCCTTGCGGTAAGTTGATCTGATTCCTTAACACTCTCATTTTTCCATCCCATTATGGAACATGAATTGGAATCATGGCTAGTGTCTGAATATTATTCCTACCTGTTTCATCGCCTTAGAACTATAGAATGATAGGAGGAGACAGGAGCTTAGTTCCAGTTCCCAGTTTGACAATTGGGAGATATAAAGCTCAGAGTAGAAAAGTAAAAGTTTTAAGGTCTCTCAGTTGGTATTTTGTTTTGGTTTTATTTGTTTAAAGACTTTCCCAATGTAAGTCCTTTGAAATATCTGCTGAAGTTGGTTCCCACAGTCTTGTATAAATATATGTGGCACCATGTGTTCCTCTCTTCCTGTCTTCTAGAGATCACTCGGGCTCCTTAAATTCCCAAGGCCAAGTTAGGTCAGTTCTTGATCATTTGCTCTATGAGATGGGAACTCTTATGTAAATCATCTGAAAATAATGTCTTTTTTTAGCTTAGAGTACTCTGTATAGTTTGAGTTGCTGCAAATTTACCTGGTTATGGTTAAAGATCTTAAGGACATTCTCATTAATTTATAAATAATCCTAGTTGGGAGAAAGCTAAAATGGGGAATGAAAGAACATTCAAAAAGCTATTTACAGGAAGTAGGTTTTTTATTTAGAATAGGCATTTATGTCAGTCATTAAGTATGTAATTAATTTTTAAAATGTACTGGGTTAAATTAAAAATCCTAAACTGAGTCTCAAAAACTCTATTGCAGAAAGCAATTATCTGGTGGAAAAGAGTAGTTTAAAACATGAATATGTTAATAGAATGGTGTGTTCAAAGCAAGGGAAGTCATTATTACCCTGTTCAGACCCCATACCATTTTGAGAAGCACTGTTTTTAAAGGAGACATTGACAAATGAGACTGCCAAGTAAGGTTGTCATAGGAAAGTCTGACTTATTCTGTGTATCTTCTATTATTTATGCAATGATTTCTGGAGTCTTCAGCACACAATGCCAGGATACTCAGGTAGATACTTCTCAAAAGGCAAATTCGAATAATTTATTGGCCCAAGTTATCCCCAAATGGAATTAGAGCATTCCTGGGTATTGGGGCTGTCAGGACTCCAAGCCTATGTTACTGCTTATGTTCTAGAGGTGGGTGTCTTCCAGACAGTTAGAAATTCATGTAGACCTCTAAAAACCCATTGAGTGCTATGATTCTCAGAACTAAGCTAATCCTCACCAAGCATATATACAGGGTGAATGGCATGAAACAAGCTTGAGGTGAAATAATTTGCCTAGTGTATCTGACACACATGCAGAAAAATGATTACATGCAACTCTACAATACCACTTTGGAATCTTTGATTTTCTAATATGATAAACAAAATTGGCAATTCAAGAAACTTGCTATCACATTTTCTTGTTATGGAATGAAGAAAAGGGATACTTGTTTTAGTTGGATTATTTAAATATTCTAGAAGCAGAAATTTGCCTGTTAGGTTTGATTTTTAAATAATTTTATTATTATAAAAGGAAAAAGGTTCATCACCCAAAGAAAGGGGAATGCACAATTTGTGGTTAACTAGGTTTGCATGTGAATAAATTTTAAACTATTCCTTCCCTGAAAATTGTCTTTTATTGCTTCTTGAAGTATTCATTTTCCTGGTATATTGTTATGTGTTAAGAAAAAACAGATTTTAATAACAGTTATAAAAGTTACATTTGTATAAGCACAGATAAAAGAATTCATAATATATACACAGCTGTTCAATGGGAGATATCTCTGATTATGAATAATTTTTATTTTCTAAATTTTTAACAGTGACTATATATTTTTTAACAGTGACTTTTGTAATCAGAAACATTTTATTTTAAGCTATTTTTCGTAGGTAGTTGAAGAGTTGTTTTCACCAAGGTAGGGCTGAGTCTTTGCATTGCTGTCTGTCATTTCTGATACCTTGATTGTTCTGTAGGGGGATTTGACGAACCTTGTGCATGGCAGCCACTGTTCCAAATACAGATTAGCAAGGATCCCAGGAACCAACGCGTTTGTTGGCATTGTCAACGAAACCTGCGACTCTCTTGCCTTCTGTGCCTGCAGCATGGTGGACCGACTCTGTCTCAACTGTCACCGGTAAAAATGCAATGGGTCATATTCTGTGTTCACCACACTGTTTAATATTTCAACTGATGTCAGGCATTTTGAAGTGCAAAATAAACAGAAAGTGCTGGTGTGTGTCCTGAAGAAAAGTCACAGTTACAAAGCCACTTAGAGCTGTGCCGTTTGCAGCATCCTTGTCCAAAGAACAATGGATTAAGGCCATTTATGTATTTAACCTTTGGCTGTAACTTCTTTTTTACTATTCTTTTAAACTAGCTCAGAGCTTCATTATTTTGCTTCCCCAGCACATGTACAACTTACAGTTTGCCATTGACCTTCTGCATAGTAACTTTCTTTTTGCTTTTCAGAATGGAACAAAATGAATGTGAATGTCCTTGTGAGTGCCCTCTAGAGGTCAATGAGTGCACTGGCAACCTCACCAATGCAGAGAACCGGTAAAATAATTAATAATAATAATAATAATAATAATAATAATAATAATAATAATAATACATATGTAATACTGTGAGTCTCTTATAGATTTGTTTTGAGTTAGGGCGTATAAAGATGATTCATTCTAATGATAGAACTAACTGTTCAGTGAGCCAGAATTCAAGCTCCGTAGTGCCATAAAATGATGCCTGTTTCAAGGTTTAAATTTAACTGCTGTAAAAGTATTAAGAGTGTATGTGCTACATACAAAAAAATGTGAGAATGTTTCAAGCATTTACTAAGTGTCTACCATGTGTTGAGTACGTTATGCACATTAAGTCACTTAGTGTTCTAATTAACCCTGTGATAAATATGCAAGTGTTTTTTACACACGTATGATGTGTTCTACAGCATTATTTATATCAGTGACAGATTTTAACACCAGGAAAATAAATTGTAATAAACCCCTTCTCTAGAAATTAAGAGTGTCATGTGTGTTTGTATTGTGTGTGTATAATTGTTTGTTGAGACATGGTCTCACTCTGTTGCTCAGGATGGAGTGCAGTGGCGCGATCATGGCTCACTGCAACCTCTACCTCCAAAGCTCAAGCAATCCTCCCACCTTTCTACCTCCCTCGTAGCTGGGACTGCAGGCATGTGATTCCCAAGCCTGTCTAAATTTTGTTGCTGTAGTAGTACTTTTCGTAGAGATGAGGTTTCATCATGTTGCCTAGGTTATTTGTATTACTTCTACTGTATATAAAGATAAGTAAATTGAAGCTCAGAGTTGTTAAGTGATTGATACAAGGTTACACACTAAGTGGCAAAGCCAGGATTCAAACCCAAATCTGTCTGACTGCTGTTAAGGACCAGGAGCATGAGTTTGGAATGTGGGCGGTGGTCGTCTTAACCTCCAGACTTACCTCCTGCACAGAAACCCCAGCTGCGAGGTCCACCAGGAGCCGGTGACATACACAGCTATTGACCCTGGCCTGCAAGATGCTCTTCACCAGTGTGTCAACAGCAGGTGCAGTCAGAGGCTGGAAAGTGGGTAAGCAGAATCTAGTAAAGAATTGAGGTTTTCCAGCTAATATTTATTATTCCTACTCTTCGTGTTTTAAAAAGGTATGTCAGTTTTTCAGATCTGAAACTGATTTCCATAAGCCTTTACCCACCAGATTAAATGTTGTCTCGTTCCCACTTATTACCCGTATTTAGCGTGTGTACCATATGTTAGTAGCCTCATCTGTGAATGGGAGTTTTTCTTGAAATAAAAGACTTGTGAGGGGCCATGGCATGAAGCAGCAGGGCAAGGGAGGAGGAACCCCTGAGGTCCAGAAGCAGAACCCAGTGGTCAAGGCTCTAGGTGTGATATTTTGAAGCTCATTTATTTTCCTTTCTTAGGAAACACATCTGCTTCATGATAGTTTTGAGAACTAAAAACTACATGTTCCCCGCTCTCTCCCCACTCCTCAGGTGGGATTAGGAGTTTGGGACTAGACATTATGGAAATAGTGGCTGTGGTAGACTAAGTAAAGGGGAGTTGGTTTTTAGCTTATTGTAGCTGTAGCTTGCCATTTTATTAAACAGTGTTTAGAGGGATAGCTTACTCTGCTTTGCGTGTGTATTTTAGCAAAGGAATTGTGGCATCAAACTGATTAATTTGGGATGTTATACAGTAGCCCCAAGTCAATTAAGTTTGGGAAATGCTGACACTGCATATATTCTCTTGAGACAGTCACAATGCATGTAATACACTAAAGGCTCTGAGAAATTGGCAGTGAGGAAACCTGTGGTGACTGGCCAAGTATTTCCAAACTTATTGGACTTTTTTTTTTATTTTTTTAAATGACCCCACACTTGGGGGATGTTAAGCCAGAGTCTAACAAACATTGGGGTCATTTCTGTTTGGTCTTGTAAGATGATTTTGAATAGCCCCATGATGTGTGGATGTCATTATTTAATTCACAGAGAGCAGTTTTATTTCTCTCCTTTCCAAGTTGTTAAGAGGCATAAAACAGTTATTTCCCTGGCAGTCTATTGCTATTCTCATTTTATAAGGAAAGGAAACTAAAGCTCAAGAAATTCACAGCACTAGTAAGTAATGGAGATCCTGAGAACTGTCTGATGCCCACACTTAAGTGCTGTCCCCTGCCCCACACTGCTTTATAGAAGACTAAGTATTGTTTTTCTGGCAGGGACTGTTTTGGGGTGCTGGATTGTGAATGGTGCATGGTGGACAGTGATGGAAAGACTCACCTGGACAAACCCTACTGTGCCCCCCAGAAAGAATGCTTCGGGGGGATTGTGGGAGCCAAAAGTCCCTACGTTGATGACATGGGAGCAATAGGTATGTTTGTTAGATGCCCCAACAATTTGATTCTTGAATATACAATTTCCTGCCTATATGCTAGGACATCTTAAAATAATCCTCTTCCCAACTTCCCTGATTCCTTTGCTGGTAGTCTTTAGTTACAAAACCAAGGCAGATAATTACCTTCAGAACTGGCTAAATATTCTATGCAGAGAGAGTGAGTGGCCATCTGTGCTGCCAAATTTTACAAGCCTGGAATTCATTCCCATAAAGCTTGTTCTGATAAATATAAGGACTGGTTTCTGCATGGCCAAACTCTGGAGTCTGTTTGGATATGCACGCCAGCTGTCAGAAGCACAGGGCCGTGTACGGAGTGACCACTGTATGTCTAGTGCCTGCTAAAACCTTCACTCACAACTTTTGCAAGGTAGAAGTCTTATAGCTACAAATCAGTATTTGGGGCCTTGGAGTCAACAGAAGCCAGAGCTACCCAGTGCATCTGGGACAGCTTAGGATGAAGCACAAGGACACCACAGGGTGGACAGCCCCTGGGATCAGTCTCCAAGACCTCAAAAATACTGCCAAGATTAGATTGCTTACCTGAGATTTTTTTTTTCAGTCTTTCCAGAATTAGCACCAAGGCCTAATTCTTAGATGGCAGTAGAGTCAAATATTTAAATCCTTAGTTAATACCTTGATTTTTAACATCACTTACATCAGCCTGTCTAGAAGAAAAGCTCATATGTGGGGAAGGATTTTGAGCTTGTATGTTACTGCTGAACTAGGTGAGGGTACATATGTGAAAGTGACTTGGCTCTGAGAAATCACTTTCTATGCTCACCTGCAGTTTCCTATCTGGAAAGCACAAATGGCCTTTTAAAGGAAACCCATAAGCTTCGAAACTTGATCCGGTTAGCGCATATTTATTGGACCTGGTGCCTTTTATTTCAGTGGTTACTCTGTACTAGGTGACTTTTCCTCTCTTCCAAGAGTAACTCATACCCCAGGGAGCTAGGACTCTGTTGGTGTTGGATGCTGCCTGTGTAAGCAATTCTTCTGGTCTGCTCACTCTTCCCAGCAGTCCTTGCCATTTGTGCTCCTGCTCTGCCTAGCAACCAACACTGGAGAACCAGGAATTAAATGTAGCCTCCGCTCCCACGTTCCCATGCGTCATGTTTGAGGAACTCAAAGCCTAACTAAGCATCTGTTTATCTTCCGCCAACCCCCTTCCCACTGTATTCCCTCCCATCTCACCATCCTTACTTTCTTCCCCACTTGGGAAATCTTAACAAGAAACATCTTCTTGCTCTTTCACTGAAGGTGATGAGGTGATCACATTAAACATGATTAAAAGCGCCCCTGTGGGTCCTGTGGCTGGAGGGATCATGGGATGCATCATGGTCTTGGTCCTGGCGGTGTATGCCTACCGCCACCAGATTCATCGCCGGAGCCATCAGCATATGTCTCCTCTTGCTGCCCAAGGTGAGCTCAAAATGAACCCCACAGGGGAGGCAGCAGCCAGGCTAGAAGGACAGTGGCGGGTTGTGTAAGCCTCTAAGGAACTGTCAGAACAGTGCTATACTTTCAGCTTCTGTGGAGTCATTTTGGAAGTTCCCAAAGCCTGCTTTCTTCTTCAGTGCCTAAACCCTACAAGCTCTATTTTGATCCCCGGAAAAATCCCTGGATCCTCTCCTTACCAGCATTAGCCCCCAGTGGCCTGCCTCTGCAATAAGCCAGTCAGGGGAGCTGGGATGCTGAGTGGGAAATTTTGTTTGTTAGATGTGCTGCCCTTGCAATTCCAAAAAGACAGGCAAATCAAAGATACCCCAGATCACTAATGGCAAGAATATAATCTGTTCGATTGCAGCTGCCATTATGTAGTGTGAATAAACACACATTTGAATAATCACATCTCTTAAAACAGGATAAGTCGGCCAATCGCGGTGGCTCATGCCTGTAATCCCAGCACTTTGGGAGGCCGAGGTGGGTGGATCATTTGAGGTCAGGAGTTCAAGACCAGCCTGGCCAACATGGTGAAACCCCGCCTCTACTAAAAATACAAAAACTAGCCGGTGCGGTGGCACCTACCCGTGGTCTGAGCTACTTGGGAGGCTGAGGCAGGAGAATCGCTTGAACCCAGGAGATGGAAGCTACAGTGAGCCAAGATCGCGCCATTGCATTCCATTCTGGGCGAAAGAGTGAGACTCCATCTGAAAAAAAAAAAAGTCATCGAAGCCAAGTACAAAATGATTCACCTATAATCATGGCCTCAATACCACGTGCAGTATCTATACTCTGTTTAAGTGCAGTATCTGTACTCTGTTTGCAGGGAACAAAACTGTTTAATGGCCATCTCCATCCTTCCTAAAACCCCAGTCCCCGGGGATGTGTTGACCTGACCTTTTTGGAGGTGAAGTTAACTCATCTTCCTGGCCACTTAGCTCACTCTAACAGCTGTAATGACAGGTTGATGTTAAAGCATTTCACTATGGCCACAAGCCTGAAGGGGAATCATGGAGTAATGTTACCTGATTTAGTAACAGGGATAATCACCATGTGCTTCCCTTGGTGAGATTCAGCTAGACTGAGGATGACCGTCATCCAGTGTTAGCTTATGCCTGGCCTTTTGGAGGCTTTTGTTGCACCATTTCACCAACACAGTCAGTCATTTTTCAATCCCTTTCCTTCTGTTTCAGTACTTTAGTAGAGGATTAAAGATTTGTTGGCCTCAATCAACTTCTTTTCTCCTCCTTTCTCAGAAATGAATTTCAGATGTCTCTTGATTACTTGTTCTTCTTGTTTGGATTCCTGCTCCCTCCTCCTTTAAAAAAACATGGGGCATCAGTTCATTCCCTTCTAAGATGGGATTCATTCTTGATGGAATGCTGTCACCCAGCCATCAAACAAGTGCTCAGCAGGGTATTAAAGCGGGTGATTTTGTTTGATTAAATAGTCATGTTTCTCTCTTTTTAATGATGGGTAGAAATGTCAGTGCGTATGTCCAACCTGGAGAATGACAGAGATGAAAGGGACGACGACAGCCACGAAGACAGAGGCATCAGTGAGTATTCAGCTGCCTTGCTGCAGAATGTGTCAGCAGGAGGCTAATCCAGAATAAATATTCTTTCTTATATCCTTTTGGCTTGTATTAAAATTTAAGAAGCTTTGACACGGTGGCTGGGTTTTTTTAGTTGTTTTTTTCCATCCTTTTTTGTTAGGAGTACGTGTAGGTCTTTGTTTTAGAGAATCTCAAAAGATTTTATTGTGTTTTTTTTTTTTTTTTTTTTTTTGCATTAAGTGTGTTGGCCTAAAACAGCTCACCCTTTCCTTTGTTTCTCTTGCTCATTATTTTCCAACCATAGTATTTTAGAAAAGGAAGTTTCAGGTATGCATTTTTTAAAAAATCCCTTAACTAGTATGTACAACTCAGGGAGGAAAAAAGAGCATTTTCTTTATCAAAAGAGATTTCCATTAGTGTTAAGACACCCTGGCCTTCAGCTACTAGACCATAGCTTCCTGATGCACGTTGGAGATATATAATTAAATACCTCTCACTGCACCAGTTCTAAAATCAGCACCCCAATCCCCAGAATTGTTTAAAAAATGATTTATTCTGGCTTTCCAAAGAGAATTCTCCCAGCATGTAAATGAGCCCTCTCAGAGCAAATGTGTTTGAAACAATGGAGATACTGGCATAAGAGTGACATTAACTGTCCTTGGCTTCCTACAGTCAGCAACACTCGGTTTATAGCTGCGGTCATCGAACGACATGCACACAGTCCAGAAAGAAGGCGCCGCTACTGGGGTCGATCAGGAACAGAAAGTGATCATGGTAAGGTCTAGCTTCCTGCATTTGAAGACCCAAGGAACCTCATGTACTCCTGTGGGATGATGCTCACACCCTATTTTGACATGGTTTTCCAAAAAGACACACCCCAGCATGCCACTGGTTTATAAGAGCCCGAGGACAGTTTTACTTATGTCTCAGCACTCCTCTGGGCACACAGATTGCTTTCAAGTTTTTCTCCATACAGAAGGATTCATATTGTTTAAATGGAGCCTGCTTGCCATCCCACTTGCTTTTCCATAAAATCAGCATCCTCTTAGGTCCCGCTCTCCAGTGTTGGCTGGCAAACAGCAGGATCTTTAAGGGCTTTTTCAGTCATGTCCCCTTGGGGCATGACAAGAATCTGTGCTGTCCTCCAGCATTCTCTTGCCCTGACCTCTGGCATGGTCTGGGGAGCTCAGAGAAGGCTTCACCAAAGAAGCAAGAAGCAACATTTGCACTGAGCCTTGAGGGGGTGATTAAAGAAAAGGTAGGGGCAAAGAATATTAGAGGCCAAAGGACCAGTGTTTACAAAGTCATGGAGTTGTGTAAGTGCCTGTAAGATGCTCAGGAAGGGTCAAGGCCAAATCATGAAGAGGCGCCGAGTGCTAGGTAACTTATGAAATCCACCTACTCTGCCAAAGACTTGGCCATCCCACATGGCTTCTCTCCTTCTCAGAGTCCATATCGCTCATTGTTGCAAAGAACAGCAGATGTATCCCAGTCTATAAGCATCACTGCCACAGTTCCACAAAAATATAACAGATGTGGGTAGTGTTTTTCCTGCCATTGTAAAATCTTTTTTTTTTTTTAAGATAGCTGTTTAATTTTCCAGAAATCTGTATTTTCCTCCTAGAATCAAGTCCTTTTTTAAATACATAAATAGTGTATTTAAGCCTTTTTGACTTAGCTTTTTCCACACCTATCCTGGAAAAAAAAAGTCCTCAAACCTTGTATTCCCTGTATCTACACTAAAAAATGCAAAAATAGATACTCCTCAGAGCAACCAACGTCACCATTTACACTACAGCCAGGTCTTCAAACTCCCTTTGGCAAATAAGAGCAGCTAAAGCTCTGTTTTATAAATTGGAGACTGTTAATTTGGGCTTTGAATGACATTATTCCCACCAACTAAATAGAAACTTCAGGTTTCTATGGAGAACCACAGCAGAACTTAAATTTCTCAGTTTCTTTGACTTTTTTGCTTTTTTCTCTACAAACCTTTGAACTTGCATAAATTCCTGCTGCCAGGCAGTTCTGTGCCTTCTCGTTTGAATAATAAAACAGGTTTGAGGCTACTAAAGTTCAACAGAAATAATTTCTTATTCAGCAGAAATACTGAATCCTTTTCTCTCTCTGAAATACTGAATCCTTTTTCTCTCTGTTCCTCAATAGGAATTGCATCAATACCAAATTAGGATTCTGAGTGATGTTTATGACGTTCCATTAGCCTCTCCCATTGTCTCAGTAAAATGGCATATGAAGCAACAGCTTAGATAAAAGGAAGGGTGCAGTGTCAGTATCTGAACACTAAGGCATCCAGCTAAGGGCTTGGTTCCTTTCATTTTTCTCCATAATTGGATCCATGTTATCCCCAAGGTATGAAAAATAGTTTCTCATGCAGACAGAATGCAACACCAAAAGAAGGGGAAGGCATTGACACTCCCCATATTCCAAATGCATCATAAAATCAATAGAATTTAAATGCGTGTTGGCATCCTTTGAACCAGTACGTGGGTCACTAAAAATGGTGACATTGAGTTAATGTCCCTGTGATGCCTAGAGGCAAAGCTACATACACCCATTAAACAAGGAAATCTAATTGTTTTGTTGGCACACTTCTTGCTCATCTGTGTATGCTCTACTCTCCTATTTGGTGGATGTATTGGCATCTGCTATGCACAGTTATGCACTGCATAACAACACTTCGCATATACTACAGGGGTCCCATGAGATTATAATGGAGCTGAAAAATTTCTATTGCCTAGTGATATCTTGATGATCCTGACCCTGTGTAGGCCTGGGCTAATGTGTGTGTTTGTGTCTTAGTTTTTTTGTGTGTGTGCTTTATTTTTTGAGACGGAGTCTCGCTCTTGTCACCCAGGCTGGAGTGCAAAGGTGCGATCTCAGCTCACTGCACTTCAAAACTGTATCATTCCTTACATATCAAGGATCTCATTTGTGGTAAAAATTTTTTTTGGTATTTTATCGCCATTTAGTCATATTCGTGGATTTTCTTTGTTTTTTCTTCTTCTTCTTCTTCTTTTTTTTTTTTTTTTTTTTTGGAGACACTGTGTCTTAGTTTTTTAATGAAGGAGTTTAAAAAGTGAAATGTAAAAATTTTTAAACTAGAAAAAAGCTTATAGAATAAGGATATAACAAAAGGAAATATTTTTGCACAGCTGTACAATGTGTCTGTATTTTAACCTGTTATTACAAAATAGTCAAAAAGTTTTAAAAGTTTAAAAGTTTATAAAGCAAAAAAGTTACAGTAAGCAAAGGTTTATTATTGAAGAAAGAAAAAAGTTTAATAAATTTAGAGTAGCCTAAATATATAGTGTTTATAAAGTCTACAGTAGTGTACACTGATGTCCTAGGCCTTCACATTCACTCACCAGTCACTCACTGGCTCACACAGAACAACTACCAATCCTGCAAGCTCCATTTATGGTAAGTGCTCTATATAGGTGTACCTTTTTTGTTTTTTGTTTTTTGTTTTTTGTTTTGAGACAGAGTTTTGCTCTTGTCGCCCAGGCTGGAGTGCAATGGTGCGATCTCGGCTCACCACAACCTCCACCTCCTGGGTTCAAGCGATTCTCCTGCTTCAGCCTCCCAAGTAACTGGGATTACAGGCACATGCCACCATGCCCGGCTAATTTTGTATTTTTGGAAGAGACTGGGTTTTTCCATGTTGGTCAGGCTGGTCTCGAACTCCCAACCTCAGGTGATCCGCCCACCCCAGCCTCGCAATGTGTTGAGATTACAGGCGTGAGCCACTGCGCCCGGCCACAGGTGTACCATTTTAAAAAATCTTTTATACGGTATTTTTCTGGTACCTCTTCTATGTTTAGATATATAAATACCTATAGTATTACCTACAGTATTGTGTACAATTGTGTTTTAGTTGCCTACAGTATTCAGTGCAGTAACATGTGGCACAGGTTTGTAGCCTAGAAGAATAGGCTATGCCATATAGCCGAGGTGTGTAGTAGGCTGTATCATCTAGGTTTGTGAAAGTACACTCTGTGACATTTGTGCAATGATGAAATTACCTAAGGACACATTTCTCATAATGTATCTCTGTCATTACACAAGACATGACTGTACCCTTGTACACTGTGGAGGTGGAGGGGGCTACAGATGGGAGTTGTTACTTCCTCAAGACAGCTTGGTGTAGAGGAAGAGCTTAGGAGATAGGGTAAAGCCAGTTCACTTTGAAGCCTACTTCTCCCCCTTTTTTTTCCACAAGCTGTTGAGACCTTAGTGAGCTACCTTAGACCTGAGTTTCCTAACACTTAAGGTAGGATTAAAAATTTTTACTGCAGTCTGGGCAATATGGTGAGACCCTGTCTCTACAAAATAAAAAAATTAGCCAGGCATGGTGGTACGTGCCTGTAGTCCCAGCTACTCGGGAGACTGAGGTGGGAAGATCACTTGAGCCCAGGAGGTCAAGGTTGCAGTGAGCCATGTTAGCACCACTGCACTCTAGCCAAGAACTCTTTGAGCTCTTTGAGACAGGGCTGTCTCAAAAAAAAAAGAAAAAAAAAATGCTGGGTGGAGTTGCAATGAGGATGAAATGAAATGACATATGATAGGCACGGTGCTCAGGGTTGACCTCCCTACCTCTGTGCCCACCCTGCCCTGAAGAAATTTACAGTCTAGGAGGAAGCTATAAATGAATGCATGTATTCATATGCTTGATAAAAGGTGGAATATGACAGCTTCCTTAAAAGAGTAAAACAAAGAAGGAAAGGGGTGAGAGTTCACTTTTATCTGCGAGTAAATTATGGGAAACCCCATGGAGGAACATGGCATTGACTGGCCCTTGAACTGGTAGGATTGTGGCGTCATGATTCTCTGCTCCCTGATAAGCGTATTTCCATGTGAATCCTTGAGTGTGTTACACAAAAGGAAACTCAAAAGAATTAAGTCTATAAATACATGACTACACAACGGCCTCGGCTCTCATGGTATGAGTTCAGAGTTGTGATCCTAGAATTGAATGAAAATTGAATGTTACCAAACTAAACTTAGAAACTTTAGGGTGTATTTTTATTTAGAAATATTTTATGTGGCCAACAGAATTTCGTTTTTCAAAAGAATCTAATTTTAATTGTTGTATCTTAAGAAAAACTACTCCAATTGAGAATGTTTTTTGAAAGTAGAATCATTTTGGCCCATAGTCTAAGACCACTTAGAATGATTGATTTTCAGCAGTGTTACCCTCACAAGTGGAGGTTAGAAACAATTACTACCTGTGTGTGTTTTCAACTATCTATCTGCTTTGCCCATTTCTCTTAAAAATATCATGTTCTGTCCAATCATCTATTGGCTTATTTTTAAGTCAAAAAACACCTGTACGTTATTTGTTCCTTGTGAATTTGTATTTTGGTTACTATCTCATCAGAAACTTTATGTAAGTGTATATTAGGCAACATTTTTTTCTTTGTAGAGGAAGATTTCTCCCTAGTTTGTGGCAAATTCCAAAATACTTAAAAAGCAAATGCTGAACCTTAAAAACCTGGTCAAAAAACTTTGTAGATGAACGTAAGACCATTTTCTAGAGGTGCACAAACATTCTCCTGCAGTTACTCTCTGTGGCCACGAGATGGTGAGTGAGTCCCCAGAGGGACGTCACACCCCTTATAATCAAACAAAGTTTCTTAGGAACTATCAGATAAATATATAAGCAGACTGTCAAAGAACAAAAACCTAATCTCGGCTCTTTTTGATAGATGCCTGACCTCCTTTCTAAAGCCCATTTCCCACTTGAGATTGTATTTGCAGACACTTTGCTACATAAGCCTTTGGATAGTAAATAAATTTTTCCTTGAAAGTGTTTGCAAATATCCTTTGTGTTTCAAATAGTGCGTCTTCCTCCATGAGTCAGGGACTATGTCTGTCTTAATTCATCACCCTTCCCAGTGCTCAGCAGAACTGCCTGGCACTGAGTAAACAATTAATTTGTTGAATACGAAAATGTGTTTGTCTTTCTCCTGCTTTTCCACAACTTGCTATTCCCTTCTCCCCTGACCTCTTCAGATTTCCATTAATGATTGAAATAAGAGGAAGTTACAGAGGAGTTGAGCAATGGTATCATAGTAAGGAAATTAAATGGAATGCCCTTAGTATGAGAGTTTTACTCTGAAAGCACCTCTGTTGAGGTTCCTATCAGAAAGCAGTAGCAGAAGAGATGGGGGTGCCATCCTGAGATGAAGAGATGGGTGCCCTCCTGAGTTGCCTTGGAGACAGCTGCACCATCACTACCGTCCTGGATGTGAACCCAGGACCTGTGACCAGCCAGGTTCAGAGTGTCACTGGACTCTGTCATAACCCATGGACAGAGTCCAGTGTATCCTAGAATGTCTGCATTATTAGATGAGACTAGTGAATGTTGTACCAGGCAAAGCCACAGGTAACTACAAAATTCACTGATGCTGTTGCTTTGAGAGTATAGTGTGCGTTGGTGGGGGGTGGGGCAGCAGTTGTTTTTAAGTTCCTGCTTTGTGTGAGTCACTGTGTTAAATACTAGGGATACAAAGATAAACAGGAACTTACAATTTAAGAAAGAATTTGCTAATGAATAGATAGCCTTATATTTTTTATTATAATATGGCAAAATATAAGAGATGTGCACAGAATGCATGTAAAATCACAGAAGGAGCACCAGCCCCCATGTGGGCTGGCAGGACTGGAGGTGGGTGGGGGAAATAGGTTGGGAAAGCTTCCCAGAGAAGACTTTCCAACTGAAGCATGAGGCACAATAGCAAGATGAGGAAGGTGGGAGGGTGAGCCAAGCAGAAGGGCCACCATGAATCTAACACCTCGAATGCTAACATGAATTATCAGTTAGTGTGTGGGTGCTTGTAAATGAGCAGAGACGGGAAGCTATCCAGGAAGTGTTTGAATAATCACTGGGATTTTGCTAAAATCCTGTTTTCTACTTTAATCCTTTACATGTATAGCATAAGGTGGTTTTAATATGCACAGCAGTTTGTGACTTAGATTCTGGAGCCTAGCACCCAATCTAACACTCCAGACTTAGCACTGCTAAAGCTGAGAAACCTATTCTGGCTCCTGGTCTCTTAATCCTGGGTAAGGGCATCACTATTTGCTCAGTATCTGAACCTAGAAACCTCGACCTTTTCCAAGGATGTCAGCTCCCTGGCATCTTCACCAGGCAAGTCCATTTGGTCACCAAATCCAGCCTACTGTGCACTTGAACAGTCCACACACTGCGACTGCCCTACTTTATGTCCTTGCCATCTCCTCGAGGCCCATGCTCCAGCACCCTGTCCTCTGAGCCTCTGATCCCACCTTCCTTCTGTCCAGCCTCCCCATTGCCCCCTGACCACTCCCACTGTCCACTACTAGATCATAGCTCATAGCTTCAGCCAGCCTTCTTGACCTGGTCTTAGCCTATCTGTCCAGTGCCATCTCCCACCGCCCCAACCCCCAGCACCAAGCTTTCACCATTCCCAGAAGCCACCAGAGCCCTTCCAGCTGTTGTACCATTGCATGTGCTTGGGCCCTGCTGGAGGTACCTTTACACCCCTGTCTTTACCTACTTAGCCCCTTTTCTCCCATCAGGTCTACCCAATTGTCACCTCAAGGATCTAAGCCAAGTCCATTGGCTTTGGAATTCCTTTTGTGTGCCTCTGTTTTAGCACATGGGTGTTTCCCCTTCTTGCCCTAAGGTAGGCCTCTCAGGAGCTGAGGCCTCACCTTAGCCCTTTCCTGTCCAGCCTCTAGCCTGGCACCTGGCACCAAGAAGGCACTCAGTCATGGTGGACACACATGTCTCCCATCCAAGTACTAACCAGGCCCGACCATGCTTATGGTGGACACATATGTCAGTGAACACTTCCTCTTCTGCCCTGAATTTGCAGATGACACTTCTGAGATTCTGGCTAGACATCTCCACATATGTGACCAACAGAGTCTCAAAATCAAGCTGTGCATAAACAAAATGTGTCTTCTTTCCTGAGACTCAATCTGTGAGTTGTCCTTTCTTATCCTTATAACTTGAAGTTGTAGTCACCTTTCACTACTCCTCACCCCCACAGTCCCCCACATCTGATGACTTACCAATTTCTCTTGCCTCCACCACTGAGATAGCTTTTAAATCTGTCCAATCCCACTGCCCTAGTTTAATTCTCTATCCCTCACGCGGGCTGTTGAAATAACCTCCTAACTGCTCCCTGTCTTTCCTTTCGCTTCATCTCCCAAACCACCATCCTCTAAACACAAATGATCATGCCATTTTTTGGCCTGCTCAGTATCTTGTGTGGTCTCTCCATTTGCTACTCTTCGGCACGGGCTTTATGATTTGACTTAACTTCATGCCTCCCACCTGCCCTACCCTCCAGCTACCTGCTAGCACTCATCCAAGCCACATGGAACAGGGATGGCCTTTATATCCACACCTCTATGGCTGTGGTCATCCTGTTCCTTTCTTTATATCCACTTATCAAACTCCTACTCATCCACTTAAGCCCAACTAAAATATACATTCTCTGAAGATTCCTTATTCCCCCAGGCAGAATTAGATATTCCCTCTTCTGGATTTTAATTATACCTCAGTTATAGCACTTACCATTATCTGTGTAAAAGGAGGCTTTGTTTTGTGAGCATCTGTCTCAAACTCAACTGTAAAATCATTAGGGAAAGATGACGTCTCTTATTCGTGTTTCCTCTTCTCCCGCTCCAGCCCCATAATGGTCTCCAATAAATGAATAAGTGAATGACCAATGCTGATATTTGTTTCATTTCTCAAACATTAGCTTTTGAGCTCCCTATGCAGGGACCAGGCTTTCATCTTTATATGTCTTCCAGTGCCCAACACAGTGACTTGTATATTATAGGTACGCAGTAAATATTTGTTAAGTTGGACTGACAGCTAAATAATTCTATCATTTGAGTAATGTTTCATTGAGGACAGAATTTTTGCACAGAGCATACAATTTCAACCACCAATGACTCCTGCTTGGCTGCATGCAAGAACATCAATTTTGCAGCCATGAATGTGACTAGCATTACCCACGGGTAAGTGCTGATTGACGCTAACTGTAGATGCAATGGAAATATTAATGAGCTGTTGCTTCTTAAAATGTTTAAAGGAGATTTTTGCAATATTTAAAAACATGCCAGGAATCTCAGAATGGAATCCTTTGATCAGCAAGGGCATTTGCCTTTGAAACATGTATTACTTAGAATACCAAAAGAAATTAAATTTAAATGGGGTGGGGGGCAGCTAACACAGAGAATAGCTGATTGCACAGCTAGTTGCCCTGGGTATATGTGGAGTTAGTGTTTCATTAGGCACTAGAACTTTGGGCAAATTCCTTAACCTCTCTGATCATCATTTCCCTGAATTGTAAAATGTATATTAAAATATATCACCATTGGTGTGCAAGAATTGCCTGACACAAGTGCCTGCTACCAAGCAAGCACGCAGGTGATGGTGATGGTTCTTTTTGTTCTATTGTGGCGTCACATTCAGGCATTCAGGCGGAAGCCCAGATTTCCGCACCAGCCCCAGTTGATCTGAATCCTGTTCAGATCTTCTTCTTGAAGCTGTCCATTTTTTGGATTTCTTTAATAAAAAAGATTATCTTTATCATAGGTAAAAGTGTAGAAAGATAGGTCCCCAGTGGTGGCTCGCCATGGATGATGGGATGTAGTGTGATTTTCATTTTTGTGTTGCTGGTTTGGGGATTTGGGATAAGGGTTCTTGTTTATTTTTTTTTTCTCCTCTGTACTTTCTCAGCTGTCTGAAGTGGTTATGTATTTATTGTGTCATTGTTTTTTAAGGGAAAAAAAGAGTTATCACTAAATCTCTTTAAAAATAAATTACTTTAGCATCTGCTGACAGTCTGCCAGTGTTTGCACCTATGTATTGCAAAGACAGGAATACCTCCCAGTGCCCTAGAAATTGTAGGTGAAATCTTCTGTCTGCGTCTTGAAGCTCTCAGCTGTGTGTTTGTTTTGTTCTTTTTCTAGGTTACAGCACCATGAGCCCACAGGAGGACAGTGAAAATCCTCCATGCAACAATGACCCCTTGTCAGCCGGGGTCGATGTGGGAAACCATGATGAGGACTTAGACCTGGATACCCCCCCTCAGACTGCTGCCCTACTAAGTCACAAGTTCCACCACTACCGGTCACACCACCCTACACTTCATCATAGCCACCACTTACAGGCGGCCGTCACGGTACACACTGTCGATGCAGAATGCTAACAATCTCCTCACCTCCACGCCAAGATGAGATCTGGGAGCTACAGAATGTTCTGGAAAGAAAAAGAACCGGCTTAAAACCCACAGCAAGAGACCTCCCTTGTGTTTGTGCTTTGTGCAGAGTTGTTTGAGTCATTTCCTGCCTGTCGACATGGTTAAAAACGAGAGAAACAACAACACAGTCACATTTGTGAAGATGTGAGGCTGGTTCTGAAATGGAGGGGAAATAAGCCTGATGAACAGACCTGCCATAACACTAATGGAAGGTAACAGAAGGCGAACCTCCAAACACAGAGACGGAACCTGCAAGTGAAGCTGAGCCAGAGGAATGTTCCAAAGAGCCAGAAGCATTCAGCTCTCCTTAACTGGAAGAGAGAAAAATCTGCTCACCCAGAGACTGGAATGTGGCACATGCAGATACAAATGTGTGCATTGAAGATTTCGCTTTGTTTCTTAGCGGTACCTGGATACCACAGTTGCTGTATGGAACTCATGTTATGCTCTAAACGATGCATCTCAGAATTTCTAAGTAAAGGATTATTTTTCTACTATTTATTGAACTTTCAAACATTCTCAAACTTTGGGGAAAAGGAAAGGAAACACAGGAGAAGTTTTCAGCAGTTGCCCCGAGCTGTTTTGTGTGTAATGAAGTGGTTCTTTGATTAAGGAGCTCTATTTCTTATTTAACTGATATCCCACTGCCCCACTCCACAAAATAGGAAAATGAAGAAATCTTTCTCTCTGACTTGTTTACATCATTTCACGGAAACACATCTTTGTTTGTAATGCAGTATTCTTTCTCTGTGTTTGACAGAGATGGGGAGGGGCAGAGGAATTTAAGAGGTTTTAAAAGAAATGTTATGTTTCTTATGACTTGTTTCCACTCCTCGTACAATGCTATTCTTAGGTTTCTACGAAACCTAATGTTAGAACCGCATCCTTTCAGCTAAGGGAGGGTTGGATTTATTTTCCTTGTTTTAGAGACTACAAATTTTTAAATATCCCATTTTGACTGAGAATATTGACATATAAGGGAAGAAGTTTTCTAAATTGTGAAAGTCTGGTTCTTAATTAAAGAATTTTTTTTTTAATATCACGGTTAAAAGCTGCTGCCAGTTAGCCAAGACATTATCCACCAAATTGCTTTGTGATTTATACAGGGATTAATCAAATCTGGCTACTATAACATGGGGCATTGTAACTTTAAAGTAGTGTTTTAATTACAGTGATGTATTTTAGACTCACATTTTGTGATTCAAATATGTTATAAAGGCATTCTTGCACCATGGTAAAGAATGTGTGTGGTAAATCTCCGTTTATATGTAGTTGGAAAAAATTCACTGAATAATGTTTTAATGATAGGGTATTATGATACAATGTAAAAAACAATTGGTTCTTCAGCAGTACAGAAAGTAAACTATATATGTGCTATCAGGAAACCCCTTCATACTGTGTATAAAATTGCAATCTAGTGAAATAAACCGTATGCAATGGACCATTTTAGTGGCTACAGTGATTTGTTAATGTACCACTCCTTGTGCCTCAAGGCAAGTTACATTCATTTTGTAACCTAGCCAGGTCAGTTGCCAAACTGAAAATAGACCTCCTTTCAATGCTACAGTCAACTTCTAGGGCTTCTTGACCATCTAGATCAAATATGCAAACAACTTAACAATATAATGGGATAAAAATGTATAGAACATAGCTATCCCTTCCTGAGCATCTATATCCATGTCACTAATAATAAATGGTTCTTCTCTAACTGCTAGAAGGATTAAATGAGTTTCCTGCCTTCCCAGAAAATTAAACTTCTTCATGGGATACTAGTTTGTTTCCTAAGGTTGAGAAACTCTGTGTTAGGAAATTGATTGAGGAGGGAGAAGTGCAGTGGAAACTTGGTGCTTTCAAGAAAAGAATCACAAAACTTAGAGCTTAAAAATGAAATAGGTACCCCTATAGAAACACAATAACAGAATACATTTTGTATCTTTTGGGTTTTTTTGTTTGTTTTCGTTTTTGAGATGGAATCTTGCTGTGTCACCCAGGCTGGAGTGCAGCGGCATGATCTCTCAGCTCACTGCAACCTCTGCCTCCTGGGTTCAAGTGATTCTCCTGCCTCAGCCTCCTGAGTAGCTGCGATTATAGGTACTTGCCACCAGGCTCAGCTAATTTTTGTATTTTTAATAGAGACTGGGTTTCACCGTGTTGGCCATGCTGGTCTCGACCTCCTGACCTCAAATGATCATCCGCCTTGGCATCCCAAAGTGCTAAGATTACAGGCGTGAGCCACTGCACCCGGCCCATTTTGTATCTTTTGTGGTAAGAGTTTTTCCTATTCCGAACTTGAGGGGAAAGTAATTGAATGTTTATACCTAAACCAAAACATTGCTGAGTTTTAAAGATCCTGTGAAATATGACATATAGGCTGAAGTTTTGATCCTCTATAATTATCTTTTATCTAATCCAAGGGTTACATATAATGTCATTTAAACATTTGTTGTCATTGTTTAAAAGGAAAAATATGTTTTCAGAGACTTTTTATCATGGTGCCAGTTACCAGTGTTTGTTAAACATGAGTCTTCCCTGAGATCCTGAAGGAGGTCCTACCAATATCTTTTCATTCACCAAAGCCTCCTGCTGCCAGTAACCAACATTGCTTATCAATGTTGGTAAGTATCAAAGCTAAGGAAATTCCAGGTCACTTTATATAGCTAGGAAAAAAATGTCCTATTGTAGCCCAAGGAAAACGTGGCTCAGGCTCATGCTAGTCCTCATGGTATATACAGTTCATCTGCATTTCAGATAGGTTTATTTTAGAAATTTTGTAAACTATACTGTAGGGTATGTTTTTTCCTCCAGTTGATTGAATACTCAACTAAACCTCATTGATAATATATTTGAAAAACTTAGGCAATATGAACTTGTTTTGCCTCTCAGAGTGACTGTTATGTGGAAAGAAGTCCTGAAATACCACAATTTCATTTCCCCATGGCGATGGACTATCCTAATGATCACATTTTTAAAAATTTATATCTGGCAAAATAATTATATTCTTAAAACATGCCAGCCGGATCCAGGTGCCATGTCTCACACCTGTAATCCCAGCATTTTGGAAGGCTGAAGCGGGTGGATCACTTGGTCAGGAGTTTGACCTGACCAGTATGGTGTAACCCGGTCTCTACTAAAAATACAAAAATTAGCCAAGCATGGTGACACATGCCTGTAGTCCCAGCTACTCTCAAGGGAGGATTGCTTGAGTCCAGGAGGTCCAGGCTGCAGTGAGCTGAGATCACGCCACTGCACTCCAGCCTGGGCAACAAAGTGAGACCCTTTCTAAAAATGAAACAACAAAACAAAACAAAAACCCATACCAGCCAGGTCTCATCTATGTTCCTTTTGGTCTGTTTCAGAAGACAGGAGTAGTGATTTTCCTGGCTGAGATAGAATGCCATATTCAGAAATTTTTTTCTAATGTTTTAGTTAAAAAGAATTTTAAGTTTCCGTATCTATTACTTAGGAACTATAACTAGATATTTTTTTGTAGTTAAGTACACACACACACACACACACACATTGAGATTGAGATTTTTCTGGATTTCCTCCATTCTCTCTCATCAGCCCTAAATTGCTCATTAGGGCCCCTTCCTTCTCTTAATTCAATGTTTCTCATTTTTTATTAATTATTGCTCCCTCCCCTTGAGGAAGAAATTTTAATTTAATTTAAATTCTCCCTAACAAGGGAAATTAAATACTAGAGGTTAAGGTTTTTTTGGATTGGGTTGCGTTTTGGAGAGCTACAAATCATTGTAATCTCTGTTTCTTTTCCTTCTGTAAGAATTCATTTTCACTCCTTTATGGGCAGTATCTCCTCCGTTGAGAATGTGTGCCCTAAATAAAGGGGTTCTCCAAAGTTTTGACTTCAGCCCCTTTTTTCAGTACTATTTGTTGCCTTCCATCTCTTTTTAAGCTACACATGCTTGTCATTGCTTGGGGTGGTAGAGCACTGAGTTGAAAGCAAGAAGGCCTGAAGTTGAGTATATAGGAATGAATGAAACAGGCATGATCCCTTTCCACACTGAATGTGGAGATGTAAGTGGATAACAGGGTTGACTCCCCAGTATTGGACTCCCAGGATTGTTTATCCCACAGTTCCATTGACTTCAGTCATAGGGTGGGATTTCTTATTCCTATGACAAGAATAATAAATCCATCCTACTTATTTGGTCAGAAACTAAGACTTACTGCAAACAGCATAAAGCATTGTTCCTGATGATAGTTAGGGGGAAACATGTGACCTAATTTAGTTCAATCTGACTGAAAGGACTTTGGTTGCAAGGAAAGACTCTGTCTCCCAGTAAATGTGAAGAAGCCAGCAGGTAAGATCCATCCTATCTGGCTGTCATCTTTATTTCACCAGTGTCAGCAGCTTCAGGGTGACACTGATGCCATGGACAGTGGAGTACAGAGAATGAAAGAATAGGACATCTTAAACTGCTGACTCAACCAGCTCTGAATCCCATCCTACCTCTGGATTTCCACTCATGGGCGATAATAAAATGTCCTATTGTTTAAGATCAGTTGAATTGGCTTTTTAATACCTCTACTTGAAAGCATCTGGTATAGACATAAAACTAGCAAATACAAAAATATAAGTACATCTTTGCATAGGGCTATTTGCTGTGAAGGAATTGGAAGAGTGATGGGTGAATTAGCCCACAGTGGGAGTTGGGGGGGGCGGACAGAACCTGCTTTAGATTTGATGCTCGTGGGAAGCCTCTGAGAGGGTGATGTTGAAGCTGCCACCTGAAGAATAAGAAAGAGCTAGACAGTCAAGGGTACAGTGGGCAGGCAGATATTTCAGACAGAGGGAATAGAACCTCCGTAGGCCTGAGCTAGGAAAGCATCAGGTCTAGTGCATTGGTCAACAGAGGGAAAGCGAGATGCAGTGAGAATGAAGAGGCAGGAAAATTGAGTCCTTAAGCTATGGCAAGAAAATCAGTGAAGTAAAGGGAGGGGAGGGTGAGGAGATATATATATATCTCCTCACTATGTTGCCCAAGCTGGAATGCAGTGACTATTCACAGATACTATCATAGCACACTACAGCTTCAAATTCTTGGGCTCAAGCAATCCTGAGAAGCTGGGACTACAGGTACATACCACCATGCCCGGCTATCTATATTTTCTTAAAGACCATTCTGAATTGAAAATACATTGTAGGGTACCAAAAACGGAAATGTGGACAGGAAACCATTGCAGAATTCTAAGTAAATGCAGGATGATGACAGTGAAGACAAAGGAAAGTGGAATGGTGAAACATATATTTTGGAAGCAGAAAGAATAGGGCCTGGCTGGTTGTGGGCCGGATATAGAGAGTGGTGAGAAAAGGGTTCCTGGCTTGAATGATTACATCACTTGCTGTGCTGGAGGAGATGAGCAGGAACAGTTTGGTGCAGAGGATAAGGAATGAAGAGTCAATGTTTGATGTGTTTGGCATAAAGTGGCTAGAGGTGTCAAGATCATTCTGCACACCTCCGCCCAATAACAGTAATGCTGATGTCGCTCATGGAACACTTGCTTTGTAATAGGCATTGTGGTAAGGTCTTTCTGTGTGCTAATTCATTCAGTATACTTTAGCTCTGATTAGTCAGTACTATAGAAGAGCTGTCAGTCTAGCCTCTTTCTCTACCTAATTCTCCTAATGGCATGTTCCACAGTTCAAACCCTCCTTAAATTCAAAACCTCACCCTGCTACCCCTTGCACATCTCTGCTATACTCCAGCCAGCTGGTCTACTGACCAGAAACCATCTGACTTTCTTGCTGTGGTATGTGTATTTATGTGTTTGATCTTCTTGTGTGTTCTCTTTGCCTCTTAAGAAAAATAACCACTCTTTTCACCCCAACAAGTCTCAATTCAAATGCACCTTAGTCCATGGCCAGGTTTCTTAACTACCCCACTTACCCACCCCTATGTCTGATTTTTAAAGTGAGCTCTGACCCTTTGAATCTTCCAAAGCTCTTACTTCTCCACCAGTCATGAGATTCTAGTTCATCTTGCTTGGATGTTAGCTGCCTTTTCATATGAACTGGTTTGTTTTTTGTTTTTTGTTTTTTGTTTGGGGTTTTTTTTGAGACTGAGTCTTCCTCTGTCACACAGGCTGGAGTCCAGTGGCACGATCTCGGCTCACTGCAACCTCCGTCTCCTGGGTTCAAGGGATTCTCATGCCTCAGCCTCCCAAGTAGCTGGGACTTCAGGCATGCGCCACCACACTCAGCTAATTGTTGTGTTTTCAGTAGAGACAGGGCTTCGCCATGTTGGCCAGGCTGGTCTCAAACTCCTGACCAAAGTGCTGAGATTACAGGCATGAGCCAGGACGCTAGTCCCTCCTTTTCATATGAACTCTTATAGCCCCAACTAGACATCAGCTTTCTCAGGGCAGGGACTATTTCTTATTCCTCTTTGTAGCGCTCATGGCACCACACCCTAGACTTACACCACTAAATTTCTAGAGTGCCAACTGCAGTCATAATTAGTTGCAAGTTATAATAATATATATAATATTTAAAGCAGTGAATGAAGCCAAATGATTTCTCCAAATCATATGCTTAATCAATTAGTACAATAGATTTTTTAGTATATTGTACTAACAATTTACATAATGTTGCAGGTTTGAGATTTTTTTTAATGTTATCTCTGGTACGAAAACCCTCAACAACTTCCTAAAACATACAGTTTCAGTAGATGGGCCTTTTAAAAGCGGCCTATATTTTATTATAATAATTTATATGACATAGATGTACTCCTAAATGCAAAAATAATTCCTAATGGCTAATTTAAATATAGAGTTATCTATTCAAAATAGTTTTAAATAACATTTCTTTTGAAAAGAGAACTTATATACGAAAGATTTTCAAATCCTATTTCTTATAATACTACTTGTATTTCTTTTATGCCATTCCCATTCTATTTCAGTGAGACTTGATTAAAGTATTTTATGTAACACTATACCCACCAGGATTACTCTTAGTTCTTAGGCCTAGTACTTTTGGGGGAAAAAAAAATTACATAACGAGATGCTTGGCTCCCCTCCAAAGGTATGTTCTTGACTTTCAGGGATCCTTGGCAATCCTTTATCCAGACCCAGTTTACTCACTTGCACTTCCCTCTAAAATCCCTTCCCATGGCCGGGCACAGTGGCTGACACCTGTAATCCCAGCGGCTTGGGAGGCCAAGGCGGGTGGATCACCTGAGGTCAGGAGTTCAAGACCAGCCTGGCCAACATGGTGAAGCCCCATCTCTACTAATAAAGTACAAAAATTAGCTGAGTGTGGTGTCACTTGCCTGTAATGCCAGCTACTCGGGAGGCTGAGGCAGGAGAATCACTTGAACCCAGGAGGCAGAGGTTGCAGTGAGCTGAGATTGCGCCATTGCTCTCCAGCCTGAACAACAAGAGCGGGACTCTGTCTCAAAACAAACAAACAAATAAACAAAAAAACCTTCCCAAACATGTCCACATCCTTTGCCCCTTTTTTCTGTCCTGCCACAGTTTCTCCAAAGCTGCCCTTAGGTTCTACCCTCGCATTTGGGTAGAAGTCCCATAACTTTTACCCCTACCACATAAAAATTGCTCTCAGGCATCATCCTGCTCTCTATTCTCTCTCAGAGGAAGCAATGTTCCTGCTCCCTTGCAGGGCCAGCCTGTACACTTTTGATCTAGTTGCATCAAAAATGCATAGCCTCAGCTCCGCTTTCCCACCAGTGGTTCCTACTCTTTGAGCCTAGTGCACATTCAATTATCCTCTAACCTAAAAATACAAAACTTCCTTAGCTTTGCTTTCCCCTCACATTACTGTTCATGTTTCTCTGTCTTTCTGGGCTCATATTTCAAAATCACAGTGTTCGCTCAAGACCTCACAAACGGCCTCCTCCTGTGGCCACATTGCTGCACGTGCTGCCCCTGCTGAGTTCATCCCGGGTCGTGACTTCCCCTGGAATCTGTAAATGCGCTCCTCCTCCTGCGTCTGCACCCCTACCTCTGCCCCGCTGTCTGTTTCCTAAAATCCTGCCCCCTTATGCAGTTGTCTGTGTGGTTCTCCACATGAGTATCTCCCCAGCAGTTCCAGCACCAGAGATCCCATTGTCCCTTCCCTACTCTGAGCTACTGTCACTGTGCACCTGGACACTGCAGCAGCCTGCCTGTTGTTCTCCTCTCCATTCTTTTCCTTTTTCTTTTTTTTTTTTTCAGACAGTCTTGCTCTGTTGCCCAGGCAGGAGTGCAGTGGTGGGATCTCAGCTCACTGCAACCTCCGCCTTCTGTGTTCAAGCAATTCTTATGCCTCAGCCACCCTCCAAATAGCTGGAATTACAGCCATGCACCATCACACCCGGCTAATTTTTGTATTTTTAGTAGAGATGGGGTTTTGCCATGTTGGCCAGTCTGGTCTTGAACTCCTGACCTCAGGTGATCCACCTGCCTTGGCCTCCCATAGTGCTGGGATCACAGGCGTGAGCCACCATGCCTGGCCTTCCTCTCTCCATTCTTGTTTCCTCCAATTCATTCTCTATGCGGTGGGCAGAGTGATCTTTTTGTTATTGAAGTGCCCACTCCTATGACTGATAAGTATGCATGTCACATACCATAAAACTAACCACTTTAAACTGTACAATTCAGTGGCATTTTGTGCATTCAAAATGTTATACCACCTACACTTTGAGAAATAAAAATGAAATCCTAAGCCCCCACACTGACTGACCAGACTCCCTCTTGGCCAAGGGGACCCCAGAGAAACCTTAAAAACTGATTTCCCAGCCATGATGGGACCAGAGGTCCGACGCACCTCAAGATGCCCCTTCCTTACTAAGCTTTAACCAGAATTCTTTCCTAAGGAGTAAGCAGAGACCAGCTCTGGAAAACAAGAACAGACAACTCATTCCTTCATTGCCTTTAGCCAATAATCTGAGGCCAAAACTGGACTCCTCTTCCCTTTTCAGTTTCAACACAGCAAGTGACCAGCATTTCTTACTGACAAGAGAACACCTACCACGGGCTGGTTCTGCAGGAGATTTCTGTCCCCTAATTCATCTTTTTATTTTATTTATTTATTTATTTTTTAATTTAAGAGTTAGGGTCTCACTGTGTCACCCAGGCTGGAGTGCAGTGGCACAGTCATGGCTCAATAGTAGCTTCAACCTCTTGGGCTCAAACAATCCTCCCAATTCAGCTTCCTTAAAAGCTAGGACTACAGACACATGCCATCAAGCCTCGCTAACTTTTAAATTTTTTGTAGAGACAGGGTCTTGCTATGTTGCCCAGGCTGGTCTTGAACTCCTGGACTCAAGCAATCCTCCCACCTCAGCCTCCCAAAGTACTTGAATACTGGGATTGAAGGTGTGAGCCACCATGCCCAGCCTTCTCTTAATTTCTTGAGTAAACCTTGCTCTACTCTACCTCAGAGTCTTTGCACTCGCTGCTCACTCTACCTGGACCACTTCTTCTCCAAGCCCATCTCTCCCAGCCCCATCCCTCACCTGAATAACAACCACTCCTCCTCAGATCTCCGCTTCCATGCTACTTTCTCAGTGACTACCCACGATACACTAGCATGCAAAAGAAGTTACCTAAATGCAAAACTAAGTTTGGCTGTGCTCCTGCCTGCTAACAAGAGAGGGAGCATAGTTCTTATCAAAGGGAAAATCTACCTGCATATTGGTCCCTTCCACTTACAGAGGGAAACAAAGAAAGGCTGAAACTCTGACTCACCTGTCAGTTTTTGCTGTGCTATTAAAGGAGAAGCCTCTTTTTTTTTTTTTTTTTTTTGAGACGGATTTGCGCTTTATGGCCCAGGCTGGAGTGCAGTGGCACGATCTCAGCTCACTGCAACCTCTGCCTCCTGGGTTCAAGTCATTCTCCTGCCTCAGCCTCCTGAGTAGCTGGCATTACAGGCGAGTGCCACCACGCTCAGCTAATTTTTGTACTTTTAGTAGAGACAGGGTTTCGCCATTTGGCCAGGCTGGTCTCGAACTCCTGACCTCAAGTGATCTGCCCACCTCGGCCTCCCAAAGTGCTGGGATTACAGGCGTGAGCCACCGCACTCAGCCGGAGGAGCCTCTTTATTATGTGACATGGGTCTGCATAATAAACTGGGATAAATTGAGCTTCTGAATCAAGAAGCTGGGAGATATGTGGAAAGTCTTGAGGCAGAAACGGGACCCAAGCACAAAGGCTTTGGTACCCACGGAGAAAGGTCACCAGTGAACATCATGACAGGCACCAGTGGAAGACAGCTGAAGGAGTGGTGAGTGTAAAGCTCCTCAAAGTTTCACTGGAGTTTCATAAACTCACACCTCGAATGAGTGACTTGAGGGGAAATCAAGGAGAATGAACCAAGTTCCAACGGGCCAGGGCAGAGCAGAGAGAAGAGAACAGCTGCAGGGATGGGAGAAAAGTGAAACAGAATTGAGTGGGGCAAAGGCTCAGAGCCAAGGATAGCAAAGCCCTGATGAATTCACAGGAATCTTGAGAAAGTTATTGGACTTCCTGCAAGACATGGGATGAAAGGTCCAAGCTAATTTTATTTAAGCCTCCAAGGACAGCATGACCTCAGTGGACATCTGGATAGGTGTCAGCACCCTATGCTTGATGTCTCCTTCTTGGCTCTAATCACACTTACTGTTATTTGTTTTATTTCTGCCTCCTCACCAGCCTGTAAGCACTGCCTGGTCAGGAGAAAATCAGTCTTCATGCTACATCCTGATGCCTATCTCAAGCAGGCACCTAAAACATATTTACTGAGTGAATACATTATTTTTTTGTCTGAACAGAATTTAAAGTATATTTTATTTAATTTTTAATTTTTGTGGGTACATGACATATATACATATGGGTTACATGAGATGTTTTGATACAGGCATGCAATGCGTAATAATCACATCAAGGTAAATAGGGTATCATCACATCAATCATTTATCCTTTGCATTTCAAGCAATCCAATTATACTCTTTTAGTTATTTTTAAATGAGCAATTAAATTATTTTTTCTGTAGTCACCCAGTGGTGCCAACAAATACTAGATCTTACTTATTCTATTTTTTGTACCCAATAACTGTGTCCCCTTTCTCCCCACCCCACCCCAGCTACCCTTCCCAGCATCTGGTAACCATCCTTCTATTCTCTATCTCCATGAGTTCAATTGTTTTAAGTTTTAGCTCCCACAGATAAGTGAGAACACGTGATGTTTGTGTTTTTGTGCCTGGCTTATTTCATTTACCATAATGACCTCCAGTTCCATCCCTGTTGCTGCAAACGACAGGATCTCATTCTTTTTTATGGCTGAATAGTACTCCATTGTGTATATGTACCACATTTTCTTTATCCATTCATCTGTTGATGGACATTTAGGTTGCTTCCAAATCTTGGCTATTGTTATGGTGGATTTTAAAGAGGAATGTAAGACCCTAAAATAGGATATTTTTATATTGTTTATTTAGCCTCCCCACTGAAAGCCCGCTCACTGCCAAACTGGAAATAGGGTGAAAGACACAATTGTAAATTCAAGATACCTGAAGTGGTAGGAATATGTTTACTTGCTAGAAGACTGGAAGAGATTGGAGTGGAGTTGCTCTATTTATCCAAATGTCCCACAAGCACATCAAAATCAACCTACAACTATAAAAATCTCAGAAGGAAATAAAACCCTATGCTTATGACCTTAAAGTGAAGAAGACCTTCTTAGAGCCTGAAAAAGCAAAACTCATAACCCAAAGGTTGGGAAAATTTAAAAGTTTTGTACCACAAAAATAGCCTTTCCTCCCCAAAATGGGGTCATTTTAATTGCAAAAAAAAAAAAAAATAGAAGAAAGGTTGGCACTTAGAATGCTAATGTATATTAAAGCGAACTCCTAGAAACCTAGCAAGCAAAAGAGAAATGACCCAATAAAAACACTGAACTGAGTTCCTCTTCAGTGAAAAGACAAGACAAATAGCTAGTAATCATGAGAAAAAAAATCCAAACTTTTTAGAATTTGTGAAATACAAATTAAAATGGGGTAAGATTTTTCAACCATAGAGAAGCCAAAATTTCAAAGTTGTCTTAACACTCTAAGCATTAGTGGGAGTATATAAATTTGTGTAGGTACTTTGGCAAATCTATTGAAATTTAAATGTTCATAACTCTCTGACTCAGAAATTCTACTTCTCCACACCTATACTACAAAAACACATGGGGCCAGGCACAGTGACTCATTCCTGTATCCCAGCACTTTGGGAGACCAAGGCAGGCAGATTGCTTGAGCCCAGGAGTTGGAGACCAGCCTGGGCAACATAGTGGAATCCTGTCTCTACCAAAAAACGTTAAAAGTTAGCTAGGTGTGGTAGCATGCGCCTGTAGTCCCAACTACTCAGGAGGCTGAGGTGGGAGGATTGCTTGAGCTCAGGAGGCAGAGATTGCAGTGAGCCAAAATCGCACCACTGCACTCCAGCCTGGGCAACAGAGCCACACTCTGTCTAAAACCAAACAAAACAAAATAAAAACACATGTGCACCAGGAAATTTGGCAAATAGGTTTACTGCAGCATTTGTTGAAATGGAAAAAACTAGAAACCATCTCAGTAATGACTCAAATATTGAATATCTATATTATGAAATACTATGCACCATTTTAAAACATAAGGTAAATTTCTCTACACAGACATGGTTATATCTACGATATATTGTTGAGTAAAAAAAGCGGCCGGGCATGGTGGCTCACACCTGTAATACCAGCACTTTGGGAGGCCGAGGCGGGTGGACTGCTCGAGGCCAGGAGTTCGAGACCAGCCTGGTCAACATGGCAAAATCCCGTTTCTACAAAAAATACAAAAGGCACGTGCCTGTAATCCCAGCTTCTCCAGACCCTGAGGCATGAGAATTACTTGAACCTGGGAGGTGGAGGCTGCAGTGAGCTGAGATCGCACCACTCCACTCGAGCCTGGGCAACAGAGCAAGATCCTGCCTCAAAAAAAAAAAAAAAAAAGCAAATTGCAGATATATAGTGATGCCTGCTCTCTTAAAAAAAAAAAAACACAGTAAAATTACCTGTTTTCTAAAAGAACAGATACATGTTTGTGAATACATAGAAAGAAAAAATCATTAGGCTCTGAACCAACAGACCCCAGTAATTGCCTCTAGGTAGGTATAAGAAGGGGCAGCAGTGGGCAAAAGATATTAGACTTCTGATCTGTCATGTTTCACATTTTTGCAGGATAAAATGTAAACATGTATCGTTTGTATTATGAAAATAATTTAAAATTCAAAATTAAAAGCATAAGATACTACTCAGCAATAAGAAGGGATGAACACGGGCCAGGCACGTTGGCTCACGCCTATAATCCCAGCACTTTGTGGGGCCGAGGCGGGCAGATCACCTGAGGTCAGGAGTTCAAGACCAGCCTGGCCAACATGGTGAAACCCCGTTTCTACTAAAAGTACAAAAAACTAGCCAGGCATGGTGGTGCACACCTGTAATCCCTTCTACACAGGAGGCTGAGGCAGAAGAATCACTTGAACCCAGGAGGCAGAGGTTGCAGTGAGCTGAGATCGAACCACTGCACTCCAGCCTAGGCACAACAGAGTGAGACTCCATAAAAAAAAAAAAAAAAAAAAAAAAAAGGATGAACATGATATACATAACATCACGGCTGAATCTCATAGATGTTATACTAAGCAAAAGAACACAAAAGAGCACATTTGGGATAGATCCTTTGATATGAAGTTCTAGAACAGGTAAAATTAATCTATAATGGAAAAAAATCTAA